>NC_000001.11:113796259-114099289 GCF_000001405.40 Homo sapiens
CCCATCTTGCGACCTCTCCACATTGGCTGCTCCTGCTCTCTCTACTGCAGAGAGAACTTCAATTAGAGAAATTCTGAAGCTCATAAATCTAAACTGGATACTCCCCTCATTGGAGGCAAAGATGGTAAGACTCACTAAAAAGATTCAAGTTAGAGGAGGTTTCAAATAAATCTAAGTGGCTTGAAACCACTATAATTCAGGCAGCTGAGAGTCTTATTACGGCAACAATCTATTTACCTAAAAAAATATATATATATTAAGGGAAAAGAATGGCAGCAAATTACTAGACAACCTGAAAAAACAGAACATATAATCATAAAAGTTTAAAAAGTGAAAGTCTCCACTAAAGTTGAATTTATAATATATACTGCAGAAACTTATAGCTGACCATTTATATTCAATTCTTACGAGAAAAGCAAGTAAGAAAAAAACTAGGACACATTATTAACTTCTTATTCCCTAAAATAACTTCACTGAAAAAAATGTTTGGTTAAAACCACTGGTTAAGAAGCAGACGTTTCCCTGCTGACTTAAGCCTAGCTGCCCATGCAAGGCTTCAAAAAATGTCTTCACCTACAACAATGTATAGGCAGAAGGAGCAGAGGCTATGGCGGTCTTCCTAATGACACTTCCAAGTCACATAAATGGGGTATATTTCTGGGATGGACTGCCAACAAGTTACTGAAAGAGATATAAAAACTCCAAAAACCTGGCATATAAACAGGCCCATGCCCTCACGTGTTTTATTATGATATAAAAGCAAATCTTAACTAAAGTTATCCTGAGACTAACAGATCTCAATCACATCCTCCATACTAACATTACCCGATTTGTGAAAGACCAGGTAAGTTTTCAAGCTAGTTTTCCATAAAGATTTGTAATGATGTATAACATGTATAAAGCATTCCCTCCAGTAAAGAAGAAGCCCCACCCGAACTCAGTAATTAAGATTTTTCAATTAGAGGAAGAGACAAACAATTTGAAGCACCTTTATTACCATAAATTTGTTATCAAAAATGTGCTGGTATGTGCTGTGCGACAGAAAGAGGTTAATTCTGTTTAGAATCGTATTTACTAATTTTTAACAACAATTTTTATCTTACCTGAGTGTGAAAATTTGAAATGGTGGTTGTTTCAATATCTTTCTTGCCCAGAATTTCCATTTTCACTGGAGTGTTGGGGAAATTAAAAGCAAAGTAGTCCAAGAAGTCTGGGAGATAAGCAGCCGCTCCATGCACTATTGCTAAAGCATAGTAAGCAGCATTTTTCTCATTTTCACTGAATGTCAAAGCAAGAAACTCCTCAGAAAATCTCTCCATCTCCATTGGAGACAAAAATGAGAGTTCATCCATGTAAGCATGAAGGACAAGAGCACCACCATTGGACTGGTGTTCCTCATGAATAAAGTTGCTAAATTTAGTACCTGTTTTTAAGAAATTTCTACGAATAGAATGTTCCTGGTGAGTCATAAAAGGTGTTTGTACTCCCTGGGGTACCCGATATTCTTGCATACCCAAATTTAATCGGCACAGCTGTTCATCTTTCAGATACCTGAAGGACTCCTTATTAAGTCCTGAAGTGCTATTTATTTGTCCTTGGGTGAGAATTTCTTTACTGATGCGGGTCAGGCCAGCACAGACGGTTTGTACTTCCTTATTGTACATTTTAAGGCGTCTTCCTCGCATGTCTTCTCGGTGTTTCTTTTTCTTTTTCTTCTTTATTTTCTTCAAGACAAAATCATCGGCTCTCTGGGTTTTACCATTTTCATCTGGTGTTTCTGGCCACAATAATTAAAAAGAAGTTAGTTGCTAGGACTAGTGTCAACATACAAGCTTCTTAAGGTACTTGATCTCATTAAATAGCCTATCCTCAATTTCTCTGAATTTGCTATTACAACTTACGTGTTTAGAAAACAAATGAGACAGAGATCTTAAATATAATAATATTCTGGATTGAAGAAAAGAATAAAATTGAAGGTATCCATTTTTCAAAGCAGTATATTACTGATAATGGAGAAAAATCAGAAATAATTCACACATCCAAAAAACAGAGAATGGTTAAATAAATCATGATATAGCAATGGTATGAAACATTATACGATAGCTAAATATGATGATTCTGAAATCTATGTAACAACATAGATTCTTTTGTTCAGTTATCATCATAAAATTTAAATTTAAGCTAGGCATATTTTGCTGTCAGCCTATGAATTACTATGATACATACAGGTAAATCAACAAAGGCAAAGTAAGCCATGAGATATCATTTTTTCCTATCAAGTTGGCAAAGTCTGCGGTTTCTGGTCATTCTCAACTACTACTGCTGGAAGTATAAACTGGTACAACTTTCTGAAGGGCAATTTCATGATACATGTTAAAAGTCTTAAAAAATATTTCTAATCCTCAGACCCAGAAATTCCACTTCCAAGTAAAAGTTATCTAAGAAAATAATTGAAGATTATATAAAGATATCCATTACAGTATTATTTAAAACGACACAACAGGGAATGCTCCTAAATGTCTAATAACAGGGGACTGATTAAACTCTGGTAGTTACATATTATAAAACACTACTCAGCCATTGTAAAGTATATTATAGATGAAAAAACTGACATAAAAATTAGAAGGTTACAAAATGCTTAGACTCATTCTTTCAGAAAGCCTTTTCTTCCCCACCCAATCTGGATAGCTACTCCTGCTATGGGCTCCCTTAAGCTTTGTATCCCCATCTCAGCACTTATACTCTGTGTTATTAACATTTCATTTTACACCCTCCCCTAGACTGTCAGCAATCTAAGTTCAGTGATGTATACCTTACCTTTCTCTCCTGAGCACTTAACACATGTACATTCTGATCCCATTTTTATATAAACATTAATTCATCCAAACATTTAAGTACCTACTAAGTGCTAGGACCATAATGCTGACTAGGACATACACAATCCCCAATCTCTTGGATCTTTTTCTCCCCGCTTTTTGAGGAGTATGGAGTCTCCATATGTTGCCCAGGCAGGGCTCAAGCTATACTCCTGCCTCTACCTCCCTAAGTTCTGGGATTACAGGTGTGACCCATGGTGCCTGGCATCTCTTGGGTCTTATGATCTAATTGTACAAGAAAAAGAAAGTACCAGATAGTGATAAGTGGGATGCATTAAGTTTGGGGGAAGCTCTTTTGGGGAGGTAACATTAAGAGTGATTCCTAAAGAATAAGACAAGCCAGGCATGTAAAGGTCTAGGAGAAAATATTCCCAGAAAGAAGAAAAGGACCTAAAGAGATGAAGAAGTCTGTCTGATCTATAGATGCTTTACACACACACACACACACACACACACACACACACACACACACACACAGAAAAATATCTGGAGAAATATATACCAAGCTATTAATGGTAGTTATCTATTGGTGGTAGAATTCTAAATGTCTAGCTTTTCTGCTTATCTGTATTTTCTAATTTTCTAAAATAAACATATTACTTTTATAATTTAAAAACTTATTTTTAAGTTTTAAAGGATTATCATGGATTGACAAGCCCAAGATGGAATGGCATCTTTTGTTTACTAATTGGAAAATATACCTAGCAGGAAACTTTCAGGATTAAATACCAGGTAGAGTCCTGACGAACCTTCAAGTTTGGTCTAGTATTTACTGCATAGAATTTACCCACCAAACAATCGTTTTTTCTAACATAATTGAAGTAATTTGGAGTTAAGACAAATATTCCAATTAATCCTATTTTTACATCTAGAAAAACAAGTTCAACAAATTTTAGAGTTAAGAATTTACTTGGTACAATATGTAAATATATGACAGTTCCAATACTCCATATAAAATCACTTCAAGTCAATTAGCTACTACAAGGGTTACGAAACCTTCTAAAGAAAATACTTAAAAAAGCAAGTCAAAGACTTTACTAATGCCAAATAATATTTCCTTCTAAGAACAATAAAATGAAAACCGTTTATTTGCAAATATCACTTGTAATTAAACTGTAATAAGATAGCAAAATTTACATTTAATCAGAATACTGTTAACCTGGCAAGAGAAAAAGTCATCTTTTATTCTATATACAACTAAATATTTGAGATATTTGAGAATTAAACACTTAGTAATAGTCATTTATTTGGTAAGAAGTATACTTCTTACCAAATAAAATTCATCTAAATACTTTCCCCAATATCAAATCAGTAATTTAGGCAATTCTCCCAAGCAACTAAATGTTAATGCCATTCAATATAAAGGTTAGACCAATTTAAAAATAGTCATCTAATTACTCTCTTCTATTAATGTTTTAGCAATTTCACAGGAAAACAAGAAAAGAAAATATCTCCAAATAGATCTTGTTATTTTAAGCTTCGGAAGAGGTATTTGGTATGCAGAAAATGAATTGTGACCTAGATCTGCCACTGAAATTAGCACCAAGAAAGAACTGCGTTGATTGTAACACATTTTCTGTATTACTATCAACTTTCCAGTGGTATTTCTAACTTGGTCAAGTCTCTGTGGGTTTCACTTATACGAGTTTCACAAAATTCACTTATATGAAAACCATTCAATTAGTCCAACATGGCCCATCTCAAAAAAAAACAACAAAAAAAACAAAAAAAGAGAAAACCACTGTATAAAGAAAAGAATCTTACATTGTAATCTCATAAATCAACATGATAAAAATTTTAAATATGAAGTAAATTTCAATCTATCTTCTCACTAATCCTGTTTTTCAATTTTTTTTTTTTTTGAGACAGAGTCTCTCTCTGTTGCCCAGGATGGAGTGCAGTGGCGTGATCTCTGCTCACTCCAGCCTCCACCTCCCAGGTTCCAGAGAGTCTCCTGCCTCTCGGCCTTCTGAGTAGCTGGGATCACAGGCATGTACCACCACACCCGGCTAATTTTTTGTATTTTTAGTAGAGACAGGGTTTCACCATGTTGGCCAGGCTGGTCTCAAACTCCTGACCTCAAGTGATCCACCCACCTCAGCCTCCCAAAGTGCTGGGATTACAAGCGTGAGCCACGACGCCCGGCCTCAGCTTTTGACTTTTATCTAACTTAGGGTAAGATACAGAAAGCTTGACTTTTTTTACAGAGAAATTTAAGACTACCCATTTCATACTGGCTAACAAATCTCCATGAGTAAACAAAATTTATTATTGAATTACCGTGGTGGCAACTAATTGAGAATGGCATATGTATAAACAAGTTATCAAAGGTTATTATCAAACACTGGCCACTGTTGCTTTATGAGAAAAATAACAATTGCCCTGCCTTGAATTTAAAACGTTATTTGAAAGTCAGTGTCCAAAGTCTTCTTCACAACTTTTCTATTTCTGGTTTTAGCTTTCCAACAGAGAATCTATTCAGCACATTTTTAGTATTTCCCCATAGTGCAAAAGCTAAAATTTATTGACTACAGTTCTTTACAGAAAAAGAGCCAACCTACACTATACCTGTGATTAAGAAAAACTTTCACCTATCCAACTGTGTGATTACATATAAAGAGAAATACATAATTCTACAGAGGAAGATACATTCACTTAAGAAACAAATTGCTGGCTGTCTTTAAAAAGGTAACTATTAATACATGACGTTATTAATAAGATCCTCATATGTGCTAATACTACCAATATTATCAATTAATGTCATCTGATTTCACACAATTGAAAGTTTTCATTAATGCAAAAAAACAGCTTTCTATATTATTAAGTTCTTTTTTTTTTTTTGATAGGGTTTTACTCTCATCCAGGCTGGAGGGCAGTGGCGCAATCTCGGCTCACTGCAACCTCTGCCTCCCAAGTTCAAGTGATTCTCCCACCTCAGCCTCCCAAGTAGCTGGGACTGCAGGTGCACATCACCATGCCCAGCTAATTCTTGTATTTTTTGGTAGAGACAGGGTTTCACTATGTTGGCCAGGCTGGTCTCAAACTCCTGACCTCAAGTGATCTATCCGCCTCGGCCTCCCAAAGTGCTGGGATTACAGGCATAAGCCACCATGCCCGGCCTACAAAACTTAAGGTCTTAACAGCAATTCTTATACTCTAATTATGGCTTAGAAGTCGGAAAAAAAAAAAAAAGGTAGTATCTTCAGTTCGTAAAAATCACAGTAGATGAACAAAAGCAAAACAAGTGTAATTGCTTACATCTTATTATTCATGATTTTTTAAAGGACTAAAGTTGTTTCCTGAAAATAAATTATTTTCAGTCTTCTTGAGAGTTCTTCCAGTTCTATATAAATACCTGACTAAAAAGGAAAAACAAAAAACTACTCATTTTGAAAGCCAAACATTTGTGAATCATTGTATGTTTTTAACACTGCCTTACTTTACCCACCATCTCTCTATATTATGGTGTTTTAAGAGCGCTGTCTAGGTTTAAATCCCTGTTCTATAACTTTCTAGTATACTTTCTAGAAGTATACTTTCTAGAACTTTTTTTTCCCTAAGCCTTTACTTTTTTTTTTTTAGAGCAGTTTCAGGTTCCTAGAACTATAACCACACCTGGCTCCCACAAATGCATAGTCTGTCTCCCTGATTATCATCACCCCCAGCCAGAGTGGAATACTTGTTACAACTGATAAGTCTACATTGATGCATCATTATTCGCCTGCCCGCAGTCCATGGTTTACATTCAGGTTCACTCTTGTTGTACATTCTGAGGGTTTGGATAAATGTATGACATGTATCCACCATTAATTAAGTTGCATAAAGAGTAGTTTCACTGTCCTATAAAATGCTCTGTGCTCTGCCTATTCATGCAACCCTCTCTAAAACCCCTAGCAACCACTGATCTTTTAACTTTCTTGATAGTTTTGCCTTTTCCAGAGTGTCATATAATTGGAATCATAAAATGTGCAGCCTTTTCAGGATGGCTTCTTCCACTTGGTAATATGCATTTAAGGTTCCTCCATGTCTTTTTATGGCTTGATAGCTCATTTCTTTTTAGCACTGAATAATATTCTACTGTCTGGATGTACCACAGTTTATCCATTTACCTACTGAAGGACATTTTGATTGCTTCCAAGTTTTGGTAACTATGAATAAACCTATTATGAACACCTATCTACAGGTTTTTGTGTGGACACAAATTTTCAGCTCCTCGGGGTAAATATCAAAGAGTATGACTGCTGGATCGTATAGTATGTTTAGTTTTGTTAAGAAACTGCCAAACTGTCTTCCAAAGTGGCTGTATCATTTTGTATTCCCAACAATAATGAATGAGATAGCATATCTTTTTGCAAGTTAATTCTTTGCACTGCTTCTCATTGGTAAAACCGGAGGAAAGAACAGTATCTCATTATAAAATTAGTGTGCAGAGTAAATGAAAAACGCATGTGAAGTACTTATAATAGTCCTAGAACATAATAAATACTCAATACATCATAACTACTATTATTGCCAAAAACAGTTGAATTCTAGAGGCAGTAGAGTGTACTATTTAAGATAAGAACAGGTGCTGTACTGTTAGATAGACCTAAGTCAATGTCCCAGCTCTATTGTTTACTAAGGTCTCTGGGTAAGCTCATAAATCTCTTTAAATCTAAATTTTCTCATCTTAAAATGTTATAATAGGCCAGGTACAGTGCCTCATGCCTGTAATCCCAGCACTTTGGGAGACTGAGGCAGGAAGACTGCTAGAGTCCAGGAATTCAAGACCAGCCTGAGCAACACAGCAGGACCCCATTTTTACAAAAAAAAAAAAAAAAAAAAAGTTAGCTGGGCTTGGCGGTGCATGCCTGTAGTCCTAGCTGCAGGAGTGAGCTAGGCTTAGCTACAGGCTGAGGTGGGAGGATCGCTTGAGCCCAGGAGTTCGAGGTTACAGTGAGCTATAATCACTTCACTACACTCCAGCCTGGGCAACCCCGTCTCAGAAAAAAAAAAAAGTTATTAATTCTAGAGTCTATCTCACAGAGTTATTTTAAGAATTAAATGAGACAATGACTATAAGGCCCTCATCACAATATGTGACACACAATAAGTCTCTTATCATCTTGATTATCAAGAGAAACACATAAGAAAGATCTCTGAAAGAGGAAAGAAAACGTATTTGCCAAATGTCTAATAGGGACCATATATGTTATTTTATTTTAATCCTCAAACCAATGAAGTACGGAGAAAGAAACAGCCTGAAACAAGATATGTAATTTATATTAGGTCACAAAGCTAGTACACAACAGCCAAGATTCAAACTTCTCACCTATCTGACTCCAAAACAAATTCTTCTAACATACTGCACCCTACACTCTCTTCCTTTCCGCCTCCACTATCAGACATCTCCCTGCAACACTCCCATTAGATGATCAACTAAGATTATCTGGTTACAATTAATGGACCTGAGGTAGCTTGGAATAAAGGGAGTATTACTTCAACAAATATCTTACTTAGTGCCATTTCAAAAGTTTTCGTGCCCTTAAAGGTGTTTTTGCCTCTCTCAGGGTGAGCAGGGAAAAATATTAGTCCCTACAGTTGTTGTTCTGATAAATAAGATTGTTTATTTCAATTCCCTTATAATCCCAATAATTCTCCATTGCTAACATCAAAAAGAAGTGTTTCTGGACTTAAAATCCCTGCTTTTTGACATGAGAGAAAATTTCCATTAAACATCTGGCTCAGGAACACTTACACTCGGTGATAGCAGTTAGGCAACTGGTCAAGAGTAAAAAAAAAAAAAAAAATGAGATAAGAAAGATGACTCACAAGAGCATACATATGAGCAATCCGGTCATGTAATGACATTGGAGAAGACAGCCTATGGGGGCTGTCCTTCCTTTCTTTCCTTTTTAACAACATATTAAAATCATGAATTTACTAAGAATAATTAAAAAGAAGCATTACTTCTTTTCATGGATTTTTAAGGAAGTATGTTTGTCCTATTTTTTTTTTTGAAACGGAGTCTGACTCTGTCGACCAGGCTGGAATGCAAGTGGCGCAATCTCAGCTCAGTGCAACCTCCGCCTTCCAGGTTCAAGTGATTCTCCTGCCTCAGCCTCCCAAGTAGCCCAGCTAATTTTTTGTATTTTTCGTAGAGACAGGGTTTCACCATGTTGACTAGGCTGGTGTCAAACTCCCGACCTCGTGATTTGCCCACCTTGGTCTGGGAATACAGGCATGAGCCACCGCGCCCGGCCTGTCCTATGTTTTTATGAGCAATAAGAGGGAGAGAAAAAAATTAAGATTTCAAAACACATAGGTAACCTCCAGTTTAGTTACACTCAAGCTTATTCCCTATAAGAAATAAAAACAGCATTTAAATATCTCTGTTAAATAATCAACCCCAGTGTGCATAGCAGAAAGAGAGGTCAACTGGGCCATGAGGGAAAAAAATTGAGTTCTGTATTCAGCTCTATCACCAACTAAAAAATTTTAAGCATTTCACTTCATCTCTCTGAAAATCACTTCTTTCTGTTTTAAAGATGAACAAGTTTACCCTAGCATTTACAGATTAAATTTTTGTTTCAACTGTTTATGAACAACTCCAAATGTCTGAGATTGTAATAATTTGTAATTAGTCTCCACATGAATTCAGATTAAATACTGTTGAACTGCTGTGCAGGAAGGAACATGTCTCTTAAGTGAACTCAAGGGTGGCAAACTTCTCTAAAGAGCCGAACAGCAGGCTTTGCAGGTCTTATGGTCTCTGTCTCAATTACTGTATTCTGCTACTGTAGTGCAAAAACTACCATAGACAATATATATGAATGAACAGAGCTATATTCCAATAAAGCTTTATTTCTGGACACAGTTTAAATTTCGTATGATTTCCATGCGCTACAAGGTCGTTCCAACTATTTTAAATTGTAAAAACCATTGTTAGGCCAGGCACAGTGGCTCATGCCTGTAATCCCAGCACTTGTGGGAGGCACATCACCTGAGGTCAGGAGTTTGAGACCAGTCTGGCCAACATGGTGAAACCCCATCTCTACTAAAAATACAAAATTAGCTGGGTGTGGTGGTGGGCGCCTGTAATCCCAGCTACTCAGGAGGCTGAGGCATAAGATTCCCATGAACCCAGGAGGTGGAGGTTGCACTGAGCTGAGATCACACCACTGCACTCCAGCCTGGCACAGAGCGAGACTCTGTCTCAAAAAAAAAAAAAAAATCATTGTTACATTACAGGTTGTACTGATTTTTGAAAAAAGTGCAAAAGCAATTCAATGGAAGATTAATCTTTTCAACAAAAGGTGCTAGAGCAACTGGATATCCTTAGGCAAGAAGAAAAAAAATGGCGACCTAAACCTCACACCTGTACAAAATTAACTCAAATGGATGACAGATTAAAATACAAAAGTTAAAATTATAAAACTTTTAGAAGAAAACAAAGGAGAAAATCTTTGGGATCTAGGACTTGGTATGTTAGATATGATGCCAAAAACATGATCCATTAAAGAAAAAAAAAAACTTAGTAAATTGGATATCAACAAAATTTAAAATTTTTGCTCTGTGAAGTATCCCACTGAGAAGGTAGAAAGGACCAGGCACAGTGGCTCCTGTCTGTAATCCCAACACTTTGGTAGGCCAAGGCGGGAGGATCACTTAAGCCCAGGAGTTTGAGACCAGCCTGGACAACACAGAGAGACCCTGCCTCTATCAAAAAAAAAAAAAAAAAAAAAAACATTAGCCAGGTGTGGTGGTGCACACGTGTGGTCTCAGCTACTCAGGAGGTTGAGGTGGGAGGATCACTTGAGCCCCAGAGGTTGAGGCTAGAGTGAGCCATGATCACATCACTGTGCTGCAGCCTGGGTAACTGAGTGAGACCCTCCCCAAAAAAACAAAAACAAACAGGCTGGGCGTGGTGGCTCATGCCTGTAATCCCAGCACTTTGGGAGACCAAGGCGGGCGGATCACCTGAGGTCAGGAGTTCAAGACCAGCCTGACCAATATGGCGAAACCCCGTCTCTACTGAAAAACACAAAAATTAGCCGGGCATGGTGGCAGATGCCTGTAATCACAGCTACTCGGGAGGCTGACATAGGAGAATCGCCTGAACCCAAGAGGTGGAGGTTGCAGTGAGCCAGGATCGTGCTACTACACTCCAGCCTGGGTGACAAAGTGAGAATCCATCTCAAAAAAAAAAAAAAACAACCAAAATAAAAACAAGCAAACAAACAAAAAGGATGGAAAGACAAGCAACAGATTGGGAGAAAATATGTGCAAACCATACAAAGAAGCTGCACCTGTGATCTACAAAAAATTATCAAAACCCAGTAATAAAAAATATACAATTCAAGGGCCGGGCGCAGTGGCTCACGCCTGAAATCCCAGCACTTTGGGAGGCTGAGGCGGGTGGATCACCTGAGGTCAGGAGTTCGAGAACAGCCTGGCCAACACAGTGAAACCCCGTCTCTACTAAAAATATAAAAAAGTAGCTGGGTGTGGTGGCAGGCACCTGTAATCCCAGCGATTCGGGAGGCTGAGGCAGGAGAATCGCTTGAACCCGGGAGGCAGAGGTTGCAGTGAGCCGAGATTGCACCATTGCTCTCCAGCCTGGGCAACAAGAGTGAAATTCTGTCTCAAAAAAAAAAATTATATATATATATATATGTATATGTATACACACACACACACACACACACACACAAAATTCAATTAGAAAATAGGCAAAAGGTATAAAGAGACATTTTACTGACCAGGATATATAGACAGCAAATGATGATATGAAAAGATGTGTATTATCACTAGCCATTTGGGAAATGCAAATTAAGATCATGATGATGTATCACCACACGTCTATTAAAATTGCTAAAATAAAAATAGTGACAATACCAGATACTGGCAAGAATGTGGAGAAAATGGATTTCTCTTACACCGCTGACAGGAATGTAAAATGGTACCGACACTCCAGAAAATACTTTGGCAGTATCTTAAAAAACAAACAAACAAAATAAATATATATAGTCATCCTTGGTATCCATGGAGGATTGGTTCCAGAGCCTCCCAGGGCAACAAAATCCAAGATGATCAAGTCCTTCATATAAAATGGCATAATAATTGCTTATAACCTATGCACATCCTCCCCTATATTTTAAATCATCTCCAGATTATTTATACCTAATACAATGTACATGCTATATAAATAATTGTTATACTGTATTGTTTAGGGAACAGTGACAAGAAAAAAAAAGTCTGCACAAGTCCAGTACAGACAATGTTTTTTTGAAAATATTTTCAATCCCAGGTTGGCTGAATCCATTGATGTGGAACCCATGGATACAGAGGGCTAATTGTATTTACCATACGACCAAAGAAATGAAAAGTTACATGCACACAAAAACCTGAACACCAATTTTCATAGAAGCTCTATCTATAATAGCCAAAAACTAGAAATAATCAAAATGTCCTTTCTTATACGGGAATGATTCAATAGGTGAACCATGGTACATCCATACCATGGAACACTATTCGGCAATGAAAAAGAGGGATGGATCTCAGGGACATCACACTGAGTGAAAAAGGGCAATCTCCAAAGATCACATACTGTATGATTCAACTTATATAATAGTCTCAAAATGACAAAACAGGTTAGTGGCTGCCAGAGGACAGGGACAGTAGAGAGACAGAGGGAGTGCCTAAGGCTGTAAAGGGTTTGTGGTGGTGGAACAGTTCTGTATCTTGATTGTAGTGGTGGTTACACTAATCTACATATGATAAAATAGCATATAACTACATATACATTGTACCAATGTCAATTTCCTGGTGTTGATATTATACAATAGTTATGTAAGATGTAGCCACTGAGGGAAACTGGTAAAAGGTAAGGACTTGACTATGTTTGCAATTTCCTGTGAATCATTAATTATCTAAAAAAAAAAAACAGTTAAAATAGTTTCCAAAAATCTGAGGATAAGCGAAGGAAGGACATAGCTTTGTAAGTAACAAGAATCTGCCCACTCTCCTTATTAATCTTAGAGTTGTTTTAGGGACCATGCATAATAAAATAATAAAGGCCGGTTTTAAGTAAGTGCCTACAATGAGCCAGGCACTGCTGTAAGTACTTTCACACAATGCCCTATTTAATCCACACAAGTTCCTTATAAATGAAATACCACAACCCCATTTTATAGACAGGAAAAGTGCAGTTGAGAGAGGGTAAAGCAATTTGTTCAGGCTCACACAGTAAGTGTTAGAGCCATGATTTAAACTCAGATTAATACCAGAGGCATGCCTCCTGCATACCACTGTAACAATAAAGATGTTCAGAGGACAAAAAAGATATCAGTCAAACTATGTGCAAAAGCCTGGATTAAACAAAGTTAAACCAGTTTATTTTCTGTAGGGTTTTCAAAACTTTTAAAATGCCAGTTTGCCAATTCATGTTACATATGTAGAAGGCTACAGTACACAGTTTTTCTCAAATGTATTTGACCAAAAAATTCTTTTTCACCCAAAATATAGTTTGGGTATATAATCCAACAATCTCTCAGCCAAAAGTTAAAATGTTTAAATGGGCTTATCTTAACCCACTTCTCTTCTTCACATGTTGGCAAACTACAGATATTTAGAGTGGTGTTGTCCAGTGTGGTAGCCACTAGCCATATGTGACTAATTATAAATTAATTAGAATTAAATAAAATCAAAATTTCAGTTCCTCAATCATGCCACATTTCAAGTCTGTTCAGGAACCACATACGGCTACCATATTGGTCAGCACAAATACAGAAAATTTCCATCATCTGAGAAAGTTCTATCAGTCAGCATTAGGTCAGAAGTGTGTTTTTTAAAGAACATGGGGCCTGTGCAATCTTCAGAGAAAGATTGTAAATTATTACACATGTTATTGCCACTATCCCCCATAAAACGGGGCCAGGTCAGAGATCCTCGATGATATAAAGCCACTGTAATGTCAAAGCACAGGGAAAAGGTAAACAAAGGAGTGGAAAAAATGAATAGCAGGAAGAGAAAGCAACATCATGAAGCCTGGAGATGAAGCTTGAAGCAGGATTCAGGAGCCTGGGTTCTACTGCCTGTTATGCCAATATTCACCTTTTTAAAAAATATTTAATTTTTTTGCACTTCATGCGAATTAACTGTGATTTGATTGAACAGGCCTCTTTACTACTTTGGGCCTCAGTTTCCTTTTCTACAATACAAATTTAAGCCAGAGGATCACTAATTCCCTCTAGTTCTGTACAGTTAAAACACACACACACACACACACACACACACACAAGAAATGAGAAAGTAGGGAATAAAAGTAAAAATAAAAAGAGAGCAAGATCATTGCATATTGGTGGTGAAAACTGGCAGTCCTGTCATCTTGCCACAAGTTCTACTCCCAAGATTTGGATGCCACCAAATGAATAAAAATTTAATGCTATTCAATAAATACTTATTGAGCAATTATTTGCAACGAACTACAGTATTCGGAAATAGCACCACCAAAAAAAATGATTAGCCTTAAGACTCAATACGTGGAAAGAATGCAAGACTCACAAAACTTTAGGTTGAAAGATTGTCTCATTAACATGTAATAACCTAACTGGTCCAGTACTAAGAAACAAGTATTTCAAATATTCCTGAGGAAAAACAACTAGTAAATTATATAAAATAATATATAAAGTACAAACATACGGCATAATCAAAAGCATCACATTTCTTCCACAAAGAATATAAATAAATGCTACAGGTACTTGGGAACAGGAAGACATCAGTTCTGGCCAATCTAATTTTTCTAGAATCCACATTTAATTGGATACTCTGACATTTTCTAGTAAAATATTCTTGAGGGCTATTGGAATTAACAGATCCACAAAGTGTGCTAGACAGAATCAAATGCAACTGAAATTCCGGCCTCTACTATCTACTGCACAAATTCCCACTTTTCAGAGGCACTGTTGGTCCTATTTCCTAGTATCAAAGGGTAGAGAAAACCTTCCACATGCCTATTCTAAGAATTTAAATAGCTAATATGAAAACTTTAAAATGATTTTTACCTCTAGATTAAAAAGAACCAAGATAAACTGCGTCTGATATTTTACCTTGCAGAAGCTAAGTCAACCAGTGAGTCGTGTAACCTTTATATGAATTCCCTCCTGAAAGACTGGAACCATACCCCTGACTATTCTGGAGCAAGGGAGAGCAGATAACTAAAGCTCTCCAGCAAGCAAAACAAGGAGAAGGGATTTTAGGAACATGCCTTTTCTTTGGAAAGGCATTTTTTAGTACCCCACCTACTAATCTAACGCGGCGCGGAAACCTTGCAGAATTTGAAAACAAATGCTGAGAGGCTCCGGGGGACCGGTAAAGGGATTAGCAACTGACAGCTCGGCCTCGGAGCGAGAAGCCTCAAGTAGTTAGATCAAACCGTGTCAACGATCTGAAATCCAGGGTCCACCCCAGTGAGCTTAGAGAAGTACAGCAGCAGAAGGTAAGCAGGGGTTTGGCGTCTTTCAGTCCTAAAGATGCGGGATATCGGAACTGAGAGAGACCTAGAACCCAAGCCGGGCAGTTTGCCTGCTCTCACCTCTCTTGGGGGCTTTGATCAGAGGCACCCCTCCAGTCCTCTCGCCGTTTTCCTGCTTGTCCTTGTGCTTGAGATCGGTTCCGCAGGAGCTGGGATCACCATCGGGGCCGCGGTGGTGATGGTGCTTGTGCCGCTCCTTGTGGCCCTTATGCTTGGGCCCGGCCGCGCTCACCGTCAGAGGCGAGAAGGTGAAGAGGGCCGAGGTGCTTGGGGCCGGGAGAGGGGCAGCGACAGCGGGCCCGGCGGGTGCCAGCGAAGGTGGCGGCGGAGGCGGCAGGAGAAGAGGCTCAACAGGGCCTGGGACAGTTGGGGCTGCATTCGTTGGCGGCAGCGGCCCAGGATGTTGGCGGCTGCGACGCCGCCGGTGAGGGGGAGCGAGAGGGGGCTCCTGGCTCGGCCGCCCCCGCTTCTCCTGAGACCCCCCACTGCTAGATCGGCGCTGCCGTTTAACTCCCCGCGGGGAGACCCCAGCATGAGGTTTCTCCTTCCCCTCTTTGTCCGGCTCCTCCTGCGCCGCCACCGCCCGTACTACGCGCACCGCTCCGACCTGCGCAGCCATTTCACCCACAAACACACATTTAAATGGCCCGACCGCCCCCCCGTCCGCGCATCGCGCAAGCGCCGCCCGCGCACTGCCCGCTGGGCATTGGAGTCTCTCCTCCGCCCTCCACTTGTCGGCCGTTCTTCGTCCAGAGATGAACATGCCGGAAGCGGCCGTTCCCAGCTTTTCTCCGCAGGCCTCTCCAACCGAGCTTCTATTGTAAAGCACCCTATGCCGCGCAAAGCGTCATGGGAGCTGTAGTTCCGCCGCGCCCCCGCCGCGTCCCCGGCTCTGAGTGGAGGAGTGGAAAGGGAGCGTGCGCGAAGTCACGCTTCTGGCTGCGACGCAACCGCCGCTGGGCGGTGAGTTGCCGCCAACCGCCCTAACGGCCGAAACAATGTTAATGGCTTTCAGAGTCTGGCGGCGCGTTCCCATTATCATCTTCCTGTGACCCTTCCTCATTTTACACGGAGGAGGTGGTCTCCACAGTGATTTTAAATTTAATATTTCTCTCATAACCTTTGTGAGATAAAAGAATCTTCATCCTTTTAACTTTGACGAGGGATGAAATGAAGGTGAAAAGAGGATTTAGTAATATGTAAAATAAGGGTGGTTTTGCTGTAAAAATATGATAGGGCCGCAATTCAGAAATGTTTTCAAGCATCTGGGGCATTGCTATGGTTACAACTACAGGCCTACGAAGTCAGGTGCGAGAACTGCTTGGAGTCCTGGTGAGGACGGCCCCTCCTCGCCATCCGGCCACATCCCCTCTAATGCCTGGAAATGTCCAGCATTTATTTTGAATATATCCCTACAGTTGCGAAAAATTGTAGATGGAAAACCACGTTTAAGATTTTTTATAAGTTTTTTTTTTTCAAATCTTAAGGATAAGATTGCATAAATTTGAAAAGTGTGCCTACCGGAGAACACACCAAAAATCATCACTGCTCACTACGGATAGTTGTTGCTCAGAAATTCATTTAGAATTTCATCCTCGCTTTAGCTTTTACCTGGGGTTCTTTTAAGTATTTATTTAGAGACGGGCGGGGCGGGGCTCGGTGTCTCAGGCCGGTAATCCCAGAGCTTTGGGAGGCCGAGGCGGGAGGATTGCATGAGGCCAGGAGTTCCAGATCAGCGTTGGTAACATAGTGAGCCTCTGTCCCTACAAAAGTATTTTTTAAATTATCTGGGTGTCGTGACACGCGCCTGTAGTCCCAGGTACTCGTGAGGCTAAGGTGGGAGGAGTGGTCGCACCACTGCACTCTGGCCTGGGTGACAGATCTAGACCCTGACTCTTAAAAAAAAGAGACAAGGTCTCGCTCTGTTGACCAGGCTGGCCTCCAACTCCTGGGCTCAAGGAATGAGTAGCTGGGTCTACAGATGCACTCATGGTGCCCTAAGTAACTCATGGTTACCTAGAATTCTTTTAGTATATTTGTTTATTGATAAAGACATTTGGAAGTAATTGATTACAATGATATATACTCAGCAGATAAAATTACTGTGGTTTGATTTCACTAGTTTCTGGAGAAGTATTACCTAAACACTACTGCAATGAAGTCAGTTTAACAACCAAAAAGTTTATTGAGTGTCTGTTGGATACATTGTACTACAAGAGACAGATAATAATACTTCATTCAATTTGCCCTATTGGACTTCCAAATGAAAAATACTGAAGAACAAATGATGTTTAAACAATACTACATGTTTCTAAAAGTTATAAATAAAGTTATTTAAATAAAAATATTTTTAATGCATTAGGGGAAGTCAGGTGGATTCTTTGTAAAAACAATTACCTGCCAATTTATTTACTACATAAAATTAGAGTTGAACTAGATTTTCTTATGGCAGATCCATATTCATATAGAAATTCATTTTAAACTAGTATTTCTGATTGGTTAGATAAAAATTGCACATGATCTGAAAGATCCTGTATAAACATATACAATTTATATCTTTTGCTACCAAAAGATAGCTATTATATTTCATTGATTACTTTTCTAGAATTGGTAATTTAATGACTTTGGTTAAAACTTATCAGGATTTCAGTTGAATTCCTTGTTACATTCAAATAATTGTCATTATTTGCACATTTTATTCTAATAAATATAATTTCTCATTTTCTTAATATTCCAGTTTTCCACAACATTTGGGAAGATTTACAAGGTATACTCCATTTAGGCAAAAATAACTGTCAGGGAATAGTCATTGTCAAGAGCAGTTTGTATTGCAACCCACAAAGTAAGTTTTTTTTTTAACTTTTTATAGTATATTCTGGCAATGTAGAAATTAGTTGAGATCCAAATCTTACAAACCTTTTGAAGTTTATGTTTATGTAGAAAAGTAAAAGAAAATAAAAATAACTGGCAAAAATGAAAAATAAATCCATTCTAAAAGTGTTTCTCATATAGCATTCTGTACATAAGCTCAAGTGACAAACTTTTATTTGCAGTTTTCAACTCAATGCAAATGATATGAAAATGCAAAACTGGCACTTATTGGCATTTTGCTTTTCTTTTAAAAGCTATTAACACATTAGCATATCTTCATATTTGATATTATGCATATAGAGCACTTATTTTAACTAGCAGTATTCTAGTAGTTTTATTTGCAGGTGTACTTGCAGCCCATATTATTATAAATCTGGAGTTTTATTAAATATTCCAAGTTGGTGGTGGATTCCTTGGTCCTTTGGGTTTTGAAAAACGGTTTGCAAAACCTGGGAACAAAAATAAAGTTGAATGAAAAGAAAGATGTTTTAAGTATAGAAATGAATACTTGGATTTTAGAGTATATTATAATATATGCAAATACATGGTCTTTTTTTAAATGTTAGGCAGCATCTTGACCAGTTTAGTAATAGATTATAAAGGGATTGTAGTAATCTAAAGCTTAAATGATAACAGAATACTAATAACACTTTAAATTTGAAGAGCACTTACAAATTTAATAATGGTAATAATAGAATGTAGGACCCTGGTTATATATAGGCTTTGATAATTTAGTATATAATATCATTTGTCTATGACTTTTTGTCATCCACTCCATCCCATTAAATGAAGTCAGGAAATTTTAATTTCACAAAAATATAGCACCGTTACTTATAACATTATTGTATTACATCTAGTTATACCTCTATGTCGGTCCAGAAATCCTTCAATTTACCAAGAGATTATGTTTGAAAATCTTAGAAAAAATAAACAATCCTGAAAAACTAAGTAGGTAAGTAAACATTATTATTTATCTTTCTTCTTCAAACTTGTTCCCCCTACCCCACCCCAAAGAAGGAGGATGAGAAAATTTTTCACAACTAATGAAGGCTATTTCTGGATGCTTTCAAAAGATGTGCATGTTGATGATGTTGGTTCTTTATCATTTCAGCAACATGTGACTTTATGACTTTTCTTTTTGATGGTAGTGTCTTTTTGTTTGTTTGTTTTTTGTCTGAGACAGAGTCTTGCTCTGTCGCCCAGGCTGGAGTGCAGTGGCGCGATCTCGGCCCACTGCAACCTCCGCCTCCCGGGTTCAAGCGATTCTCCTGCCTCAGCCTCCTGAGTAGCTGGGATTACAGGCGCCAGCCAACATGCCTGGGTAATTTTTGTATTTTTAGTAGAGATGGGGTTTCACCCTGTTGGCCAGGCTGGTCTCAAACTCCTGACCTCAAGTGATCCACCCACCTTGGCCTTCCAAAGTCTGGGGATTACAGGTGTGAGCCACTGAGCCAGGCCTAATGGCAGTGTATTTTTAAGTTATCTTACACTTAGCAACTTTAGGGACTTAAAGTAAGAAATGAAATGTTTGAAGTATAGGGGAATAATAAAATGAAAAACTCAAAGATATACCTAAACCTTTAATTTCATCATCATACAAATTGTATTATCTACCTTAAAAAACTGATGTAAGGATCAAATGAGATATTTGTGTAAAAAGCGAATGGGGCAGGGTGCAGTGGCTCATGCCTTTGAATAATCCCACACTTTGGGAGGCCAAGGCAGGTGGATCGCTTGAGCCGAGGAGTTCAAGACCAGCCTGGGCAACATAGTGAAACCTTGTCTCTACAAAAAAACACAAAAAAATTAGCCGGGCATGGTGGCTTGCACCTCTGGTCCCAGATACTCAGGAGGCTGAGGTGGGCAAATCATTTGAGCCCAGGGAGGTCAAGGCTGCAGAGGGGAAAAAAAAAAAGAATTGAAAAAAAAAAACAGCATCCAGCACAATGCCTGGCACATAGTAAGTACTCAAATGTTCCTCAGGCCAGTCATGGTGGCTCAAACCTATAATCCGAGCACTTTTGGAGGTGAGTATGGAGGATAGCTTGGGGCCAGGAATTCAAGCCTATGGTAACTACTCAAATGTTGCTTAAATTTCAACCCAGAAGCCAGGCGTGGTGGCTCACACCTGTAATCCCAGTACTTTGGGAGGCTGAGGTGAGTGGATCACCTGAGGTCAGGAGTTCAAGACCAGCCTGGCCAACATGATGAAACCCTGTCTCTACTAAAAATACAAAAATTAGCTGGGCATGGTGGCGGGTGCCTGTAATGCCAGCTACAGGGGAGGCTGAGGCAGGAGAATCGCTTGAACCCAGGAGGCTGAGGTTACAGTGAGCTGAGATCGTGCCACTGCACTCCAGCCTGGGTGACAGAGCAAGACTCCATCTCAATTTAAAAAAGAAAAAATTACCAACCTAGAAAACTATGCCAGAACTGGAAGAGAAGGAGAGTAGGGAAGGGGAAAGAAGATTCAAGAAAAAAAAGCACATTCAAATTTGTTAATGGTGATGATAAAAAAAAATTGGTGGAGGGGACACACAGCCTAGTTGATGTACATTTTACTCTTCCGAGTGGCAAGAAAGAAGATGGAAGGAATACTTTTGGTTAAATAGTTTCACACACAATAGTCAGAATCATCCTGTCAGTACAGATCACTTGATTGTAACCCAAGTGGACTAGGAATAGAGATAAGGACATATGTTAGTATTGAGTACCTAAAATTTTAGGAATGCATATATTTGATCTCTTTCACTGGTCAATTCTCAGTAGCTTAAAACAGTTTCGAGCTACCTTTTTTTGCATGTGGGCCAATTCAGGGAAAATAAACCTGAATCATAAATTTTTTCATTCAGATTTAAGTACTTTTTTGAGTAACATGCACTTAAATTGATATTGCCTTAAAAAAGTAAGTGCTGATTTTTGGGTTTTTTTTTCCAAGACAGAGTCTTGTACTGTCGCCCAGGCTAGAGTGCAGTGGCATGATCACGGCTCACTGCAGCCTCAACCTCCTGGGCTCAAGTGATCCTCCCACCTCAGCCTCCTGAGTAGCTGGGACTACAGGCACATGCCACCATGCCTGGCTAGTTCTAAAAAAAAAACATTTTTTTGTAGAGACAGAGTCTCACTGTGTTGCTTAGGCTGGTCTCAAACTTCTGGCCCCAAGTAATCCTCCCTCCTCAGCCTCCCAAAGTGCTGGAATTACAGGCATGAAAATGCTGCTTTTTAAGTAGGAAAAATGTTCAAATCTAGGCATATTTGAGAGGAAGCAACATGGAGGCAGCTCTCTAATATTTTATCCTCATATTAGATTATGTAGACTGTTGTTAAGCTAGGTAGGCCTAGAGTACTCAAGTTGTATCACTGATTTAGAGTAAAGAAGGAAGCAGAGAACATTTATGTTCCAGGTAAAGTTGGGAGCTTTTTTCTTTTTCTTTTTTCCTTTTTTTTTTTTAAATGAGATGGTCTTGCTATGTTGCCCAGACTGGTCTTCAACTCCTGGGCTCAAGGGACCCTCCCACCTCAACCTCCCAAAGTGCTGGGATTATAGGCATGAACCACCTGGCTTGCTTTTTTCATAGTTTTTACAATATTCTGTGTGAATGTTTTAGCTAAATGATTTCATATAAATCATAACTTATTTTTTAAATTATAACTTTTTTTTTTGAGATGGAGTCTCGCTCTGTTGCCGGGATGGAGTGCAGTGGCGCAATCTCAGCTCACTGCAACCTCCGACTCCCTGGTTCAAGCGATTCTCCTGCCTCTGCCTCCTGAGTAGCTGGGATTAGAGGCATGTACCACCATGCCCAGCTAATTTTTGTATTTTTAGTAGAGACAGGGTTTCACCATGTTGGCCAAGATGGTCTCGATCTCTTGACCTCATGATCCGCCCGCCTCAGCCTCCAAAAGTGCTGGGATTACAGATGTGAGCCACCCCTCCCAGCCTAAATTATAACTTTTTAAACCTCAGAGTTAATGAAATCCAAACAAAATTTTATGGCAAAAAAGACAGATCCAGAAATTTTAGTTAAACATTTTGTGAAGATGACACAGGGACTCTTAACTTAGGCGTGGCAGAGATTGCTCCCCATCCACCAATATCTTCTTTGCTTCTTCCTCAAATAGAATTGTGTGTAGGCAATTTTGTCTGTCTGCCCAGCAATATTACATTTCCCAGTCTCTTTTGCAATTTAGTTATAGCACATGTCTAAGTTCTCTTCAAGGGAATATGAGCTGATATGATCTGGCCATTTCCAGGCCAGTGCCTTTGAAGACCAGAAGAGTAAGAAGAGGAGGCCACACCTCCACTTTTTCCTCTTTTCTTGCCACCTACAGTCTGCATGTGGCGGCAACCTAATTTTGATTGTGTAAGTAAGGACAATACCATTAAGTGGCAGTTCTCAAAGTGTGATTCAGGGACTCCTGGAGGCCTCACACTCTTTCAAGGGGATTGGTTAATAATAATTTTTAGTAGTAATAGCCTACCACTAATTGCTATTCTTACAAAAAATTATACCTGATACTACTTTAAATAGTACATAAATATGTATCACATAGGACAATAGAATGCTTAGAAGAATATAAAATTATTGTTTTAAGTTTATAGCTTATACTTAGGAGCAATTGGGTAAGCAAACCTTAAAACCGTCAGAATTGTGCTTCATTTCCTACTATTGAATTAGTTATATAAGATTAAATAGTGGCAACTGCTGTTCTTTTTATCATACTTCTATGTTTTTTATAAATTTGCTTTAGATATGAACCAGAATATCACAGCATCTCAATTTCTCCATTTGGATAGTCATATTTATTTACTACATGCCAACACAATAATTTGGTTACCTAGCTTTATTTTCCACATATACTAGATAATTTAGTTCTGTGTGAGATGTTAAGAGGTAGTTAAGGTTAAAAATAAAAAGATAAATTGCATGGAAAAGAATATAAACATAAGGACCTATACATGCAACCTAAAATCATATTTAAAGTTGAATCAGTTATACTGTAAATGAGTAATTTAGGTAATTTTTTTAACTCTTCAGTAAAATAACACACATACCAAAATTCAGAAATGAGCTGGAGTTATTTGACTGAACAGATTCTGCAGGCTTGTTTGGTGGGCAAGAATTACAGATACCTAGAATCAAAAGAAAAAAATATAAGGGAAAGACTAAAGACAGACTCAGATGACTGTTGATCAGATCACATATAATTGTTAAGAGTAATTAATAATCCCAAATAAACATATCACTGTCAAATGTTAACAAAATGTAGGTGCTTACAAATGGGTTGACACTATAATATTCTCATTTGTATTTTTGGTTTTTTTCTTAAAAGGTTTCTTTTCTTTGCAAACAGATTGTATAGTAAAGCCCAACACTAAAGAAAATTGCTAAGGAAATAAGATCCAATATATCATGAATCAGCATTTTTTTGTTTTTTTTTTTGAAATTCACATTTTGGCTTTGGACTTCATATTACTTTTTCCTCTGGCCACTCTTAGTACATTTTTACATCATTTCTTCTCCACAATAATTCATCCATGACAAGTCTTTTATTTGTATTATATAATCCTCTACCCTGGAATCTCTTTTTTTATTCCACTTTCCAGCCTGATTTTTTTCTAATTATAAGTGATTCTAATTTAGGCCCATAACCGGGCACGGTGACTCACGCCTGTAATCCCAGTACTTTGGGAGGCTGAGGCAGGCAGATAACTTGAGGCCAGGAGTACGAGACCAGCCTGTCCAACATGGTGAAACCCCGTCTCTACTAAAAATACAAAAAAAAATTAGCGAGGCATGGTGTTGCAAATCTCTAATCCCAGCTACTTGGGAGGCTGAGGCACAAAAATTGATCCAACCTGGGAGGCAGAGGGATGAGGTGAGCCCAGATTGCGCCACTGCACTCCATCCAGACTGGGTGACAGAGCAAGACCCTGTCTCAAAAAAACATAATAATTATTATTATTTAGGCCAATAATCTCCCAAAAGCATTGTTATGCTGCTTTGTTTTGCTATTTTAGTTACTTATAGGTATAAGTTAACTTATAAGTTACTCATAGGTCATATATGTACATTGATATATTCATGTATCAGTTTCTGCAGTTTTGAAAACAGTCCCTTAAAAACTTTGTCCACATTTTGCACATTCTCTGTCTTGGCAATGGAAAAAGATAATTTCAGGTTTGTATAAACTTTCTAACAAATTGCATATAAATGGGAAGATATTAAGTGTTTTTGTGTTGTTTTCAACATTTTCAGAATGCACTGTGTGAACTGCATATGCATATTAGGTATGCATATTTGCACATGCATACGTAATACTAGGATTCTAGAAACACCTTCCTTTTCGAGGAGGTACCTGAGTATGAATCACTAGACTACATACTGAATTTCAATCAGATCTAATTAAGATACATATTTATTTTGTACTTACTATATTACTATAGTAAGTATAATTATTATACTTAATATATTAAAATACTTAATATAAAGTATAAGTATAAAATACTATTCATATTTAAATACTTACTATGTGCTAAGCATTGCTGTAGGCACTGAAGATAGAGACATTAATAGAAAGTAGTAAAGGTGAGGAAGTTCAGGAGATATCAGTAATCTGTATACTGCATAGGAGCTGAAAGTTATATACATCCTTCAGAAAGAAAACAAAATTGTCTCAAAGGAGAATATTGTTTTTTTTACAAAGGAGGCACAGATTCCACACATATATATCAGAGGAAACTGCTATTTTGTTATTTTGGCTCATCATGGATTTTTTTGTTTTGTTTTGTTTTGTTTGTTTGTTTTGGGGTTTTTTTTGAGACAGTCTCACTCTGTCGCCCAGGCTGGAGTGCAATGGCACAATCTCGGCTCACCACAACCACCGCCTCCCAGGTTCAAGCGATTCTCCTGCCTCAGCCTCCCGAGGACCTGGGACTACAGGTGCATGCCAACACGCCTGGGTAAATTTTTTGTATTTTTAGTAGAGATGGGGTTTCACCATGTTGGCCAGGCTGGTCTCAAACTCCTGACCTCGTGATCTGCCTGCCTTGGCCTCCCAAAGCGCTGGGAATACAGGCATGAGCCACTGCACCTGGCCTATCATGGATATATTTATGCTGCCTGCCTAAACTTCATTCCCTCTTCTGATAATAGAACTTGAATTTTCCTTTAGGAAACTACCCCTCCCCAGTTTTCAGTTCCCGTGCTTCCATTAGAGCTGATTGTACCTTTAGATTAAGGAAATGACCTATAACTAGGGCTGATTTTCAGTTGGTATATTGGCATGGTCACACCAGATGTATAGGTCTGACCTCATTCCTGATTGGACAGTGTCCACATGTAATAAGTGTTAAATATTAGGGCATGACACTATCCTGCCTAATCAGAACATTGACTATAATTGGTTCAGGGATGGGCAAATGAACCAAGTCAAGACAATCAGACCCAGTTGGCACTAGTCATCACAGTGTGGCTTGAAAACCAATAAAGAGTTATTTTTTTTCCATCATAAGCCTGAACTCACATGATAAAAACCTGCCTATGAATGAGTTAACACAGAGTGAGACTAACCTGAGAGACATGAAATGAGAATTTAGGTTCTGATTACATCATTTGGACCATTGTTACAAGCCAGTAAATTCCCCTTTTCTGCTGAAGTCAGCTTAAGTTAGGTTTTCTGTCACTTGTAACTAAAGGATTTCTGAGCAATTAAAGTTTCCCACCAACAGTTGACAGCTTCCACTCTTGTCACTCTATAATTCATTCTGTATGTAGCAGCCAGTGTGATCGTTTTATACTTTTCTGTGAAGCATGTTTAAAAATAAATAGGAAACAGAGCATGTAACATCTCTGCCTAAAACCCTTTTATGGATTCCCATTACACTTAGAATAAACTAAACTACTTACCATGCATGACCCATAAAAATCTAACTGCTCCTCCCTGATCTTTCCAGCTTCGCCTTACTCCTGTCTCCTCTTTACTTACTACCCTGCATCTAAGATGGCTTCCCTTTGAGTTTCTACAATACACCAAAATCTCCTACCTCAGAGATTTTGTTCCCTCTATCTGAAATACTCTTCTCTGGACCCTTTGGCTGGCTGGCTGCTCCTTCATGTTTTGGGTTCAGTTGTCACTTCCTTAAAAAGGGTTTCTTGGGCCGGGCACAGTGGCTCACAGCTGTAATCCCAGCACTTTGGGAGGCCGAGGTGGGTGGATCATAAGGTCAGGAGATCAAGACCATCCTGGCCAACACGGTGAAACCTTGTCTCTACTAAAAATACAAAAATTAGCTGGGCATAGTGGTGTGCGCCTGTCATCCCAGCACTTGGGAGGCTGAGGCAGGAGAATCACTTGAACCTGGGAGGGGGAGGTTGCAGTGAGCCGAGATCGCATCATTTCACTCCAGCCTGGGCGACAGAGCTAGACTCCGTCTCAAAAAAAGCGGGGGCTTTCTTGGACTACTCATTCTAAAGTGGATCCCCTTTGTTATCCTCTCATAGTTACCCTTTTGTTTTCCTTCATAGCATTTATCATGTGTTATTAAGTATATATTTGTGAATATGGTCAACCAAATTTTGTTTAATGTTGTTTGTTTAATGTTGGAACCCCTCACCAAACTTACATTCCACAAAGGCAGAGCCCATATCTGTTCTGTTCACCATCATATACCAAGTGCCTTACAGAATGCCTGGAACATAGTAGACACTCAACAAATATTCATTGAATGAATGAATGAATGACACTAGGCTTAGATACTAGCTTAAAATAACAGAAGAAGAATCCTAATTTCATTAAAAGTAGGACCAGCTTTACAGACCAGTGGGAGATCCAGGCTACAGGGAGAACACATGGAATTCCAGAATCATGAACCATCTGGAAGGGGCTGAGGACACATATGAAGTACAGTCTAAAGCTTCAGGATCAATTTTGGGAGCCAGATGTTCTTCATTTAACGGCAAAAGACCAGAGGATCAAGGTAACTGAAAAATACAGCACAGCCCAGATCCAGAGAATGAACTGGGAGCTCTTACTTAGAAATAAGACTCAATCTCTGAAAGTTCCACTATACCTTCAAAGCTGTGCCAACCTAAATCTACCTGAAGTTTCTGTTTCTTTATTTGATATTCTAGGCAGAGTTAGAGCTAGAGAAAGAAAACTGTTTTCTGAGTTAGGTGGATCAAACCAATCTTTGGTTAACCATTTAAGTCACTCATTTCTTTGCACTTGGCTGTTTTATTTCCCCTGTTTCCTACCATAATTTCCATTTGAAATGTTTAAATTCTCTTTTGACTCTTTTTAGGAGAAAAGGTATGTTTTCCAACTATACTTCAGCCATCATGAGTTGGTGTCAGAGATCAGCTATAATGGCAGTGATAGCAAACTAGCTCAAGAACCTGGAGCTTTTGGGTAGGGAGATAGAATGAAAACCCAAAAGGAAACCTTCTTTCTTAGACTATACCTACATCAGATTTTCTCAGTGCTTTTTGTCTCTCCCTATAGTACCAGTTTAATGTCAAATAACTGCTCTTTCACTGATTAACCAAATGTATCAAAAATTTTTTTAAGATTGTCACCATGGTTCTTTTTTTTTTTTTGAGACGGAGTCTCGCTCTGTTGCCCAGACTGGAGTGCAGTGGCGCAATCTTGGCTCACCGCAACCTCCGCATCCCGAGTTCAAGCAATCCTCCTGCCCCAGCCTTCCGAGTAGCTGGGACTACAGGTGCATGCCACCACACCCGGCTAATTTTTGTATTTTTAGTAGAGACGGGGTTACACTATGTTAGCCAGGCTGGTCTCAAACTGCTGACCTTGTGATCCACCTGCCTCGGCCTCCCAAAGTGCTGGGATTATAGGCATGAGCCACCACACCCGGCCATCACCATGGTTTTTATATTTTTTATTTGTAAATAAGATTTCTAAGATAATTTTCCACAGTTTCAGGACTCAATGGATTTTATTTTCATTACAACGTAGCAAAAATAGTAAGCAACAGACTTTTATTGCTAATAATACTTAGTAAAAATGGAAATGTGTCAATGCTTTGCTTATTTCATGAAGTCAACACATTTGTTCACAATATGCTTTGCTGTGACTATTTTCAAAGAAAATACATCTGAGGTTAGACTGCTGGAAATTTTAAATAATCCAATTGTATGACAGCATCTTAGGATGGGTAGAAAGTACCAAACATTGGCCGGGTGCAGTGGCTTATGCCTGTAATCCCAGCACTTTGGGAGGCCAAGGCAGGAGGATCACTTGAGCCCAGGAGTTCGAGACCAACCTGGGCAATATGGTGAAACCCCATCTCTGCTATTAAAATAAATTTTAAAAATAAATTTAAAATTTTTTTAATGCCATTGTACTAATTATTATTCTTGTGTATTAAACAGAAGACTTCTCATCGCCTACTCCCTGCCCAATATTAGTATTGTGAAGCCTAGCAAAAAAAAAAAAAAAAAAAAAAGGAGGCCTATGGGTGATTGTTCTGATTCATAGGACCCTATGGAGGCTCTGTTTAGGAATAATATTGTTAATCTTTTCACAATATTGGTTGGTTATATAAATAAAAATTACAAAATTGAGAAAACGATATTTTTAAACATAAGTACCAACTTACTCTTTTTCATGTTTCGCAAAATTTTCAAACTCTACAAAAGAAAGGAAAAATGTTAGTTTTTTTTCCTGTGAAACTTGAAATACTTTAATCAAATAGAAATATAGACTTAAGTGAAAAGAATTTAATTTCCTTAAAAATAGCCATGAAAATGTACAAAGTTGTTTTTCCATCTTGCCATTTTTAATTCAGTGCAAAACCTCTACTTGATTTTATCTTGCTATTTATATCACCCATGCAAGTATCACACTACATATTTTGAAATAATAGTATCAGAGGCTGAGCACAGTGGCTCACACCTGTAATCCCGGCACTTTGAGAGGCCAAGGCAGGAGGATTGTTTGAGCTCAGGAGTTCAGGACCATCTTAGGCAACATAGCAAGACCCCTGTCCCTACAAAAAGTAAAAAAAATATTAGCTGAATGTGGTAGCAGCTACTAGGGAGGCTGAGGCGGGAGGTCTGCTTGATCCCAGGAGTTCAAGGCTACAGTGAGCTCTGATCCCACCACTGCATTCCAGCCTGGGCGACAGAGTGAGAACATGTCTTTTAAAAAAGATTAATAAATGTTGTTGTTGTTGTTGTTGTTGTTGTTGAGATGGAGTCTCGCTGTGTCGCCCAGGCTAGAGTGCAGTGGCGTGATCTCAGCTCACTGCAACCTCTGCCTCCCGGGTTCAAGCGATCCTTCTGCCTCAGCCTCCTGAGTAGCTGGGACTACAGGCACCTGCTACCATGCCTGGCTAATTTTTTGTATTTTTAGTAGAGACAGGGTTTCACCATATTGGCCAGGCTGGTCTCAAACTCCTGACCTTGTGACCTACCTGCCTTGGCCTTCCAAAGTGCTGGGATTACAGGCGTGAGCCACCGTGGCCAGCCAATAAATTTTTTTTTAATTATGCTATCAGAATATTGACGGGGAGCAGTGGAGTGCTGGCAAGGTGGCTCATGCCTGTAATTCCAGCACTTTGGGAGGCTCAAGTGGGAGGTTCCCTTGAGGCCAGGGAGTTCAAGACCAGACTGGGCAACATGGTGAGACCCCATCCCTACCAAAAATTTTAAAAAGCCAGGCATGGTGGTGCAGACCTGTGTTCCCAGCCACTCGAAAGGCTGATGCAGGAGGATCACTTGAGTCCAGGAGGTCAAGGCTGCAGTCAGCCATATTTATGCCACTGCACTCTAGCATGGGCAACAGAGCAAGACCCTGTCTAAAAAAGAAAGAAAGAGAAAGAGAGAGACAGAGGAAGGGAAGTGAAGGGAGAAGGGGAAGGGAAGGGAAGGGAAGGGAAGGGAAGGGAAGGGAAGGGAAGGGACTCAGAGGGGTAGAGGGGATGAAATTCCCACTTCCCTCCTTTATTAGGACCATTTCAGAATCCACAATGGCTTCTGAATATATCCATGATACACAGCCATTTCCATTCTAGCCAAGAATTTTTGCCAGTCATATTCTGTATTCAATTTACTAAGGCCACCTTCCAAACTGTTAGCCATACTTCCTTCCTCTACTTTTATGGTGGAGTCTCTAATTTTTTTTTTTTTTTTTTTTTTTTTTTTGAGACGGAGTCTCGCTCTGTCGCCCAGGCTGGAGTGCAGTGGCGGGATCTCGGCTCACTGCAAGCTCCGCCTCCCGGGTTCACGCCATTCTCCTGCCTCAGCCTCCCAAGTAGCTGGGACTACAGGCGCCCGCCACTACGCCCGGCTAATTTTTTGTATTTTTAGTAGAGACGGGGTTTCACCGTTTTAGCCGGGATGGCCTCGATCTCCTGACCTCGTGATCCGCCCGCCTCGGCCTCCCAAAGTGCTGGGATTACAGGCGTGAGCCACCGCGCCCGGCCTGGAGTCTCTAATTTATCTCTTCAAGGAACCTACCCAAATTTCTTCTTTACTCCACATTTCTTCAGCATGTATGTTTTTAATCTGCTTCAGGCATTTTATTCTTCTTGATAATTTTCATGTTTCTCAAAGGTGTTCTGTTCCAACAGATTAACTATACTATTTTCAAGGGCAAATAGTTATCCTTTATGACATTTCTGTTTTCCTAACACCTAACAGAAATGTGCTCTTCCATGGAATAGATATTTAATACATTATTTATTTGTAACATTTTTAGTTATTTTTTAAAAAATAGATGATTTATTTACAAGTCAGGAAATCCTAGTAAAAATGCTCCCATCCTTGTCTTCAATCTACTACTCAGTTTCTAATGCTCCTCCTGTAGATAACCACTGTTAGTTTTTTATCCTCTGTTGTTAGTATCCTTCCAGTGTTACTTATGAATATATAAGTAAATACACATATGTATCATATTCCTTTTTTTAAGTAAAAGTTAATAAATTATATATAAATATATTGAGAAAGTCCTAATTCTTTTTTAGCTGCACAGTATTCCATTTGTATGGATATAACATGATTTATGATTTATTTAATCAGTTCCCCTAACAATTAACACTATTAATTATGTTGTTTCCAGTAATCTGCTCTTACAGATAATGCTGCAATGAATACTTGGTATACATGTCATTTCATGTGTATGCAAGCATATTTGTAGGATAAATTTCACTTCTAGTGGCTCACACCTGTAATCCCAGCACTTTGGGAGGCCAAGGCAGGAGGATCGCTTGAGTCTAGAAGTTGGCAACATAGGGAGACCCCATCCTAGACAACATAGCAAGACCCCATCTCTAATTTAAAAAAAAAATTGTAAAAAGAAGTTGTACCACTTGACATTCTCACCAACAACATTGAGTGTGCTTATTTCCCCATAGCCTCCCTAACAGAGAGTGTAATCAAACTTTTGGAATTTACCATTCTGATGGATGAAAAGCAATATGTCACTGTGGTTTTAATTTGTAATTTTTTCATTATGAATGAAATTGAACATATCAAATATATAAAGGGCATACCATGCTCATTTATTTTCTTCAAACCATCTGATCACCTATTTTTGCCCATTTTTATTTGGGGGTTATTATTTTCTATGAATTTCTAACAGTTCTTTATCTATTAGAGTAATAACCCCTTTGGCTGTGGTGCCAGTTGCAGATTTTTTTTCCTCCAATTTGTTCTTTGTCTTTTGATTTTTAAGGTGATTGTTTTACCATGCATACATTTTCTCTTTTATTTAGCTGAATTTATCTATCTCTTTTCTTATGGCCTCCGGATTTTGAGTAAGTTATAAAGGTCATTCACACTCCCAGGTTGTAAAAGACTCTTTCCAAGTTTCTTTAGGTCTTCTATGGATTGAGGTTTTTGTTTTTGTTTTTTTAACATTTTAATCATTTAGCCACTTAGAATTTATCCTAGTATAGATGTAAGGAATAGACCCTGCTTTTTTTCAGGTGGTTATTTGATCCAACAACAGTTATTAAACCATCCATCTTTATCCCCTGATTTTGAGATACCACCTTCATTGTATACTAAATTTCTACATATATTTGGATCTATTTCAGAACTTTCCCTTTTACTCTGCTCGTATATGTTTCTTTTTATACACTAATATGCCATTTTATATTTATATTTAAATTTTTGAGATGACGTCTCACTCTGTCACCCAGGCTGGAGTACAGTGGCATAATCTCTGCAGTCTCCACCTTCCAGGCTCGACCAATCCTCCCACCTCAGCCTCCTGAGTAGCTGGGACTGCAGGCACACAGCACCATGCCCGGCTAATTTTTTGTATTTTTGGTAGAGACGGGGTTTTGCCATGTTGCCCAGGCTGGTCTCGAATCCTGAGCTCAAGTGATCTGCCCGCCTTGGCCTCCCAAAGGCTGGGATTACAGGCATGAGCCACCATGCTGGGCCTATCATGCCATTTTAATTGAGGCTTTGCCATATTCGAATATCTGCTAAGGTGACTCTCTTTCATTGCTTTTCTTTTTATTTATTTTTATTTTTAAAAATTATTTTAGAAAGACATTTATCTAAACTATTTTTATTTATTATTTATTTGCAGGTTTCTGACTAGTCCTGCTTCCCCCTACTCCCATGTGAACTTTGAATTCAGTTTATCTAGTTCCAGAAATAAACAAGTTGGTAGTTTCCTTGGGCATCTTTTACATTTATAAATCAACCTTAGGGAGAAGTGGATTTTTTTTTTCTTCATTTATTTTTATTTTTATTTTTTAATTTTTATTTTAGGTTCAGGGGTATGTGTGCCAGTTTGTTATGTAGGTAAACTGTGTGTCACAAGGGTTTGCTGTACAGATAATTTTGTCACCCAGGTAATAAGCATAGTACCCAATAGGTATTTTTTCTGGTCCTCTCCCTCTGACAAATGCCTCTTTAAGTTGTATTTTTTCTTCTTTTTCGTTTCCTTCTATTAATTTTGACTGTTATAATATCAACAATTAGTTTTAATAAAGATATTTAATCTAATTTTCCATCTTAATGCTGGGGAGGGGGAAACTTTCAGTAAGGGAAAGTTTCCGGCATGTTTCCCAAAACTCTTATCTTCTTTACCTTACTCCTTGTGAAACTTTTTCCAGGAGTCTTCAGTGTCTGTTTTGAAGATGTTGAATTTTCCATGGTGTCAGGATAGCTAGTAGAATATGTTTCTATAGATTGGGCCTGCATACCTTAAAAAAAAAAAAGGAGAAAAACATGTTCCATTGCATACCTTCTTAAGCCTTCATGTTACATATAATAAATTGTTAGCTTGGCTTTTTTAGGCATTATTTTGACTATATATTAGGGGCTTTTAAAATGTATTCTTTTGTGTAATCATTTTTGTACCTTTCCATTTAGGTCCTACTTTATTGTTAATCTTTTAACATTTTCATTTTTATGATTTTTTTGAGAGAAAGTGCTACCACTTACAATCTTCATCGGCAAGAAAGAAGGACTCTAGAGTTCTTTCTGGGAGAGGAGGTGGGGGAGAAGAACGATCTTGATGTAGTTCTGTGATAAGAAAGTATACAATAAACCAGAGAAATCCATCAATTAAAAGTCATAAGTCAACACCCTTTTCTCTTTGTATAATTTTTTAATCAATCAATCTTAGCCGACAATCACCAAATAAAATATTATCTGAAAAATGACTGGAGCCTCAAGAACTTTGTTTTTCTACCTCGTTAGCCTATGAGCCTATGATTCATCAAAAATGTATAGCTCACTTCAGAAGTATTCTCCCAAAGACACTGAAACCGAATATAATCAAGCTTCTAGATCTAACACCCATTTTGCATGAAATATTGGGCATAGAGGATGTTAAATAAAACCATTGTGATACAATTAGCCAAATCTAGAAGACTAAGCAGTCTTTTAAGACAAATGACCCACTCTCTTCAACAAATAAATGATGTGAAAAGTATAGAAAGGAGAACGGTTATATATTTAAAAAGAAAATATTAAAAAAAGAAGGGAGAACTGTTACAGATTTCAAAAGACAGATTTAAGAAGACAAACATACAAATCAAATGAAATGCTTAGATTTTGTTTGAATCCAGATTTGAATAAACCAACTGTAAAAAGACATTTTTGAGACAATTGAAAACTGAACAGTCTGGATATTAGTTACTATTAAGGAATTATTATTAATTTTATTGGTGTGATAAGGTAGGTTTTAAATGTGTGTTTGAAATTTTCCATGATGAAGATTTTCAGTAATGGACATATTTTCCCATGATGTAAATTTCTGAAGATACAGATGGTATTCTACTGACATAAGCATTTAATTATATGGTGCTGAGTATTACTATTATATTAATTCCTTTTGAAAATGAAAATGCAGTAAAGTACAAGAGGTTCACATGTCATTGGTCATTGGGTTTGTTTAGTCCTTAGAATTTGTCTTATCAATAAATTGTCTTATTTCTTACATGCTAGGTAATACACACAAGTGTAGTACTTATTTCTAGCACCTAATAAAATAACTGGCATACAGTAGGCATTTAATAAATACTTAATAACTACTCTGAAGTAGTTCATCATCTTCCAGTTTGCTGTTAGGGAATATTCTGAAAACTAAAGTTGTTCGTTAACAGTATTCTAGTAATTATTTCCCTAAAATTCCATTTCATCTTAATACTCCCCTAACAAAGAACCCATAATGCCTGTTACTTACTACATTAAATCTAAATTCCTCTGCCTAACTTTGGGTGTAAATTCCTCTGCCTAACTTTGGGTAGTAAAATACACATAAGATTTGCCATTAGTGACATTTAGCACATTCACAGTATTGTACAACCATCACCACAATTTAGTTCCAGAATACTTTTTATCACCCTAGAAGGAAACTCTGCACCCATTAAGTCATCACTCCTTATTTTCCTCTTTCCCCCAGCCCCTGGCAATCACTAATCTGCTTCTATCTTTATGGATCTGTCTATTCTGGATATTTCATGTGACTAGCTTTTTTAAGTCCTTCAGAATCTTGCCCCACATCTTATTTACCCAAATTTATTTTCTGTATTTCACAAACTAGAATATCTATTGCAAAAAAAAAATAGCCTACTCACCATTTCTCCATACACATCATGCTCATTTCTACCTTTGAGTCATTGGTAGGCTGATCCCTGCTGCTGGAATTCCCTCCTTTTTTCTCTCTGTCTATACAAATTATTTAAAGTTCTTTCTTCCACTCAGCGAAACCTTTCCTAACCACTCCAGTAATGCCATCCTGTTTTCCCAGACTCCTGGTGATTACAGTCAGTGCCACACAGATTATCACTTAGTGGTTCCACGTGAGTATTAATTTTATCTACTCTATTTGAATATAAGCATTAAGTAGTACTCTTTCTCATACATCCTGCCTATTCTAACCCTGTGTAAGGTGCACAGAAGTTGCTTAGTAAAATGCTTATTTAATGATTAATAAAAATTATAATCGATAATATTTAATGAGGACTTATTTGACAAGTACTACGCTAAAAGCTTTACGACATTATTGTATTTAATCCTCATAAAAATTATCTAAGGGATTCTATTCTTTTATAAATGAGAAAAATAGAAGGAGAAAGTATGTAATTTAACCAAGTTTATGCATGTTGATAATTCTTCATAGACCAGGGATTTGACTTAAAGCCTATCTGACTCTAAAGCCCTTGTTTTTGTTGTCATGTTTTGTTTTGTTTTTGAGATGGAGTCTCGCTCTGTCACCCAGGCTGGTGTGCAGTGGCGCAATCTCAGCTCACTGCAACCTCCACCTCCCAGGTTCAAGCGATTCTCCTGCCTCAGCCTCCCCAGTAGCTGGGACTACAGGCACCCGCCACCACGCCCAGCTAATTTTTAGTAGAGACAGGGTTTCACCATGTTGGCCAGGATGGTCTCGATCTCTTGACCTCGTGATCCGCCAGCTTTGGCCTCCCAAAGTGCTGGGATTACAGGTGTGAGCCACTGCGCCTGGCCTGTTGTCATGTTTTTTAGAGACAGCATCTTGCTCTGTCATACAGGCTGGGTGCAGTGGTGCCATTATAGCTCACTGCAGCCTCAAATTCCTGGCAAAGCCCATGTTTTTTAACCTTTATATTATCTGTATATGTATTTGAATAATATGACAGTATGAATAAATATGTTAAGGGCAACTACCACTTGTGATAATGTAAACAAAGTACCTGGAAGTGCCCAATAAATGTTAGTTTTTGTTCTTCAATGCATGAAACAGGCAAAGCTCAGACAAGTACTGGAGAGGCAACAGCAAATTAAAGAATTAAGTGGCCAGAAATAATTTTTTGAATCACACTGTTAACAGTGGGAAAATCTCTATAGTGGAAAAGCTGCAAAGTTTTAAAAGATTCTCTCTGAAATAGTTTTTATATATTATTTCAGAGAGGTTATATATTAAGGAGCAGAATTCTAAAATCCTGTCTTCACCTTGCTCTTTACAAAATTTCTAGTCTGGGAAAGCCAGAAATAAATCAATGAATACTGGAAGCTATTATGGGAACCAAGTAACTTCCTGAAGTGAATTACTCTAAACTTAACGAACCATTCTTCCAATCTTAGGGCTAAATGTCATCTAAAGCCAAGAGAAATTTTTACCTGATTTAGGACTTCGGAGTTTTACACTCTAAAAGAAAAAAAGAAAGGAAAAGTGAAAGAAGAATATGTATACAAATTATACAAACTCAAAGCAAAAAATGGCATTTTTGAACTTATATGTAATATAGCTGTAGAGATAATTATGAAATGTAGACCCTATTTTTCCTAATTTGTAAGTGTGCTGAATTATGAAATGGCATCTTTCACTCTTACACTGATTTTTATATCCCATGGCAATTAGTCCTAAATTGATCCCCTTCTGACTTATTTCTGTCCCACCTGAAACATTTCCCTGAAAATTTAATTAGAGGTAAGTTGCGGAAATTGAAGTTACTTCATAACATTGGAAGAGTGACTGTTCTTTCCTCTGGGAGTTGTTAAAGTAAATATATGTGCCTATTATTAATGACAATAATAATTACTAGTACATTAGAATTATAATTTAAAAGGCAGAGAATATTTGCCTATCAGCATTGCAATTGTAGGTACTTTAAAATGTTTAATTATTTTTCTGATCTCTCAAATTTTAAGAGAATTGGTTCACAGACTATACAGAAATGCATAACATTTTTAGATACACTTCTATTTTTCCTCCAGAAGCAGGACACACCTACTTTCAATAATTATTTTCTATTTAATCCACAAACCCCTCCCACCCCCATCTCTGACTTTACCATCAACCACACTATTCCAAAAGGTTTATCTTAAGTAATATGCACACCTGTCATTCTCTATAACATATTATCACAGCAAACATGATATAGCCTACCAAATGACTACAGTGAACAAGCTTCCTACTTAAGTATGAAACATTTATTTTTGCCTTAACTATCCTTCAAGAATCAGCTCAAATGTTTCCTCTTTCACTAAATCTTCCTTGATCACTTCCAACCTGGAGGCATCTCCTACACTTGAAATTCTTTATCTTTCATATGACATTGATCACATTTGCTTTGTTATAATAAATATAGGCAAAAATAAAGATTTGTACACATCCTATATCTCTACTACTAGACAAGAAGCTTCTTACAGGCAAGAATTGTGTCTTATACATCCTTTTTATCCCAACATCCTCTAGCACATTGTTCTATATTTAGTATGTGCTTAGGATTTATTGAATGATGGGTGTTAAAAATACAAGGAGTAGAACTGTAGTCTATTGAATCTAAATGAGTAGAGTCATTAAAAAATTATTGACCTTGCTTGGTCTAAGTATCACAGAGTCATCAAATTTCTTTGGTTCAGATGTTCCACCCCATTCCAGTGATGTTCCAATTTTTACCTTCACAGCTGAGGATAAGGATTTGGGAACATTTGGTGAGAATTCTCCTGGAAGAAAGTGAATATAGTTCGGTTCTTAAGAATAGTATTCTTTTAGACATCAAATGTTGCTCAGCAAATAATACATAAAACATTGAAAGGACCTGAGAAGTAATCTAGTTAATTCACACTTCATTTTATTTTTTGAGACAGGGTCTTGCTCTGTCACCCAGACTGGAGTGCAGTGGCACAATCATGGCTTACTGCAGCCCCCAACTCCTGGGCTCAAGTGATCCTCTCACCTCCACCATCCAAATAGTTGGGACTACACATGCATGCTGCTATTGCTCTGCTAAATTAAAAAAAAAAAATTAGAGATGAGGTCTCACTATGTTGCGCAGGCTAGTCTTGAACTCCTGGCCTCAATGAACTCCTCAAACTCAAGGCTCACACATCAGCTTCCCAAAGTGCTGGAATTAAAGGCATGAGCCACCATGCCCATCCCACACTTTATTTTATACTTACTGAACTGTACTCACCAGCTTCCTCAACCACAATAAATGATTCAGGTGTCCATACAGGAAGTGGAGGGGGGATTTCATCATCTATCCTTGGAGCAGTTGCTATCCAAAATGTCAAAAATATTGTAACAATTGTTAATTAGAACAATCCAAAGGAAATTCTTATATTCTAATATTAAATATAAATTTACCATAATTTATATTTAAATTCCGTTGAAGCAACATTATCAGTAAAGTTGACACTTGTTCATTCAAGGAAAAAGCAAAATAAATTCTCTTAAGGTACAAACCCAGGAGGTTTTTGCTTATTCTTTAACATTTATTGTTTTAAAAGCTCAAAAGTAGGGCTGGGCGCGGTGGCTCACGCCTGTAATCCCAGCACTTTCGGAGGCCGAGGCGGGCAGATCACAAGGTCAGGAGATCGAAACCATCCTGGCTAACGTGGTGAAACCGTGTCTCTACTAAAAACACAAAACATTAGCCGGGCGTGGTGGCGGGCCCCTGTAGTCCCAGCTACTCGGGAGGCTGAGGTGGGAGAATGGCGTGAACCCGGAAGGCAGAGCTTGCAGTGAGCCGAGATTGCACCACTGCATTCCAGCCTGGGTGGCAGCAGGACACTCCGTCTCAAAAAATAATAATAATAATAAATAAATAAAAGCTCAAAAACATTTTGATTGAGTCACGGTGTATCAGTTAACATAAAATATTATATTAATTTTGGAAGCTTTGAATTAACTTTTACATAACTCCTTTTGTTTTACATAGACTATATAATAAAACATTATAAAGTGCTTTGACGTGTAAAAGGTTCAGTTATACATTAGGTAAAATCATAAAGATTTCAGTATCTCTTCATTCTATACAAAATTCAAGAATATGGGTATTTTTCCATTTTACAAAACAACAGTATAGGATAGTCTTCTGTATTTCTATACAAACATTCAGTTTTTATTAAACATTTTAAATGGTATTACAAGAAACTGCCACCAGATGGCACATGACGATATTGTTACAATCCCTGAAAATAAGGGTATGTTTTTATTAATTAATTTTTTTTTGAGACGGAGTCTCGCTCTGTTTTTTAATGATGCAGATGCTCAGAGAAGTTTAAGGTATAAGAAAAGAAAATACATTTAAATGTTTAAAAATGTATAAAATAATCTAATCACAGAAGGAACATCTTAGATCCAGATAAGATATTTTTGCAACAAAGCTACAAATGATCTACACAACTATTTATTAAGAAACTCTACAATAAATAATGTTATAGAGCAAAAGTTTTCTCCACCTCCTATCTATGTAGAATGTGCTTTACAAATTATTTGATGATATACCTAAGGGAGTTAAACTTGTTCATTGCTTTCCCTCATCATCTTCCACATCAAATTATTGTCATCATCTCTAACAGGGTGCTCATTTCTACTTTCAAACTAATCAGTAAAACAGAACAATATGCATTATATGCAAAAATACAGAATTATAAAAGAGACAAAACATGAAAGTAAAGGTATACATATGATAAAATTTTTACACAAAATACTAAACATGTATTGTCATCTACGAGATTACTACAAAAGAGCAAGAAATCAGGTTCTCCCCTTCCAAATCCTGCAGGAAGATAATTCAATTTTTAGCAATATGTTCAACTCATTTTAGCCACATAATTGTGCAACAAAAAATCTGGGTGCTATTGATCAAATTTTTTTCTGCTCTTCCTTTGGAAGCTGCTTCTATATGTTAAGAGTAAATTCTGAAGCTAGGTGTGGTGGCTTGCACCTGTAATCCCAGCACTTTGGGAGGCCAAGGTGGGAGGATTGCTTGAGGCCAGATTTTCAAGACCAGGCTGGGCAACATAGCAAGACCCCATTTCTAAAAAAAAAAAAAATTAGCCAGGCATGGTGGCGTGTCCCTGTGGTCCCAGCTACTTGGGAGGCTGAGGTGGGAGGATTGGTTGAGCCCAGGACATCAAGGCTGCAATGAGCAATGTCCACACCACTGCACTCCAGCATGGGCAACATAGTGAGATTCTGTTTCAAAAAATATTTTTAAAAAACAGTATATTGTGAGCCTTTGATATACATTTCTAGAAATGAGGCGTGCCTTCTTTAGAAGCACTCCTGCTGGTACAGATCCTGTACCAGATCTTGATTGCCTCCATTGTTGCCTGTTTCATGGAATATTATGTTTGATGTTGCTATTTTCAACTTATTACAGCATTAAAACACTCCTGGAATGTATTTATTTGAGGAGTAGCAGGAAGAAGAAAGAGAAGGAAGCAGGCTAGGCGTGGTGGCTCATGCCTGTAATCTCAGCACTTTGGGAGGCCGAGGCAGGCAGATCACGAAGTCAAGAGATCAAGACCATCCTGGCCAACATGGTGAAACTCCATCTCTGCTAAAAATACAAAAATTAGCCGGGCGTGGTGGCGCGCGCCTGTAATCCCAGCTACTCAGGAGGCTGAGGCAGGAGAATTGCTTGAACTCTGGAGGCGGAAGTTGCATTGAGCCAAGATTGCACCACTGCACTCCAGCCTGGGTGACAGAGCGAGACTCCATCTCAAAAAAAAAAAAGAAAAAAAAGAGAAAAAAGAAAGAAAGAGAAGAAGCAGAGGAGAAGAGGGAAGAGGAGAAGAAACCAACTATTCTATAGAAACAAAATGAAATCTAAAATTCTATGCAAACTTTAAAAAATAACTTACCTAGTACAGCTGACTCCTGGTTCAATAGTGAGGAAATATTGGTTGGAGAATTCAGTGATAAAGAATCATGTGAATTGTAATAAGAGAAGAGGGATGTAGAGGATGTTGGCAACAGAGAAGAAGGAAAAACAGTTCCATCTTGCTTCTCAGGTAAATCAAGAGACATCTTAGAACTGGTACCACTTGGAGGCCATGATGAAAAATAAGGATTTTCCACTAAAGGTATGTAAGAATATACACCAAGAGCACTAGAGTCATGGTGCTTTACATTAGAGGCATTACGTATTTGGTGTTTAGAGTCATATGGCAGTGAATAATTCAGTTCTGCTGAAGAAACATGCATTACTTTTTGAGCCTGCATCTCTACAAAACAAGAATCATGTGGTTGAGATTCCAAATAAGAAAAGTTTTCCTTGCTGTCCACCTCCTTGGTTTCTCTCTGCTGTATCAATTCAAAAGGAGTTGATTTGGTCCGTGTTATTGGCACCTTTGAATTAAAATATCTTCCTGCTGCATTTACAGGTTTAGAATTAGAACATCCCTCAAACAAAAGAGAGCCCAAATCCAAACTTTGATGCTTCTGAAGAGGCTCCCCAACTATTGGAAATGCCTTTGTCTGCCATTTCATGGTTGTGTCAGCATTTTTGTCAAAACTGTAATTTAGCTCCAGAAAGTCAAAAGAAGTGCTTGATTTAGCAGGGTGCAAAACTAGCTCTTCTTTTGCACTTATTTCAGAAGTCCTAAAGTCAAAGGAAGAAGATTCTTTGATTTCCATTTTTGTCCTTTGTTGGTTCATCATTTTTGCTGCTTTTGTGGTACTAAAACAAAAAGAAAGCGTAATGATGACACCATACCCCAAACAGGCCGCTTCCTAGCATCACAATGATGTATAAGCATGAGATTCATCTCCCAGACACAATTAGTCAACATTTAGATATATAAAATTGTACTCACCTTTTTGGTAAATTAGGAGAATAAGAGTCTGCTTGGAGAGTGTGATTTTTCTCAGGAATACAATGCTTTGCTTGACTCTTTAAAAGAAATAAGTCAGAGGCTGGTTTTCAGTGAAGCAATGTCAATAAGATATTTTAATATTTAGAAGGCTGAAAAGTAATTTTTCAGGAAATAAAAAGATTTAAAATAATTCATGAAAGAGTTAGATTAGCTTCCAAAATATTGAACTCAGCAAGAACTCGTTCATATACTGAGATGGCCAGAATAAAGGATTAATAGTATTATAGAAACTAGAAAGGATTTGTGTATATCATCATCTTTTCAAATGTGGGAGTTTTAAAAATGTTCTTTGGTGGGTAACTTTAGTCTCAAAAACACTCTGCCTTTAGAAATTTCAGCATCTCAGCCCTTTACAGGTACTTATTAGGTCTCTGGACCTATTTCATCTTGTTCTACTCTTTTCCTCCTCACTATGCTCTAGGTATACTGGTTTTCTTGCCATTACTTTAGCATGCCAAACTTATTTCCAAGTCAAGGCTTTTACACTTACTATTCCCCCTGATTAATATATTTTTGCTCCAAATTTTGCATGGCTGGCTCCTTCTAAGTAATTAGATCTCTGCTTAACTGTCATCTGCATAAGGAAACCTTCCCTGACCACCCAACCTAAAATCACATTTCTTCCCCTGTCCAGCCATGCTCAATCTTCTTCTTTTTTAAGAGACAGGGCCTCGCTGTATTGCCCAGTCTGGCCTCAAACTTCTGGGCTCAAGCAGTCCTCCTACCTCAGCCTCCCAAGTAGCTGGGACACTACAGGTGTGTACCACAGTGCCTGGCCTCAATCTTTTTTTTTTTTTTTGAATTAAGTTAGGGTCTTATTCTGTTACCCAGGCTGGAGTGCAGTGGCACAAACATGGCTCACTGCGGTGTTGACCTCCTGGGTTCAAGTCCTCCTCTCACCTCAGCTTCCCAATCCTTATTTTTTATAGCAATTATCATATTATGAAATATGTTATTGTGGTTCATAGAATCTTAAAATATAATTGATTATAAAATATATCTTCATTTCAGAGATGTTAAAATCCATTTTGAACATCTCAGTTGATGCAGAAAAAGCGTTTGACAAAATTCATGTTAAAATCACTTAACAAAATAGGAATATAAGGAAATGTTCTCAACATGATAGAGGCCATATATGAAAACCCATAACTAACATCATATTCATACATGAAAGACTTAAACTTTCCCCTAAGATCAAAAACAAGACAAGAATGCCAACTTTTACCACTTCTATTCAACATAGTACTAAAGTTCTAGCCAAAGTAATTTTTTTAATTAATTTTGTTCTTAGGCAAGAAAAAAAAAAGCATTCAAATTGGAAAAAAAGGCTGCGCACAGTGGCTCACGCCTGTAATCCCAGCACTTTGGGAGGCCAAGGTGAGTGGATCCCTTGAGGTCAGGAGTTTGAAACCAGCCTGGCCAACATGGTGAAAGCCCGTCTCTATTAAAAATATAAAAATTAGCCGGGCATGTGGTGCACACCTGTAATCCCACCTATTCGGGAGGCTGAAGCAGGAGACTTGCTTGAGCCCAGGAGGCGGAGGTTGAAGTGAGCCGAGATCGTACCACTGCATTCCAGCCTGGGCGACAGAATAAGACCCTAACTTAATTCCATCTCAAAAAAAAAAAAAAAATTGGAAAAAAAGGAAGTAAAATTATCTCTAGTCTCAGATGACATGATTTTATATATGGGATTCCACAAAAAATCTGCTAGAGCTAATAAACAAATTCAAAGTTGCAGGATGTAAAATGAACACATAAAACGAGTTGCATTTCTATACATTAGCAATGAACAATCTGAAAAGAACATTAAGGAAACAGTTATATTTATAATGGCATCAAAAAGAATAAAATACTTAGGAATAGATTTAACCAAGGAGGCAAAAGACTTGTATACTGAAAACTACAAAGCTTTGCTGAAAGAAATTAAATAAGATATAAATAAATAGACATTCAAAGTGATCTACAAGTGCAATGCAATTCTTATCAAAAACCCAATGGCATTTTTACATAATTTGTTTAAAAAACAGACTAAAATTCATGGAATTTCAAGGGGCACTGAACAGTCAAAACAATCTTGAAAAAGAAGAGCAAAGTTGAATGACACACTACCTGATTTCAAAAATTGCAACAGAGCTACAGTAATTAAAACAGTGTGGTACTGACATAGTATAGACTAAAGACCAATGGAATAGAAGAGCTTTGAAAAAAACATTTACATATGGTGGGCAATTGATTTTTGACAAAAGTGCCAAGAAAATTCAATGGAGAAAGGAGAGTGTTTTCAATAAATGATTCTGGGAAAAACTGAATATACACATGCAAAAGAATGAAGTTGAGGCTGGGTGCGGTGGCTCATGCCTGTAATCCCAGCACTTTGGGAGGCTGAGGCGGGTGGATCACCTGAGGTCAGGAGTTTGAGACCAGCCTGACCAACATGGAGAAACCCCGTCTCTACTAAAAATACAAAATTAGCCAGGCATGGTGGCGCATGCCTGTAATCCCAGCTACTCAAGAGGCTGAGGCCGGAGAATCACTTGAACCAGGGAGGTGGAGGTTCCAGTGAGCCAAGATCACGCCATTGCACTCCACCCTGGGCAGCAAGAACGAAACTCCATCTCAAAGGAAAAAAAAAAAGAGAGAGAATGAAGTTGGACCCTTATCTTATGATACAGAAATTAACTCAAAAATTGATCAAATACCTAAACATAAGAAGTAAAATGTAAAACTCTTATAAGAAAATGGGCAAGCTTCATGACATTGGATTTGGCAACGATTTCTTGGATAGGACACCAAAGGCACAAACAACAAAAGAATAATAGGAAAATTGGACTTCATTGAGATTAAGACTTTTACACACCAAAGGACACAAAGGCAAAAAGGCAACCCATTGACTGAATGGAAGACGGTATTTGCAAATCACATATCTGATAAGGGATCAATATCCAGAATACATAGAGAACTCCTAAAACTCAACAACATGTAAACAACTCTTTTTTTTTTTTTTTTGGTGGAGGGGGACAGAGTCTTACTCTGTCACCCAGGCTAGAGTGCAGTGGTGCGATCTCGGCTCACTGCAGCCTCTGCCTCCTGGGGTCCAGCAATTCTCCTGCATTAGCCTCCCAAGTACCTGGGATTACAGGCACACGCCACCACACCCGGCTAATTTTTGTCTTTGTAGGAGAGACGGGATTTCACCATGTTGGCCAGGCTGATCTCAAACTCCTGACCTCAAGTGATCTGCCCGCCTCGGCCTCCCAAAGTGCTGGGATTACAGGCGTGAGCCACCGCATACAGCCTCAATTAAAAAATGAGCAAAATCTGGGCACCATGGCTCATGCTTTTAGTCTCAGCTACTGGGGAGTTTGAGATGGGAGGACTCCTTGAGGCCAGGAGTTCAAGACTAGCCTGGGCAACATAATGAGACCCTGTCTCTAAAAAAAAAATTAAAAAAAAATTAGCTTGGTGTGGTAGTGCATACCTATAGTTTCAGCTACTCAGGAGCTGAGGTGGGAGGATCACTTAAGGCCCAAGAGTTTGAGGCTTCAGTGAGCCATGATGGTGCCACTGGACTCCAGCCTGAATGACAGAGCAAGACCCTGACTAAAAAAAAAGTAGGGGTGGGTGGGAGAAGGCAAAGGACTTGAAGAGACATTTTTCCAAAGAGGATATACAAATGGCCAATAAGACCACAGAAAGGTGTCTAATCATTAGGAAAATATAAATCAAAATCACAATGAGATACCACTTCACACCTAATTAGGATGGCTGCCATCAAAAAAACAAAATAGGCCAGGCGTGGTGGCTCACGCCTGTAATCCCAGCACTTTGGGAGGCCGAGGCCGGCGGATCACGAAGTCAAGAGATTGAGACCATCCTGGCTAACATGGTGAAACCCCATCTCTACTAAAAATACAAAAATTATCTGGGCGTGGTGGCATGTGCCTGTAATCCCAGCTACTTGGGAGGCTGAGGCAGGAGAATCGCTTGAACCCGGGAGGCAGAGGTTGCATTGAGCCAAGATTGCGCCACTGCACTCCAGCCTGGCAACAGAGCGAGACTGTGCTCAAAAGACAAACAAATAAACAAAAAACAGAAAATAAAAAGTGTTGGCCAGGATGTAGAGAAATTGGAATCCTTGTGTACTGTTGGTGGGAATGTAAAATGGCACAGCTGCTATGGAAAAGAGTATGGCTGTTCTAAAAGAAAACTAAACGGCCGGGCGCGGTGGCTCACGCCTGTAATCCCAGCACTTTGGGAGGCCGAGGCGGGCGGATCACGAGGTCAGGAGATCGAGACCATCCCGGCTAAAACGGTGAAACCCCGTCTCTACTAAAACTACAAAAAATAGCCGGGCGTAGTGGCGGGCGCCTGTAGTCCTAGCTACTTGGGAGGCTGAGGCAGGAGAATGGCGTGAACCCGGGAGGCGGAGCTTGCAGTGAGCCGAGATCCCGCCACTGCACTCCAGCCTGGGCGACAGAGCGAGACTCCGTCTCAAAAAAAAAAAAAAAGAAAACTAAACATAGAATTACCACATGTAATTCCACTTCTGGGTTATACCCAAAGTAATTAAAAGCAGGGATACAAATATATATTTGTATACCCATGGTCATCACAGCATTACAGCAGCCAAAAAGTGGAAGGAACTCAAGTATCCATTGATGGATGAATGGATAAACAAAATGTGTGTGTGTGTGTGTGTGTGGTGTGTGTGTGTATAAACATATACAATGGAATATTATTCAGCCTTAATGAGTAAGAAAATTGTGACACGTTACAACATGGATGAACCTTGAGGACATTACGCTAAGTGAAATAAGCCAGACACAAAAGGACAAATACTATATGATTCCACCCATATCAGGTACCTACAGTAGTCAAATTCATAGAGACAGAAAGTAGAAGGATGGTTGCCAGGGGCCAGTGGGAGGGGAGAATAGGGAGTTATTGTTTAATGGATACAGAGGGTCTGTTTAGAATAATGAAAGTTCCAGAAATAGTGATAGTCACTCAACATTGTGAATATACTTAATGACACTACATTGTACACTTAAAAATGGCTAAAATAGTAAATTAAAATGATATATTATACCACAATAAAAATATTAATTGGAAAGTATCTCTTCCTTTTCTATTTCCTAGTATAGACTGTATAAAATTGGTGTTAATTCTTCCTTAACCATTTGATAGAATTCTCTAGTGAAACTATGTGGGCCTGAGATTTCTTTTTTGGGAGTTTTAAAATTACAAATTCAATTTTTCTAATCACTAAGGGGCTACTCAAATTATCTATGTCATGCTGAGTAAATTGTGGTAGATTGTGTTTGAGAAAATAATCCATTCTGGGCCGGGTGTGGTGACTCACGCCTGTAATCCTAGCACTTTGGGGGGCCAAGGCAGGAAAATCCCTTGAGCCCAGGAGTTCAAGACCAGCCTGGACAACATAGCTCCTATTTCATTCCTGATATTGGTAATTTTCATTTTCTCCCTTTTTATCTGTGTCAGTTTTTAAAAAGGTTTGTCAATTTCATTGATCTTGTTAAAGAACGATTTTTTTTTATCTTTTAAAAAAACCAGGCTGGATGCCTTGGCTCACGCCTGTAATCCCAGCACTTTGGGAGGCCGAGGCAAGCAGATAGTCAGGAGTTCAAGACCAGCCTGGCCAACATGGCAAAACCCCATCTCTACAAAAATAGAAAAATTAGCTGGCCATGGTGGCACATACCTGTAGTCCCAGCTATTTGGGAGGCTAAGGCAGGAGAATCGCTTGAACCTGGGAGGTGGAAGTTGCAGTGAGCCAAGATCATGCCACTGCACTCCAGCCTGGGTGATAGAGTGAAACTCTGTCTCAAAAAAACAAAAACAAACAAAAAACCAATTCTGATTTTTCTCTATTATTGTTTCCAATTTCATTGATTTCTGCTCTTTATTTCTTTTTCTATATTCTTGGAGTGACAGCTTAGATTATTGAGACCTATACTGTTTTCTAATGGATGCACTTAGTGCTATAAAGTTCCCTCTCAGTACTGCTATTGCTTCTGTCTCATAAATTTTGGTATGTTGTATTTTCATTTTTGTTTAATTCAGTGTGTTTCTTTATTTCCTTTGAGACTTTCTCTTTGACCCAATAGATTATTTAGAAAAGTGTGGTTTGATTTCCAAGGATTTGGATACTTTTCCGTTACCTTTCTGTTACTGATTTTTTTCTTTTTTTAATTAGTTAATTAATTTTTGAGACAGGGTCTTGCTCTGTCACCCAGGTTGGAGTGCAGTGGCACAATCACAGTTGACTGCAGCCTTGACCTCCCAGGCTCAAGCAATCCTCCCACCTCAGCCCCCTGAGTAGCTGGGACTACAGGCACATGCCATCACACCTGGCTGAGTTTTTAATTTTTGTAGAGACGGGGGTCCCCCTGTGTTACCCAGGATCATTTTGAACTCCTGGCCTCAAGGAATCCTCCCACCTTGGCCTCTCAAAGTGCTAGGATTACAGGCAAGAGCCACCATGCCCGGTCTCTGTTACTGATTTCTAATTTGATTCTATTGTGGTTAGAAAATATATTCTGTATAATTTTGGTTGTTTTGTTTTTGTTTTTGTTTTTTTTTTTTTTGAGACAGAGTCTCGCTTTGTTGGCCAGGCTGGAGTGCAGTGATGCTATCTCAGCTCACTGCAACCTCCGCCTACCAGGTTCGGGTTCAAGTGATTCTCCTTCCTCAGCCTCCCACGTAACTGGGATTACAGGTGCCCACCACCACACCTGGCTAATTTTTGTATATTTAGTAGAGATGGGGTTTGGCCAGGCTGACCAGGCTGGTCTCAAATTCCTGACCTCATGTGATCCGTCTGTCTTGGCCTCCCAAAGTGCTGGGATTACAGGTGTGAGCCACTGCTCCCAGGCTAATTTCAATTTAAAAAAATTTTTCAAATTTTTCAGATTTTTATGGCTCAGGATATACTCTATCTTGATATATATTTTCCATAAGCACTTTAAAAGAATGTGTATTCTTATTAGGTAGAGTGTTCTGTAAGTGTCAACTAGATTTTGTCAGTTAGTGGTGTTGAGTTCACCTATATCCTTGCTGGTTTTCTGTCTAGTTCTATCAAAATTGTTGAAAGAAGAATATTGAAGTCTCTGGCTATGACTGTGAATCATCTGTTTCTCTCCTTTAAGTTCTATGAGTTTTTCTTCACATATTTTGCAATTTCATTGTTTGGTCTATATACATTTAGGACTATTATGTCTTACTGGCAGATTGACCCTTTTATCATTATCTCCCTATCTCTGATAATTGTCTTTGCTCTGAAGTCTACTTTATCTGATATTAACATAGCCACTCCTGCTTTCCTTTGATTCATGTTTACTGATATAACTTTTTTCCATTCCTTTGTTTTTAGCCCTCTTATATATTTGAAGTGAGTTTCTCATAGACAACATATAGTTGAATTGTTTTTTAATTCTCTATGCCAGTCTGGCAATTCACTCTACCACCAGTAAATATTGGTGTATTTAGGCTTATATGTTTAATGTAATTATTAATATGGTCAAGTTTCATTCTGCTATTTTATTTTTTGTTTTCTCTTTATTCTTTCTGTTTCTCATTGCTCTTTTCTTTTTCCTGATGCTTTCTCTTTCCTGCATTTTTTAGAATTCCATTTTGATTTACCTATAGTGTGTTTTATTATATCTCTTTGTATAGCCTTTTTTTAGTCATGGCTCTAGATATAGATACAGATATATGGTATCACACTCTACTGGTGTTATCATTTTACCAGTTCAAGTGTGGAAGCCTTACCTTCCTTTATGTTTCTTACCATCCTCCTGTTATAATCATTTAAAATATTTCCTTTAATACATTTAGAACAACATCAGTCAGTGTTATATTTTTGCTTCAATTGTAAAACATAATTTATAAAACTCAAGAGGAGAAGGAAAGTTTATTATATTTACCCACTTTTGTTTATTATGTTCTTTCTTCCTTCTTTCATCATTCCCTTTCGGTTTAGAAAGTTTCCTTTGCCATTTTTTTAGGGTAGGTCTACTGGTAACAGATTATCTTAGTTTTTCTTCATCTGAGAATGTCTTGATTTCCCCTTCAGCCCTGAAGGATGTTTTCACTGGGTGTAAAACTCTGGATTGACAGTTATTTTCTTTCAGCACTTGGAAAATATTGTGCCACTTCCTTCTGACCTCTATGATTCCTAATGCAAAATCTGCTGTCATTCTAATTGTTTTCCTCCTACAGTTAAGGTGTCATCTTTTTCTGGCTGATTTCTAAAACTTTTTTGTCGTTTTTTGTTTTCAGAAATTTAATTATGATGTATCTTCCAGTACTTTTTCAGCCCTGCCCTTTCTATTTTCTTTCTGGATTTTGATGACCCAATGCTAGATTTTTTTTTTTTTTTTTTTTGGTCCCTTAGTTCCCTGCAGCTCTGTTTATTTTTTTTTCAGTCTATTTTATCACTGTTGCTCAGACTGGGCAATTTCTATTGTTCTACTTTTCAATTCATTAATTCTTTTTTCCGTACCCTCTATTCTGCTGTTGAACCCATCTATTTTGCTTCAGTTACTGTATTTTTAAGTTCTAAAATTTCCATTTGGTTCTCTTTATATCTTGTTTCTTTGCTGAGACTCTTTTTTTTTTTTTTTTGATGAGGCTTTGTATTTTTTAATTTGATTTAAGCATGTTTTTACCTTTTTTATTTTTTTATATTTTCATTCTTTTTATTGTTTTGTTGTTGTTGTTTTAACTATGTTTTTAATTGCTCATTGAAGCATTTTTATCTTGGCTGCTTTAAAATCCTTGTCAGATAATTCTGACATCTGTATCATCTCGGTGTTGTCACCTATTGTCCTTATTTAAATTCAGTTTGAGATCTTCCTGGTTCTTGGTATAATAAGTGATTTTCAACTGAAATCTGGGTATTTTCACATTGTTATGAGACTCTGAATCTTAGTTAAGCCTTCTCTTTTTGCTGGGGCTTTTTTTTTTTTTTAACAGAGTGTTGCTCTGTCACCTAGGCTGGAGTGCAGTGGTGCAATCTCAGATCACTGCAACCTCCGCCTCCTGGGTTCAAATGATTCTCATGCCTCAGCCTCCTGAGTAGCTGGGATTACAGGTGCGCATCACCATGCCCAGTTAATTTTTGTATTTTTAGTAGAGATGGGGTTTCACCATGTTGGCCAGGCTGGTCTTGAACTCCTGATCCCAGGTCAAGACCAGCCTGGTCAATATGGCAAAACCCCACCTTGGCCTCCCAAAGTGCTGGGATTACAGGAGTGAACCACTGCACCCGGCCATTTGGAAAAATTTTTTTGTAGAGACAATTGCTATGTTGCTGAGGCTGCTCTCAAACTCCTAGGCTTGAACAATCCTTCCACCTTGGCCTTCCAAAGTGCTGGGATTACAGGCATGAACCACCTTGCCCAGCCAAGAGATTATTTTTAAATTTTTATTTCTCTTTGAGACAGGGTCTCACTTTGTTGCCCAGGCTGGAGTGCTGTGGTGCCATTTCAGCTCACTGCGACCTCCACCTCCCAGGTTCAAGCAATCCTCCTGCCTCAGCCTCTGGAGTAGCTGGGACTACAGGTATGCCCCACCACTCCTGGCTAAATTTTTTTTTTTTTGGAGATGGGGTTCACCATGTTGGCCAGGCTGGTCTTGAACTCCTGACCTCAGGTGATCTGCCTGCCTCGAGCTCCCAAAATGCTGGGATTACAGGTGTGAGCCACCGGACTTAGTGAGATTAATTTTTTAAGTTAAATTACATCAAATTAATTTGTCATTTTCCACAGGAAATTTTCAGTGCAGCCCTATGCACACCTGACGCTCTCAATTTAGTTGTGACAATAGATAAATCCTGCAACAAATCTGACATCCCTTGACCAAAAGCAAGTATGAAAATTTTTTTGACATAATATCTAGTTTAAATTTTACCTCTGTTCCAGAATGTTTATCTCTGATAACATCCATCTGTCTCTTAAATAGTTCTAATACAGCATTGTAGACCAGTTCATATTGTTCCTGAAGAGCATCACAACCCAGAACAAATGAAAACAAAAACAAAAAAATTGGTGAACGACAGGACCAGATTTTAGGAATATGAACACCAATCAAATCCTAATATAGCAGACCCAAAAGGACGATCGGCATGTTATTAAACTTACTAACAATGCCTTATGCTTACGTAGTTCACTTCAGATTTCAAAGCACTTTTATGCTGCTGAAAATAGCTAAATATTTGATACACCTCTAACTAATGTACAGGAATCTTATGACTTGTTTCTTTTATGTTCTAAACCTAGTTTCTTATCTTTCTCTCCACCATCATTTCTCTAATTCTGTTTCCCTTGCTCACATTAAAAAAAAAAATATTTCATTCTAGATGGATTTTTTGTAAGCAACCTTCATCTTTTCTGGAAAAAGAGATAGTGGTTGGTATATAGATAGATAACTTCAATGTCTATGCTTTAATTTGGTCCTCACAATTGCTCTATAAAGTAGATAAGCTATTTATACCTATTTACAAACAGTTTATCCCAGGTCATTCAGAAGGAATTTCCAGGGCTTGGCTTAGAAACTTAATTTCCACACTCTTAGTTCAGTGCATTTAGATAAAGTTGCTAAAATTTTGTCCTAATAAAGATACCAAAAAAAAGTAAACCACTAAATAAGGTTTTGAAATTTGTGGTTACAAAAGGATTTCACCATAGAGAAATGAGACCTCTATTATTACAAGGTTTATGAGTTATTACTACTCTGTTTTTGCCTGTACTTTCTCAAGCACTTAATTTTGAACCTACTTTTTATCTGAAAGGGCCTAATCAGGGTTTTACCTGAAAGGGCCTATTCAGGGTTTTCCCTGACACTTTACACATTTCTGTACAAATAAAGAACAATTTTTTTTCAAAGATAATTTTAGCAGGAAACAATGCAGAGTCTATATCATTCAACACAGCCATTAGTATGCTCTTTATTTATTTATTTATTTATTTTTTTTTTTGAGACACGGTCTCACCGTGTTGCCCAGGCTGGAGTGCAGTGATGCAATCTCGGCTTACTGCAGCCTCGACCTCCCAGGCTCAAGTGATGCTCCCACCTCAGTCTCCCAAGTAAGTCGGGACTGCAGGCACCTGCCACTACACCCTGATAATTTTTGTATTTTTTGTAGAGACAGGGTCTCACTATGTTGCCCAGGCTGGTTTTGAACTCCTGAGCTCAAGTGATCCACCTGCCTCAGCCTCCCAAAGTGCGGAGATTATAGGGGTGAGCCACCACATCTGGCTAATTTCTTTAAGAAAGAAAAATCAGGGCTGGGCATGGTGGCTCACGCCTGTAATCCCAGCACTTTGGGAGGCCGAGGCAGGCAGATCACGAAATCAGGAGTTCAAGACCAGCCTGGCCAGCATGGTGAAACCCCATCTCCACTAAAAATACAAAAAAAATTAGCTGGGCATGGTGATGCGTGCCTGGAGTCCCACCTACTCGGGAGGCTGAGGCAGAAGACTTGCTTGAACCCGGCAGGCAGAAGTTGCAGTGAGCCAAGATCGCACCATTGCACTCCAGCCTGAGTGACAGTGTGAAACTCCATCTCAAAAGAAGGAAGGAAGGAAGGAAGGAAGGAAGGAAGGAAGGAAGGAAGGAAGGAAGGAAGGAAGGAAGGAAGGAAGGAAAGAAAGGAAGAAAAAGAAAAATCAGACAGGAAGCTCTCATCTGGTTACAGTGCCATTTCCTGGTTACAGTAGTGTCAGAAAAAACAGCTACAACTGTCAAGTTCAGTTAGTTGTTTGATAATGCCAAAATGTGAAGGCTTTTTCAGCGTCTTCCAACTCTTAAAAGTAGGCCTGAAATGAAATTCGTTTTTGAAATGGGGTATAGTTTTATTAAATTAGTATTGCTATTTATATAACTAGGTTCCATACTTCTGGAATCTTTATGCATTTACATGGATCAGCCTTCTTTCAAGTCTGACAGCATTAAACCAGCTAATGCTTTCATTTCACATAAGCTTTCTCCCTCACAGGTTGAATATAGAAAACACCTACACTCAGCACACATGAAAGTTATTTTTTTCCACCAGCTATTAGTGGAAAATCTGTGCAGGCCAAACAGTTTTATATTATAATAGCTCTTTATTTTATCCCTTTAATTCACAACTTCTAGACTAAATATCTGAATTGCCATTGTCAGTTGTTTTATCTCTAAAACTATTTGCATCTTCATTTGTAAGTGTTTTAAACACTTTAAGGTCTTGCTATTTAAGTAGTTAAAAGTAGTTCTAACAAATTACACAAAAGTGCCTGTTAATAAACATCAATACACGTTTCATGAATGAATGGGTCAATTCTAAATTCTATATTAAAAATGGAGACCACTTAGAAAACTAAAACTATTGGGTAAAACTATTCGTGTAGAAATATGGGTGAAATTAATATTGTAGGCAGTGAGAGATTTGGGCTAGGAGAAGGGAAGAGCATTCCTAATGGAGTGAACAAGTATGGGTATTCTGGGGTAGGTTAAAAGATTGTGATACATAAATAGAGTGTGATTGTAATTTTTTTTTTTTTTGAGACAGAGTCTCACTCTGTTACCCAGGCTGGAGTGCAGTCGTGTGATCTCGGCCCTCTGCAACCTCCACCTCGCAGGCTCAAGCAATTCTCCCGCCTCAGCCTCCCAAGTAGCTGGGATTAGCAGGTGCCTGCCACCATATCCAGCTAATTTTTTTATTTTTAGTAGAGACAGGGTTTCAGCATATTGGTCAGGCTGGTCTCAAACTCCTGACCTCAGGTGATCCACCCACCTTGGCCTCCCAAAGTGCTGGGATTACAGGTGTCAGCCACCGCGCCCGGCCCAATTATGTTTTTTCTTTTTTAAGTATGCATGCAATAAGAATCAGGAGAAACTATAGAAAAATAGTAATAGTGGCTATCTGTAGGTAATAGGAATATGGTTTTTATTTTTATTTTTCAGTGTTTCCTAAAACGAGCACATAGACTGAATTCTCCATATTCTGTTACCACATCCTGGGTAGAAATTACAAATCCCTGATTTTCTATGCTTTCAGAGATGAATTTTATCACTACAAAATTTCAAATTAACATGACCTAGCTATTTCAAGTCCACAAGTCAGTTTGTTGAATACTTTTACAACATCCTTTGTAAGGAAGTAAGTAATATTACATTGGTATCTTAATATTTTCTGAACAGACAGTAAAATAAGGAATGAAAGGAATTTGACCCAGGACAAGGGATACAGGAAAAATATTGGGATATTCAGAGTTAGAGAAAATGGCAATGGACTCTAGAGCACGTAATGGTAAATTGGTGTTATATCTGAGCAGTCAGCTGTTTTTGGATGCCTCACCATTAAACAGATGGAGCAAGACTCAGACACATGTTCTGATCCATTCACTATAGTTCATACCTGCGTTTGAACTAATGAAGGCCTCTGTGTCCGCATTTCCCGGATCAAACTGAAAACACTGAAGTTCTCAGGAATTATCTATCAAATTAAAGGGGAAAATATTCCTTTCAATATTTTGTTAATAAATTATTGCTACTTTTTCATAGTCTTGTACTTCCATGGCATCTGCTCTTCTAACATGGGGTAATATCAGAAAAATGATGCATTTTTAAAACAAATGAGGTTTCTTATCACTTGCAACATGATTTAGAGCCTGGTATTTTCCCTAGAAAAGACTAAAGAAACTCTTCAGAATGATTTCACACGGTATAACCAAATGTCTAAAACTATAGATATAACGAGGGACAGGATTCAGTAGATGCACAAGTATGAGAGTTGCATAAAATAAAAGAGGTTGGTAGGTAGGTCTAAAGGCCATATTTTAAACTTCCCATTTCCTATTAGACATTAAAAAATGATTTATAGATTGGAACGCAAAGTATGATTGCAGTAAGTTGAGTCCATCTATTAAAGCATCTTTGGATAAAGGAAGGGTAACTATATAATTTAGGACAGTGGTCCTCAAACTTCATCATGCATCACAATCACCTGGACAGCTTGCTGGGCCCCCATCTCTAGAGACATGATTCAATTCAATGGGGTGGGGCCCAGTAATTTGCCTTCACCTTAGGTTAGGTGCACCTAACCCCCTTGGGGTTCAACCCCTACACTATTGGAATCTCCAAAGATTGGAAAACAAACATTAAAGGACATATAAATTACAGACTTCCTGGGAGTCTGACAAAGTAGAAATAGAAATATTTGACCTATTTTCAGTATTTCACAAGAACTAACAGAAATCATATGTCTACTAAAACAGCTGCACAAGCTAAGTGAAATATCTAGTTTCCTTGGGTTTTGATTTTTGCTTTTTGTTTTGTTTTGTTTTTGAAACGGACTTTCACTCTTGCTGCCCAGGCTGGAGTGCAACAGCGCGATCTCGGCTCACTGCAGCCTCTGTCTCCCGGGTTCAAGCGATTCTCCTGCCTCAGCCTCCTGAGTAGCTGGGATAACAGGCATGTGCCACCAGGCCCGGCTAATTTTGTATTTTTAGTTGAGACAGGGTTTCTCCATGTTGGTCAGGCTGGTCTTGAACTCCCGACCTCAGGTGATCTGCCCACCTCAGCCTCCCAAAGTGCTGAGATTACAGGCATGAGCCACTGCAACCAGCCAAGTTTGCTTGGTTTTGATTAGAATTGTCAACTCAGAATGGCAACAGTAGAACAGTGATATCCAGTAAAATATAATGTGAGCCACATATGTGATTTTAAATTTTCTTTTTCTTTCTTTTTTTTTTTTTTTTTTGAGGACTTTCACTTTTGTTGCCCAAGCTGGAGTACAATGGCATGATCTTGGCTCACTGCAACCTCCACCTCCCAGGTTCAAGTGATTCTCCTGTCTCAGCCTCCCGAGTAGCTGGTATTACAGGCATGCGCCACCACACCTGGCTAATTTTGTATTTTTAGTAGAGACAGGGTTTCACCATGTTGGTCAGGCTGGTCTCGAACTCCCAACTTTAGGTGATCAGCCTGCCTCGGCCTCCCAAAGTGCTGGGATTACCGTGTGAGCCACCATGCCCGGCCAAAAATTTCTTTCTTTTCCTTTATGTATTTTATTTTTATTTTTATTTTTTTGAGACGGAGTCTCTCTCTGTCACCCAGGCTGGAGTACAGTGGCTCAATCTCAGCTCACTGCAACCTCCGCCTCCCGGGTTCAAGCAATTCTCCTGCCTCAGCCTCCTGAGTAGCTGGGATTACAGGCACATGCCACCATGCCTGGCTAATTTTTTTTTGCTTTTTTTTTTTTTTTTTTTTTTTTGAGACAGAGTCTCGCTCTGTCACCTAAGCTGGAGTGCAGTGGCGCGATCTTGGCTCACTGCAAGCTCCACCTCCTCAGTTCAAGCCATTCTCCCGCCTCAGCCTCCTGAGTAGTGGGGACTACAGGCGTCCACCACCATGCCCGGCTAATTTTTTTGTATTTTTAGTAGAGACAGGGTTTCACCATGTTAGCCAAGATGGTCTCGATCTCCTGACCTCGTGATCCACCTCCCTCGGCCTCCCAAAGTGCTGGGATTACAGGCGTGAGCCACTGTGCCCGGCCTAAATTTTCAAATAGACACATTCAAAACCGAAAAGAGGTGAAATTAATTTTAATAACATATCTTAGCCCAATATATATTGCATTTCTAACAAGTTCTCAGGTGATGCTGATGCTTCTTGTCTGGGGACCACCCTTTAAGACCCACCTACCTGGGAACTAATTTAATCGTCTGACAGAGTGGGTCTACAAGTACATTTTCTAGAAAAGATGAATCATGAAGATAGATGTTTTGAAAAACCAAACAATTACTAAGTATGAAAGCAGTAGACTAAGCAAATGGGAAGTGCCTGCTGAGAGAAACTCACCCCATCTTTTAGCAACATCCATGTATAATCAATAGCACAAATAACACCAGTCCTTCCACAGCCAGCACTGAAATGAAAGATCACAGTAGCATGTATGCATGTATACCTAGAGAGAATGGACCATTGACAGTAGCTGGAAAATTTCACCAGCAGATTTGAGGAAGAAGATACCTGGGGACAATTAAACTTTCCAAACCCCACCATTTCCCAGAGCCCATTTGTCATGCAAGAGGTCCTAGGCAACATCTCAGAGCAAGAGTCTCTAGAACTGTACTACTCACAAGTAACTTATCAGAAAAACATGAATTTAATGCTTAGGTTGAATTTATTATCGTTTGTTTTTGCTATTAACCTTTTCCCCTTTCAATTACACAGTCCTGGCCAGACTCTGACATTTGGTTCATTTTGGGTAGAAGGTTTATATATAGTGTCATACCTGCAGTGAATGCATATGGGAACACTGTCATCCTCTTGGTAACAACGTACATCCCAGATGAGCTCAAGAATAGGGTCTATAGATGAAGGTACATCATGGTCTGGCCAATTCTTGTAATGAAACTGGTAGATAGTTCGAGTTTCCTATAAAAAGTAGCCAGATGGGAGGGGAAGAGGGGCAAGGGCTGAAAAACCACCTATTGGGTATTATGCTCACTACCTGGGTGATGGGATTATTCAGTGGCATGCATGCAACAAACCTGCACATTTACGCCCTTGTGTCTTATATTCATAAGATTAAAGTTGAGGCTGGGTGTGGTGGCTTACGCCTGTAATCCTAGCACTTTGGGAGGCCGAAGCAGGCAGATTACTTGAGGTCAGGAGTTCAAGACCAACCTGGCCAACATGGGGAAACCCTGTCTCTACTAAAAATACAAAAGTTAGCCAGGCAAGGTGGTGAGCACCTGTAGTCCCAGCTACTGGGGAGGCCACGGCACAAGAGTTGCTTGGACCCAGGAGGCTCAGGTTGCAGTAAGCCAAGATTGCACCACTGCACACTCCACACTCCAGACTGGGTGACAGAGCGAGACTCTGTCTCAAAAAAAAAAAAAAAAAAAAAAAAGTTGAAATTATTTTAAAAATAGCCAGGATAATAAGACAACTTGTGGTTAGAACTCCACCTCATTATACCAAGACAACAGTCCGGCATACTAAGTTGTATCTATATCCTTTTTGAAATTTATTCCGGTTTCTTCTCTATAGATCTCAGGTGACCAGATGCTTTCTGAAAACCATTAAAAGTGATTTCAGGTCACTTACTATTGGTTTGTCCCCATCTGCCCCATTCACAAGAGGAAATAGCTAGATATGAAAATAGTTCAAACCAGTGTTTCCCAACTGGTATGCCTCCAATGTGTCACAATCATGCTGATATATTAAATCTTTTTGCCTTAGAGAAGCTGGGCAGGGCCTAGGGCAGCCTAAGCTCTCAAACTGGTCCCCAGTCTCTATGCACTGTTCAGCTTCTGTTCACCCTACAAATATTATCATTTTATATGTGTGCCATGGTATAGAATAGATTGAAGACATATTATAACAATGGTCTCTTCTTTTTTTCTTCTTCTTTGAGACACAGTCTTGCTCTGTCACCCAGGCTGCAGTACAGTGGCACCATCTCGGTTCACTGCAACCTCCACCTCCAGGGCTTAAATGATTTCTCCTGCCTAAGCCTCTTGACTAGCTGGAACCACAGGCATGCACCACCACGCCCAGCTAATTTTTTGTGTGTTTTTAGTAGAGACAGGTTTTTGCCATGTCGGCCAGGCTCAAAGTTCTCTTGAATATGAAGACTCATTCATGACATCAAAGACCCTACCACTTCCCATTGTCTTATGCCCAGCCTGAGCTACACACATCTATATTTACTTGCCTGATCTCTATAGGCTTTTGAGTTTATCATTCTTATTTTATACTTACACTATTGAACTTAACTTTTAGAGTCCTGATTATATAATCAGATTTCCTTTTTTCAGCTTCCTAAAAAGAAAAAGAAGACTCAAGTATTAGTGATTGCAAAGACAAGCTCTCTATAAGGTAGACCCTGGAGGCTTTACTCAGACATGAGAACAGACATTACACTTACACAGGATACAGAGAAAGGGCCAAATTCCAGCTGCATCTCTCCTGGCTCAGCCCAGTAGCGCTCACACTTTTTCTGTTGCACAAAGCAGAATACAGTGATTTCCCTCCATATATTCTAGTCTTTTCCACTCTCTCATTTGGAAGCAAATTCAGCTCTATGTCCTTCACCTTAGGTTAGGTGCGTCTAACCCCTTTGGGCTTCAACCCCTACATTATTGGAATCTCCAAAGATGGGAAAACAAACATTAAAGGATATATAAATTACAGACTTCCTGGGAGTCTGAAAAAGTAGAAATAGAAATCTTTGACCTATTTTTAGTATTTCACAAGAACTAACAGAAATCATATGTCTACTAAAACAGCTGCACAAGCTAAGTGAAATACCTAGTTCCCTTGCTTTTGATTAGAATTGTCAACTCAGAATGGCAACAGTAGAACAGTGATATCCAGTAAAAATATAATGTGAACCACAAATGTAATTTTAAATTTTCAAACAGACATATTAAAAAATGAAAAGAGGTGAAATTAATTTTAATAACATATCTTAGCCCAATATATCAAAACATTCTGACATGTAACCAATATAAAATAATTATCAGATATTTGGCATTTTTTACTAAGTCTTCAAAATCCAGTGTATATTTTATATTTATAGCTAATCTCAATTAGGATGCCAAATTTTGGAAATATTTTATTTCCATTTAGATTTAATAAAACTTACATTTGAAAAATTTTCACATACTCAAACAGCTTTCTGATAACTGAATTGCATGTCAGTTTTTAAGTTTAAATCAATTAAAATAATTGAGTTCCCCAGTCACATTAGCCATATTTTAAATGCTCAATAGCTGTATGTGGCTGGTGGATGCAATATTGGACGGCACAGGATTAAAAGCTCTGGCTGGCAGTTAAAGATATCTAATTAATAGAAATGGGCAAGTGATTTGTTAATCTTAAAAGCATACCTTGTTTTTAACTGTAAAACATAGGGTCTACTGAGAAAACAAACAAATAGGATTCTTAGGAGAAAAAAAAAATCCTCTGAGAATCACGTGGCATTCCCAAACTGAAAACTATGAAGATGACATAAGTTTTATCTAGGTACACTCAGGTAAGTTCTGCTGCCAATTTCCCTCTCCTTTTTCTTCTTTCCTTTGTTTTAAGGTCAGCAGGTACTAGAAAGTAACTTACCTTTCCCATTTCATACTCCATGCATGCCATAACAATGATCTGGGGGATGAAATAGATAGAAACTTAAACATTCATATATAGTTAGAAAGAGCAGTTAATACATGGATCCCAGACTCAGAAAGTATTAACCGTTCTTTTTTCTGTTTTGTCGTTTTTTTTTAACCAAAAAATAAATCCTGGTGACTTATAAAATATTGCTGCTACTCTTCCTTCATTCTGACAATACTTCCCCTTTCTCTGTTCAGACCAGTAATCTTGTTACCAAATGAGCCTGTCAAGGTAAGAACTTTCTCATTTTTAAATTTATTTTTATTATTTTTTAAAACTTATTTATTTTTGAGACAGGGTCTCATTCTGTCACCCAGGCTGGAGTGCTGTGGCACAATCTCAGCTTACTGCAGTCTCAACCTCATGGGCTCAAGCGATTCTCCCATATCAGCTTCCCCAGTAGCTGGGACTACAGGCACACACCACCACTCCCAGCTAATTTTTGTATTTTTTGTAGAGACAGGGTTTTGCAATGTTGCCCAGGCTGGTCTAGAACCCCTAGGCTCAAGCTATCCACCCCTCTTGGCCTCCCAGAGTACACCTGGCTGAGAACTTTCATTTCCTTGGACAAGAATGGCATTGTGATTCTGACTAAAAGATGCCTGAACCCTGAAGTTCCACTGACCAATTTTTTAAAAGCACTGTTTTTAATAAAGTAGAGAATAAAGTAACAAAAGCAACACCATACTTACAAGGACACTATATTCCCAAATCATCCTCCAGAAGTCCAGGAGGGTTGTAGATAAAGGACCCTGGGTGGCAATATAAGCCTTGGGTCCATAAACTCCCTAAAGGGGAACAGAAATTACACGGGGTGACTACAAATAATACCCTGTTCTCACCTAGTCCTCCGCTTCCTTTTTTTTTTTTTTTTGAGATGGTCTCACTGTGTTACCCAGGCTGGAGTGCAGTGGCATAATCACAGCTCACTGCAGCCTTGACCTCCTGGCTTCAGGCAATCCCCTTTCCTCAGCCTCTCCAGTAGCTGGGACTACAAGCGCATGCCACCACACCTGGCTAATTTTTTAACTTTTTGTTGAGATGGGGTCTCATATGTTGCCCAGGCTGGTCTGAAATTCTTGCGTTCAAGTGATCTTTCCGCCTCAGCCTCCCAAAGTGCTGGGATTACAGGCATGAGCCACTGAGTCCAGCCAGCCCTCCCCTTTTTTTGGGTATCTAGAGAAATATGGAATGCTTTTATTTTCTTTCACTGTACCTTAATGAAGTTGGCATTGATGTAGCTGGAATCCTCATCAGAGGTTATCAGGGATAGTTCTACCCGGCTATAATCATCTATAATACAAAAGACAGACATAGTACAATTAAGAGGGCTTAGTCAGCAGATTTAAATCAGGGCCTAACACTGTGAATAGTGTATGCTCATGAGTGAACAAGTGAGTGAATGAATGAATGAATGAATGAATATTCTTTTGCAGTCATAAATAGTACAAACTAAGTTGTCAATGCCATGTTCCAAGATCAGGATCAGTAAGCAATGGGTACAAAGAGATAGTAATGATTGAATTTGGGAGAAAGTATGAGTTTATAGAGAGAAATGGAACTTACAGGGCAAAATATCCTTATATCTGTTTTTCTTGATATTCTTGGGCTTCTCAGCCACAGTTGTAGGATAGGTTTTGTCTGCCTTGTACTTGGTAGATTGCCTTTTCAGCTTCTGTAATAAGATTCCAAGAAAAATTAATCTTCCTAGAGAAATGAGGTAAGAAGCTATCTCTAAAGAGCTTTCCTTTTCCACTGGCAAAACATTCTACCTCAACCCTTTTATTATCTTCTGGTTCTGACTCCGTTCAGGACAGAGCTGCAGAGCATAAGGAGACCTGAGTTCAGTGACATTTGGGGAAGTGAAAAGATCACACTTACTGCAGCTGAGCCATAGATAGCGTGAACTTAAAAGTGAAACTTGTGAATATTTTAAGAACCAAATATCTTCTGGAAGCAAGCTATATGCTCCACCCAATGGGCAGATATTAAAAGCTTAATTTACTTTCTTTATAACTGCTTTTTAGTTAAATGGTCAACTGGAAAATAATTAAGTTCTATTAGTCTTTTTACTTCAGATCGCTTTTTTTTCTAAGTGGAAGTGGAGCTTAAGCTGAATAAAATTTCTCTATATCTAGCAAAATTTCAAAGATTTCAGTTCCAAAAGCAGTCACTTTTTTTTTTTTTTTTTTTTGAGATAAAGTTTCACTCTGTCACCCAGGCTGGAGTGCAGTGGCTTGACCACAGCTCAATGCAGCCTCAACTTTCTGGGCTCAGGTGATTCTTCCACCTCAGCCTCACCTCCCACCTCAGCCTTACCTCCTGAAAGCTGGGACCACAGGCACAAGCATCACACCTGGATAGTTCTCATATTTTCAGTAGAGAAGGGATTTCACCATGTTGCCCAGGCTGGTCTCAAACTCCTGGGCTCAAGCAATGCACCTTCCTTGGCCTCACATAACTTTTATTACTGTAGATTATCATAATTGTTCTATTGTATTACTAGCTATTATTGCTAATCTCTTATTGTGCCTAATTTATAAATTGACCTTAATTATAGATATGTATGTATAGGTAAAAACAACATAGTGTACGTAAGATTTGGTACTATCTGCAGTTTCAGGCATCTACTATAGGTCTTCAAACACATCCTCCGTATATAAAGAGAGCCTACTGTAGTTTGAATTCCTCTGGATTTTCAGAACTGGATTTGAGAGGAGAGATACTGAACTGATATCTTTTTGTTTGTTTGTTTGTTTAACTTTGAACCCCAAGAAGCTACTGAACTATCTTTATAGCATATTTTTACTTCAAGATGGATATGGATACAAGTGGACTAATTTGGGAATTTAAGGACACATGAAAGACTAGGCTGAATTTCAGCTGAAGTTACACCAATTTTTCAAATCTCCCTGCTCTTAAGCAACTTCAGAATGATCATTTTCAGGTTGCTGTTGATCCCAGGGCTGCTGAAAAGATCTCAAGTCCCAGAACAGTTTCTTCTAGGAGTCTCCAGAACTAAGCTCAGTGCATACTCCTTGTTATACTGTTTTTATTTATTTTTGTTTTATTTTGCTTGTGGAACGCTTTCTAGGGAGAATGCTATACACAAAGCCCTTTGCGTAAGATATCCTTCAATTAATTTGGCAAAATGTTACAGATAAAGGTGATGGGTGTGTGTGTGTATGTGTGTCCTATATTTGTTTAGCTGCCTTCACTGCTACCTTCAACAATAAGGCAGAATGGCTTTCATTTTTCCTACTCCTTTCCTCCCCCTCGAGTAATCTAGCTGGATGACAAAAGCAGACACTCTTAGCAAAACATCACACAGGAAATGCCTACAGAATTATTCATTTGTAATGTATGAAAGATTTGATTTTTTTCCCTCAAACATCTTATCTTAAGGTCATACCACTGTGAAGTCTTCCTTTTTCTTTCTGTTTTTTTGTTTGTTTGTTTTTGTTTTTGTTTTTGAGACAAAGTCTTGCTCTATCGCCCAGGCTGGAGTGCAGTGGCATGATCTCGGTTCACTGCAACCTCTGCCACCCAGGTTCAAGCAATTCTCATGCCTCAGCTTCCAAAGTAGCTGGGGTTACAGGCGCCCGCCACCATGCCTGGCCAATTTTTTGTATTTTTGGTAGAGACGGGGTTTCACCATGTTGGCCAGGATGGTCTGGAACTCCTGACCTCGTGATCTGCCCGCCTTGGCCTCCCGAAGTGGTGGGATTACAGTCGTGAGCCACCGCGCCCGGCCAATTTTTTTTTGTATTTTTAGTAGAGACAGGGTTTCGCCATGTTGGCCAGGCTGGTCTTGAACTCCTGACCTCAAGTGATCCCCCCACCTCGGCCTCCCAAAGTGCTGGGATTATAGGCATGAGCCACCGCGCCCGGCAGGCTTCATTTTTCTCTTCCACCTCTCTTCCTGCCAGACTCCCGGGCTCCAATATCCCAAGAAAGAACAAATTAGGGCAAAATTAGGGCAGAAAAAGTAATAAACTACACCAGAAAAGGAGGAACCCTGAAAGTAGAAAGCAAAAGGGTATAAAAGAGGAAGCAGGGTCATGGGGATGGGTTTAAGTTTGTGAAGAAAAGATATGAGATCTAAAGGGTGAAGGTATTTCTTTGCCAACTACAAGGTAGGGGTGTGAGTTCCCTAGAGGAAGTACCATCAAGAGAAGTCAGGGGAATAGTTGCCAAGAGGATAAAGTGAAGAGACTGGGTGCGGTGGCTCACACCTGTAATCCCAGCACTTTGGGATGCCGAGGCAGGCAGATCACTAGGTCAGGAGTTCGAGACCAGCCTGGCCAGCATAGTGAAACCCCGTCTCTACCAAAAATACAAAAAAAATTAGCTGGGCATGGTGGCAGACCCCTGTAATCCCAGCTATTCAGGAGGCTAAGGCAAGGAGAATCGCTTGAACCTGGAAGGCAGAGATTGCAGTAAGCTGAGATCACACCACTGCACTCCAGCCTGGGTGACAGTGTGAGACTCCGCCTCAAAAAAAATAAAAATAAAAATAAAAAAGAGAATAAAGTGAAGAGAGAGCTCAACATCCCTCGTGGGCCCTGAAATAGGGTGGAATGTGTGAGAAACCAGATTCTGTGTGTGCTTGATAAGCTAATAGTAAGTTCATTTGGTTTGTAGATGATACTACCCCTTTCGTTTCAAGAAAGGAGAGGAGAATGGGGATCCTGGCCAGTATAACAAGGAGTATTAGATTCTAGAAATTCGGATTGAGTCATTTGCATGTTATTCTCACAGACTAGTAAATAAAATAAAGTCACTCCCAAAAAAGAACAGAAAGTAAAAGAAAGCACAAGACCACGATATCTTTGCCTTGAAGGACTACATTACTGGATAGAAGACGTAGCATTTTAGATACATTTTAGGGAGAGGAAAATTAAACTTGGCCCTCCTGTGCTAGGTGGGAGAACACAAAGTTTGGCTGTCTCGAGAACTCTGCAAGGTAGTTCCTCAGTGCCTTGCAAATATAGGTCAGTATTATACCAAGCCTCCATCAGGACAGAAGAAGTACAAGTGGTAAGGAATGGCATTAGGAGCTCAGGCTTCTAAATCCAGTAATCAGGAGAACTACCAGTAGGAATGGAGGACAAGACTGAATTGTACGAGCGTGCAATGCAATCATCTTCAACAAGACTGACAAACTTATCGAGGTTAGTTTCCAGTGCAATAGTGGGGCAAATGGGTAGGTGGGTAGGCAATAGCTAAATTGGGGTGAGTAAACCAAGAGGTTCAACTTTAGATACATAAAATGTGAGAAAATGGCAAGAAATGTGTGTGTTGTTGGTTGGTTGGTTGGTTTTTGAGACAGAATCTTGCCTTGTCACCCAGCAGAGAGTTCAGTGGCGCAATCTTGGCTCACTGCAACCTCTGCCTCCCAGGTTCAAGTGATCCTCCCACCTCAGCCTCCTGAGTAGCTGGGATTACAGGCACCTGCCACCATGCCCAGCTAACTTTTGTATTTTTATTAGAGACAGGGTTTTACCACGTTGGCCAGGCTGGTCTTGAACTCTTGACCTCAAGTGATCCGCCTGCCTCAGCCTCCCAAAGTGTGGGGATTACAGGCGTGAGCCGCTGCGCTCAGCCAAGAAATGTGTTTTAAGTGTCCTGTGAGTAAATGAAAATGTAGGACTAGATGGTCCCTAGTGAGAGGCTGGAGATGGTGTTAGAGAAATCAGCTTCAGAGGTGATGTGATACATTTATTCTGGTGGTGGCATTTTTAAAAATTGCACCTTAATGTGCACAAAGGTCAAGAAATGCTGATAAATATGTTCAAGTGATAGGCTGATTCACAGGAATGAGTAGTGTCAATTCATAGATGTTTGTGCACTTGCTCTGTAGGAAGTACCTTGTTGATAACTGTTTGGTTAGTATCATTACTATAATATACACAGAACCAGGATGTATCTATGTCTCCTTTATAGAACCAAGATGTAGCCAGATCTTTGATATGTCTCTGGTCTTCTAATGAATCTCCAGAAGTTGCAATAGTACCAGTCTGATTTCTAGTATAGTTTAAACTGTTAGCACCTAAACCTGGCCTTCAGAACTAGGTATCTTCTTTCTGTTAGGATTCAATGAATCCTTTATATTTAATAAATATATATATATATATATATATTTTTTTTTGACATGGGATCTCACTCTGTCATCCAGGCTAGAGTGCAGTGGCGCGATCTCGGCTCACTGCAACTTTGCCTGCAATCCCAGCTACTCGGGAGGCTGAGATAGGAGAGTCACTTGCGGTGAGCCAAGATCGCACCATTGCACTCTGGTCTGGGCAAAAAGAGCAAAACTCCATCTCAAAACAGACAAACAAACAAACAAACAAAAAACTGAAATTGTGGTAAGTGCTATGAAAAATAACAAATGGTGCTAATAAGAACTTACAATAGAAGATTTGATCTATTCAAAGAGGTCCAGAAAGCTTTCTCTGGCCAGGTGTGGTGGCTCATGGTTGTAATCTCAGCACTTTGGGAGGCTGAGGCTGGAGGATCACTTGAGTCCAGGAAGTCAAGTCTGCAGTGAGCTATGATCAAGCCACGGCACTCCAGCCTGGGTGACAGAGCAAGACCCTGTCTCCAGAAAAAAAAAAAAAGAAAGAAAAGAAGAAAAGAAAAGAAAGCTTTCTTTGAAGAATTGACCACCAAATTGAGATCTAAAGAATTATTAGTCGGGCATGGTGGCTCACACCTGTAATCTCAACACTTTGGGAGGCTGAGATGGGAACCCTAGAGGTTGAGGCTGCAGTAAGCCATGATCACACTACTGCACTCCAGCCTAGATGACCAAGTGAGGCCCTGTCTCAAAAAAAAAAAAAAAAAAAGGCCAGGCATGGTGGCTCACGCCTATAATCACTTTGGGAGGCCAAGGTGGGCAGATCACGAGGTCGGGAGATCGAGAGACCATCCTGGCTAACACAGTGAAACCTTGTCTCTACTAAAAACACAAAAAATTAGCCGGGCATGGTGACACACACCTGTAGTCCCAGCTATTCAGGAGGCTGAGGCAGGAGAATAACTTGAACCCAGGAGGCAGAGGTTGCAGTGAGCAGAGATCGTGCCACTGCACTCCAGCCTGGGTGACAGAGCGAGACTCCGTCTCAAAAAAAAAAAAAAAAAATTACCAAATGTTATCTAGGTAAAGAGGAGTGTGAGGAATGTTCAAGGCGGAGGTAACAACATGTGTGCAAGGCCCTATGGCAGAGGAAGCATGGCAAGGACAAGAAAATGAGCATGCTATAAGAAGCTGGAGAGACACCATGTAGGACATTGATAGCCATTTTAAAAGGTTCTTTGGGAGGTAAATGAAGTTCTATTTGTGAAGCACTTTTAGCACAGAGTCTGGAACACAGTTCTATGGATTAGCTGTTGTTACTGTGGAAAGTAGATGAACAGAAAACGTATATAAGGAAATGCAGATTTAAAATAATCATGGAACATTTTAAGGCTCAGAAATCCAATGAATGAAATTAACATAATAAAGTACTATTTTATGCTAGTTATATCAGAAAAAAAGTCATGATTTTTACCTGATACAGTTTAAGTACAGAGGTTAAGAGGCTTTGAAAAAAAACAGACTGGTTTCAAATCCGGGCTTTTCCATTTCATGGGTAAAAATGAACATAATATTTTCCTCTTGGGGTAGTTGTAACGATTAAACGAGATCACGTACGGCAAAGCACTTAGCAGATTGCCTAGTACATAGTAAGTAGGCAAAATGTTTTCATCTTTTATTCTCTTTTATATTTATTAAGTCTAGCAAGGTGGTAGAGAAGATGATAAATTCATATATTGCAAATTAGAAAAACTCCTTTGGAAATACATTTGGTAATACTTAACCAATTAGATGCTAATAGTCTTTGACCCAGTAATAACATTTTTGGGGATCTAGCCTAAGGATTAATCCAAAAGAAGGGAAAAACCACATGGAAAAATATATTCATATTAGTGTTATCAATAATCATGAAAAACTAGAAATAACTGTTTAACAATGGAGAAATAAATTATTTGGGTATTACTATGTCTCAGGAAGTTTATATACTTATTATCTTCACAGCAGTTCTTCAAAGTGAATATTATTCCCACATTTTACTGACTTAATCCAAGGTCACATAGCTAATCATGGGCATAACTTAAATTCAAACCAAGATTTATATGACTCCAAAGTTTTTATGACTTCAGATGACAAAGCAAGACTACCTGAAATTGAAATTCAGTTCCACCACTTACTAGCTATGTGACCCTGAGCAAGTTAATTGACCTCTCTGTTTGTTTCCTCACCTATAAAATGGAAATGAAAACAGTACCTTCCTCAATGGAGCAAATGAGTTTATATATGAGTGTTTAGAACAGTGTCTGTAAGAGGTATAGAAGCATTCTCTATTATGATTATTATTCTTTCATTATAAAACCAGATGGACAGGCTGGGCGCGGTGGCTCACACCTGTAATCCCAGTACTTTGGGAGGCCAAGGCAGGCAGATCATGAGGTCAAGGGATCGAGACCATCCTGGCCAACATGATGAAACCCCATCTCTACTAAAAATACAAAAATTAGCTGGGTGTGGTGGCACACTCCTGTAGTCCCAGCTACTGGGGAGGCTGAGCCAGGAGAATAGCTTGAACCCGGGAGGTGGTGGTTGCAGTGAGCCGAGATCATGCCACTGCATTCCAGCCTGGTGACAGAGTGAGACTCCATCTCAAAACAACAACAACAACAACAACAACAACAAAACCCACATAGACAAATATATGTCCATGTGATGATGCTGCATCATCAACTATTAAAAATCATATACATTTTAATCAGCCTGATAATTTTGGTATAATGGTAAGTGAAAATATGAGAACACAAAATTGTATCTATGCTATAATTACAATAATATTAAAAATTTACATAAATGGACAAGAACTAGAAGATCCACAAAAAAAGCTATTGTTGGTTTTCATGTGTGTGTATGACAGGGTCCCACTCTGTCTCCCTGGCTGGTGTGCAGTGGTGCAATCTCAGCTCACTACACCCTCCACCCCCTGGGGTCAAGTGATCCTCCCACTTCAGCCTCCCAGGTAGCTGGGATTACAGGCATGTGCCACCACTTCTGGCTAATTTTTTATTTTTAGTGGAGACGGGGTTTCATCATGTTGCCCAGGCTTGTCTTGAACTCCTGGACTCAAGCCATCTGCTCGTCTCAGCCTCTCAAAGTGCTGGGATTACAGGCGCGAGCCACCTCACCTGGCCAAGATCCACAAAAAAAGTTTTGATTTGTTAGAATGTTGGTATTATGGTGAGTTTACTTTCTTTTAACTTTCAATAATATTGTTTTATAACAATAATAAGGAACGTTTGAAAATACCTTTAGAAATTTCAACAGTATAGTTGCATCCTGCTGTTTCTGCTGTGTAGAAACTATACTAACTATGTCCTTACCCTAAAACTTACCCTAAAACTAGGTCCTTTGAGAGACTCAGTGTCATTGGATGAAGTAGAACACTATTGGATAAGGATTAATGTTACAGCTCTGTAATAAGACAGATCTGAGTTAAATTTCATCTCTATGGCTGAACAGCTGAGTGAGCTTAGGCCAATTATTTAACTTCTCAGAGCTTCAGTTTCCTCATTTGTAAGTCAGAAATGACATTTGTAGCTATTTCACAGGGTTTTCTTAAGGAGTAGTAAATAAGAAAATGAATGTTGATGTTTCCTTGACCACCTCACCCAGACTATCACAATTATATTAAATATTTAATATAGCAATTAGTTGTTTAATGTCTGCCTCTCTAAGACATATCTATTGCCTTATAACATAAGCTCCACTAAAGCATGGAGCATTGCATTGCATTCCTAGCATCTAGGGCATTACTTTGCACACAATAAGCACTCAATGAATGTTTATATGAATGTATAAAAACCTTAGATGGGTGGTCAGTGGTAGTTTCAACTACAGAAAAGTTACTGAATTTAGTCCTGGCACAGGGAAAAGACATAAGCAGCATGGCACTGGCTTCAGCTGCCATTAACAGGACTGCCACATCCAATTATGAATACAGTCCTCTCACAGTATCTGTGGGGGACTGGTTCCAGGACCACCCCCTTCAATTACCAAAATCTGTGGATGCTCAAGTCCCTCATATAAAATGGCATAGTATTTACACATACTATACATGACCTCTTGTATATTTTAAATCATCTCTACATTACTTATAATACCTAATACAATGTAAATGCTAGATAAATTGTTGTTATGCTTTATATTTTTTATTTTTTGTTGTTGTGTTATTTTTGGTATTTTTTTCAAATATTTTTGATCCATAGTTGGTTGAATCCAAGGATGTAGAACTTGGGGATACAGACAGCCATCTGTATTGTTCTCTGTACAAAGATGTATGGCCAAGAAGGAAGTGGAGACTGAAATCTGAACCATGGACCTGGGGAGAGGGTAAAGGGGTTAGGATGCTCAGGGAATCTACCTGGAAATAGAGATGCCTTTTGATAATTCCCTTAAAGTTACCACCAGTTAAGTGAACAGTGGCCTTGTGTCACAGAATGAGTCCTCAAACCTCGGAAACATAAAATCCTGGGAGAATACATTAAGGGCTTAAGATGGGACACAGAACATGACCAGATGGAAAGCCCTCTGATTTAGTGGCAGTATTTACCTTGTCCAAGCAAGCAGTCTAGCCTCATTCACTACTCCTCTACTCCCCCAAAGCTCTCTATCTGGTGTCTCATCTGAAACCTTTAGATGGAGCTGAGAGGAAGACTCTATTTTTCCACTGGAGGACATGAGTCAGTGAACAGTGAGGTTACACTTAATCACTACCCAAAAACAAGGTCCTTAAAATCAGGAGCTAGAAAAGCAAGGAAGTGATTAATATAAAAGTCAGGATAGTGATTATCCCTTGGCCAGGGTAGGACAGGACAGGGGCAGATGGGTGTAGGGGACCTGATGGGGCATGGGTCTTCGGGGGTCTGACAGTTTCTTGACTTGGGTAGTGGTTGCACTGCTAATGGTTGCTTTATAATTATACTTAAATGTTTTATGTACTTTTCTAAATGTGTATTATATTGCACAATATTAAGCAGCTAAAAAAAACTATAACAAGTTTTTAAGCAGGGAAAAAATGACCAGATTTGGCTGGGCGTGGTGGCTCATGCCTATAATCCTAGTACTTTGGGAGGCTGAGGCGAGTGGATTACCTGGTTGGACAGACCAGCCTGGCCAACATGGTGGAACCTTGTCTCTACTAAAAATACAAAATTAGCCAGGCGTGGTGGCTCATGCCTGTAATCCCAGCTACTTGGGAGGCTGAGGCAGGAAAATCGCTTGAACCAGGGAGGTGGAGGCTGCAGTGAGCCGAGATGGTGTCATTGCATTCCAGCCTGGGTGACAAGAGCAAAACTTTGTCGCCCCCAAAAAAAAGACCAGATTTGTATGATTAAAAGATCACTTGGGTGTTGAACTGAAAATTGACTGAAGGTGGGGCAAGGCTAGAGGCAGAGAAGCCAGTTAGGAGGTAGCTGCTATATTTTGGTGAGAAATTATAATGACTTTAGCTGAGAAAAGGTAAAATATTAGGGATATAGTCTACATTTTTTTTTTTTTGAGACAGAAGTTCGCTCTTGTTGTCCAGGCTGGAGTGCAACAGCTCTATCTCAGTTCACTGCAACCTCTGCCTCCCGAGTTTAAGCGATTCTCCTGTGTCAACCTCTTGAGTAGCTAGGATTACAGGTGCCTGCCACCACGCCCAGCTAATTTTTGTATTTTTAGTAGAAATGGGGTTTCATTATGTTGGCCAGGATGGTCTCAAACTCCTGACCTCAGGTGATCCACCCGCCTCGGCCTCCCAAAGTGCTGGGTTTACAGGTGTGAGCCACTGCCCCCGGCCAGTCTACATTATTTTAAAAAACACAACCAAAATAAAACAGAGGCCGGCACTGCCCCTCAGCTCACTTTTTACATCTATGCCTTGGGTTACCTTGGCTTAGGAATTATAGTCCAGGGGCAGGGACATGTATACACATGTGCTAGAACTTCCTACTTATCTCCTTTCAGGTAACTCTACCAGAGGGGCTCAGACTGATCAGCCAGTGGCAGTGAGAGCACATTTTTCATAGTACCACAAGATTATCCATGTTGAGCTGACATCGGAGTTCCTATCATAATATCTAATCACTCAATAATATCTAATTACTCAAGACTTTCAGAGTGTTTTCACATCTGCTATCCGGTACCAGAGTGTTAGCTCCAGGAGGCAAAGGTTTTGGTTCTTTTTGTTCACCGCTGTATTTTTAGTGCTTAGAACTGAACTTGGTACATACTAAGTGCTCAATAAATGGTACTCAATAAATGACCACATTTAATGATTGTTATTGATATTTAATCATCACAACAATCCTGTGAGGATAGGTAGGACATGTATTATTATCCCCATTTTATAAGTTAGAAAACAGAGAGATTTAAGAACATGTCAAATACTTCATAATTTGGTGAAAAAAAATCATGATTTAATTTCAGGTTTGTACTTCAGTTCCCCTCTTTCCACCCATTTCTTCACAACTGAAGAGCTAAGGTTTAAAATTCTTATATCTCTGAAACGCCAGCTGTAAGCATTCTAAAATACATGATAGGTACTATTAGACACCCTATGTTATCTGATATCTCAGCTTGTAGGGTGAATGAGGCCTACCCAGCTGCCATTGCATCAATAATCACAGTTCTCTCAAAGGAGATTCACTGTTCTTCTGGGTAATCTAATCCACCCAACCTGAAGCTACCTTGTACTCATGTTTCTCTCCTTGACCTACACTTGTCTCTACTCTCCATCCTAGCCATTCCACTTCTCCAAGCAAAAGAAGTTAAGGAAGCCCTGTTATTGAAAAAACACATGTTATAATATATTTTTCATATGAAAAAGAAAAGAAAAATGATGGCCAGACATAGTGGTTCATGCCTGTAATCCCAGCACTTTGGGAGGCAAGATGGGAGGATTGCTTGAAGCCAGGAGTTCGAGACAAGCCTGGGCAAAAAAGCAAGGCTCGTATCTACAAAAAAGAAAAAAACAATTTTTTTTTAAATTAGCCAGGCATGGCGATACACACCTGTGGCCCCAGCTACTCAGGAGGCTGAGGCAAGAGAATCACTTGAGGCCAGGAGTTCAAGGCTACAGTGAGCTGTGGTTGCACTGCTGCACTCCAGCCTGGGTGACAGAGTAAGATTCTGAATCTTAAAAAAACAAACAACAACAACAAAAAAAACTGTGGCAGTGGGTAGTTTTGGTGCTCTTCAAAAACCTTTGTCAACCAAATAGAATCCCAGAGGGGAGGCTAAAAATGTAATATTGCATGAAAAGTTAACATTGGTCTCTTTCTTCTTAATATTAATTAAAATTAGTAATATAAAGCATAAACCACAACTTAGATACCTGGGGAAATCTGGATGTTCAATTAATATTAGTGTTTTTACATCTGGAGTTGTATATGTCTTCTGTAGGATTCCTAACCAAACTCCAAAGAACTAGCAAACAAAATATTAAAACCAGTAATTTTGAGAGAATACCTGAAATACATGCAAACCACTCAGAGAAGTCAAACTTTTTTTTTTCTGTCTTCCCCGCCAAGGTCTCATATTTACTTTATCCCAAGAGCAATTTGGTCTCGGAAAATTGGACCCCCATAGTCAGTTAAATAGTGTATGTAACTACCCTGAGAGGGTCACATACAGGACTCACCAGAAATTCATTGGCAAACTCCTCTTTAGTAATTTTCTTGCTTTGGGCCTCATCCAGGAACTTCTGCAGAATTTCTCTTTGGTCCATGCTGCAGAGCAAGAAAAATAGTCTATAAGTAGGTTGAGGGAGGGCATGTCAAATGTGTGTCATGGCCGAGACACCTCCAAAAAGCCACTGCTGCCGCCTGAGCAGAGCATGCTGAAGGCTGTGGTTTACTGACTTCATCACAAGCCCTAGAGGAAATTAGTACGTAACCACCTTCTGTGGTCACATAACACAGCCATCATCTCACTCCAGGGCCCTAGTGCCTTCCTTCTCAGCAAAGGAACCTGGTTACAATTCAAATTTTTAACAAACAAGAGGCTAACTAGAACGTAAAGTGTGGTCTGCTTAACTGAGATTATTCCATTCCATCACCCATATGCAAAACTCACCTTTCTTCTTGCCTCCCAGAGAAAGAACAGAATTACAGGTCTCCTGAATGAGTTCTGTCTCTCCCCATTTTCCCAGTGAGCACAAGGGCCAAGTTGACACCTTCTGTTTCCTTATGTCCCAAATGAACTCTGCAAAGTTCAGTTAGGCCCAGGAAAGAAGACAGACACTGTTTAGAGTGAGTGACATGTCTTCTACCCGGACTGTTCATCGAAAGGTTTCTTGTCAGTGTGATCAATGAGAAACTTCTGTTCATCACAGAAGGTATTTTTATTCATAACTTTTAAGTCTGCTATATATACCTCAAACTCCCTTTTGAATGAAGCAAAGTCAGATGCTTCTGACAGTCTGTGTCTCTCCCAGGACTGGGGAAGTGCTGACCTCCATTAAGGGAAGTGTTGATTTCAGCACCTCTTCAACCCTCCCAGTAACCTTTGAAGCTTCACTTGGGTTCTGGATATAAAGACTAAGAGTGTTGGTCTATATAGGATCTAGAGCAAGTGGCCCCCACAAGGAGCACCTGACCAGACAGTTAGCTCAATACCCTGCATATGTAATGCTGGTAAACTGTGATGGAACAAAAAGAAAGTAAAATCAACCACCTTGCTGACAACATTGTAACTTTTAGGGCAGAAAGCCTGAAGAACTGTTTCTAAAGAACACATTTCTACTCTGCAACCAATGTCTTAGGAAATAAATTTGTTTCAGGAAGTTATGCTGTGCCTGTGGCATTTTGGCCCTGAAAGGCAGGCTCTTCTAGAAAAACTTTCCACATTTGAGCTTGCATAACCTCTCAATGGGTACAAGTCTACCCAAGTGCCTAATTCAGTGTGAGAACATCCAAAAATCAGTATATCATCTTTATTGAAGGCAGAAGTTCAACAAATGTTAACAAAATTAGTCTTGATCCTGAAGAAAACTGGGAAATGTGTTGTTAGGACTTCCTCTATTTAAGATATTAGCAATCCTTTCTGTTTTGCAACATTATTCAAACTTCCTTCAGGATATCATGATTCTGAACACTGCTTAATCTGAACATTAAAGATACTGCATGCTCTTTACTAAGTACTGCAAAAAAAAAAGAAAGATCATCGAGATATCTTGGTTATAGACAACTTAAAGACAATATTTCAAATTAAGAAACTCAATCCCAGTATACATAAATTAAAATAAACCCTCATTCTTCAGCAATATTTGTTAGGAATAGTATATTTCTTAAATTATCCCCATCTAGAATTAAGAGAGAATTTCTTGCTGCTCTAAGTAACGTGATGTTTACTTTGGCTATTTTAAAACATAAAATATGGGAAATCTTTGATTTATAAAAATACAAAATTTCAAGTTTGTAATAACTAAAACCATGTAAAAGTGTGTACATAGTTAAAGACTAAAAGAAGCAAAAAAGAATCAATTGTGTAAGTTTGCTTTCTAAAATTATCATAATTTTAGAATTATGATAAAGTTTGCTTTCTAAAATTATCATACCGTTTTTAAAATTAGAAATAAACATTTAAAAATCCATTAAGTTGTTCAACAAATTTATTGAGTACCCACTAAATTCTAAACATTGTCTTAGGAGATTGGCATACAACACTGAGAAAGCCAGAATATGGTAAAAACAAAACAAAACAAAACAAAAACATCCTTAGCCAGTTAATAAAGCAACTCAGAACTAAAGATACAGACATGATTACTGATAAAAATTAAAACACTCCTTAGGTAACTTTGGGAAAGAAAATAAAAATAAAAACATTCCAAACTAACTTGCTTAATTGCAGAGTAGCAAAGCATAATCCTAAAAGGAAAATGATTTTCTATGTTTGGACAAAGAAGATAATATAGTTTTATAATTTCTCTGTACCCTTAGAATGTCCTCAATTACACAAAACTAGAACTTTATTAATTTTTATTAATTGATGAGGCAAACCTGCCTAATAAAATTTAAATCTATTTTTCTCAAGCCTATATTTCAGCACAATCTCTTACTAACTTTCTTGTTTCTTCTTAATGAGGGAGAAGACAGAAATAAATAGGAGATAACAAAAAAAATTTTGCTTAGATGCCTCCATAGTCCCTTTCCTCAAAATCTAAGAATCTGTAAATAGTGTCTTGGCAGAACTTCACACTTTTTTAAAAAAGCAAGCAGCAATCTATTCTACTGTAAACCCAAAAGGTATAGAGACATTGTGAAATAACCAAACCCCCAAAACCCACTTAGCTACAAGGCCATTTCCTGAGCAGACCACTCAAGCAAGCAAAAAACAAACTGAAGAAGAAAACAAAAAACTTTAATTATTTTTTTTGTTTTGGGTTTTTTTGTTTGTTTGTTTGTTTTGTTTTGAGACAGGGTCTTGCTATGTTACCCAGACTAGTCTGGAACTCCTGGGCTCAAGTGATCCTTCCACTTCAGACTTCCAAGTAGCTGGAGCTATTATTTTTTTTTTAAAAAAATAAGCTACTACTTAATTTATCACACTTCCTTCTACAGAGCACAATGCTTTTTGATGAAGATTGTGTTGACTCATTTGTATCTTGCGGGAAGATAAAGAGCTGGGGAGGGGAAACAAGACATGCAGTAAAGGTTGGCAAATACCTAAAAGAGTTTCAGAATTTATGATGAATCATTTAAACCAGTCTGGCATAAAACCTAAGTGAACACAATTCCATGCAATAAAAAAAGACTCACAAACATTTTGCCAGAACCATCAAGTAAATTGTGGGAAGTAAATTGTGGATAAGCACCTGAAGAGGAGTGACAAGGCCACATCTCACTGCTGCCTCATGTGGCTGTAGTGCTTGGTCAGAAGGAAGAACACAACAGAGAAGAGTGCTGGTCACCATGTCACCTGTTCCAAGAAGAGGGGAGTATGCTAGTTTAAGGGGAAATATCAGTATCACAGAGGTCAGGAATTAGATTACAATAAACATTAATTGAGGAGAATTTCAGGGAAGACTACAAGGGTAAGATAAACTATTCAATAGGAAAAACATTCAGGATTCTCAGAACATCCTTCTGTCTTTTAGATGAGGGGGAGACATGTTTTACCCTGGAGAAGATACTTACCCAACCTTAGCTTTAGTTTCACTACTCTTGCCTTTCCCTACATTCCAGGGTCATTGATTTGATATGGGATATATATACTGTCTGTGAAACATTCAGTCCTTTGTAAGCATTCTTTTGATCACCAAGGCCTATTGGAAATTTCTCCTCAATGTCTTTTAGATTCAACCTGTCTTTTCCATTCCCACTTAGCCCCATTCCCACTTTCACACCCGGATTCCTATAGCAATAAACTTAGAGTATCTTCCTATCTATATGTTTCCATTCTAGTATCTCCTGTTAACCAAGGCTGGATGAAAGTTCTTAAAACTGCACTTTAATGCTAAAGAATCAGAATAGTTATTGATGATCTACGGGAACAAGTCCAGATTCCTTAGCTTGTCACCAAGCCCCTCCCTGTCAACTATCCCCACCCAACCTATCCAAGCACATCACCTACAGACCTCGTTCGTTCTACTACCACTTTTTTCTACTTCTCACCTTTACCCCTAAGTTTCACCACAATGAAAATAAAACCATAAAGCTCAATTTTTCTTCAAAAATCTTGCCCCTAACTCTGTTTCGCCATGATCTTCCCTTAGTCTGAATCTCTTCAATATAAATCTGTATATTCAGCTATAGAAGTTTTCATTTATTCAATTTCCTTGTCTCCTATAAGTTTATTTAAGAGTTTATTCAAAAGATGTCCCCTGTATTTTCAGATTTATCAAAGGCAATGATAGTGTATTCTATGCGTTTGTATAACCCACAGTGCTTAACATGGTCTTGAGTATACCTAAAAATAAGTCTGTTGTGATAAAGTAGCTAATGTGGTTACGCTTTGGTGAGGGATCTACTCTCACTTGGTTACTCATTATATCAATTACTCCAAGTCTCTTGTCTGGCACAGTCTGTGCTTCTTGTCTCTAGCTAGGCACTTTCATTATGCCAGGAGCAGATGGGCCTTCCTACATGGAGGCACAGGAACCTGGCAAAGGGTACTTTCCTGAATGCTGCTGCCCAAGCAGCAGGGCTATTATTATGAAAGGAATGGTGTCAATACTGAGCTTCAGAGTCCATCTCTGAAGAACTGCAATGGCCAGAAATAAATGACCTCCTTTATCTCTAGAGTAGGCTTGTTTTTCCTTTTATAAATGAACACAGAAGAGGCTTATAAAATACCTTTAACGAAGCTTGTTTGATTTTCTCATGTTTTCACATCATCCCGGGTAGGAAAAGTCCCCCTACCCATCTTTCAATCTACTGCTTGTCACTACAGCATTCTGAGACTTCACTAAGTCCTTCAGTTCACCTGCTGCAGACTTCATAGTCAACCTCCCACTACACAGGGAAGCATACTCTGCCTTTGGTTTCAAAATCCTCAAGAAGCAAAGGTCAACCAATAACTTGCAATTGAAGTTTTTTTTTTTTTTTTGGAGACAGAGTTTTGCTGTTGTCACCCAGGCTGGTGTGCAATGGTGCTATCTCGGCTCACTGCAACCTCCGCCTCCTGGGTTCAAGCAATTCTTCTGCGTCAGCCTCCTGAGTGGCTGGGATGACAGGCATGTGCCACCACGCCCAGCTAATTTTTGTATTATTAGTAGAGATGGGGTTTCACCATGTTGGCCAAGCTGGTCTTGAACTCCTGACCTCAGGTGATCCACCCGCCTTGGCCTCCCAAAAGTGCTGAGATTACAGGCGTGAGCCACCGAGCCCAGCCTGAAGCATTTTTTTTTTAAAATAAAGAGCATCAGGACTCTTAAAGCTTAGCATCCTTTTCAAATATAATCAAACTTGAAGTCTCATCTGAGTCAATCAGCTATTCATTCATTTAATGAATATTTTTAATATCGATGTACATGCCAGATAATGAAGAGGAGGGGTGTTACAGAAGTATACAACAAATTGTATCATTCAGCAATCCTTTATCCTAGTGGGGAAGATGACTATACAGATAATTACAACTTAAGGCCATTTTTTGGATAAGAAACATAAAAGTGGTACAAACAAAAGTTCAAGGAGGCAAAGACCACTTCTTATTCTGGTTATATGGATAGCCTTCATGGAGAAGGCTTCATGACAGTTGGGTTGGGTCTTGAAGATGTCTACAGGTAGAGCCTCAGAAAAAGGAATATGAAACATAGGGAACAGTAGGAGGAGGGCAGCTTTAGTGACTGGCTCGGTTATACTAGAGCATTGGGATTGTAGAGGAGAATCATGATTGATTAAGGCTATATAGGGCAGTTAGGGCCAGATACTGGGGGAATTTGAATATCAGACTGTTATTTGATGAACAGTAGGGAGCAGCTGAAGGTTTTTTTTTTTTTTTTAAAAAAAACAACCTTATTAAGGTAGTGCTGATGTACAATAAACTACACATTTCAAAGTATGCAGTTTGATAAGTTGGTGTGAAATCATCACCCATAAAATCACTACAATCAAGATAATGAACATGTCTAATCACACTCAAAAGTTCCACTGAAGGACTTTAAGAGAATGGCATTCAAAGCAATGCTTTTGGAAAGTTATTTCTTGATTTAAAAAATAAATGCCCCCTTCTGATAAGATGTTTAAGTCTTGTAATCTTCATTGGTATGTTAAATTTAAAAATGAATGATACCATATCTAAAAATGAATCAAAATAATAGACAAAGAAACCACAGCTTTGATCAATCTGATGGCAGTATATAGGACAGACTGGAATGGAGCAGGAACAGAACAATCTATTGAAAGCCTAAGTAGGAGGCTTTATTAATAGTCCAGGCAGTTGCTAATAAATCTGGTAGAAGAACCAGGACAAAAATGAAGTAACAAATGAGAAAAACTAGTTGGGTGAGTTGGACTGGAGAGAGAGAGACAAGGTAAAAATGACTGAGGTTTTGAGCTAGTTGTATCGCAAACAGGGAGAGTATGGGGATAAGAAAGGTACACATAAATAAATAATAAGCATCTGTGGGTATGGAATTGAGAAGGGAAATAAATCATATTTAGGAATCACTCACATTGATGTGAAAGTAAAGCCATTAAGAGTGGTTTGCATCTGTGAGAGACAGGGTTAATGGAGAGAGAAAAAAGTCAAGCTAGAACCTTATGAACTGCATAACACAGAATTCCAAATTGCTAATGGCACAGTGTTTAAAATATTCCAAGTACTCACCCTTTACAAAATGTATTTGTTTTATTTATCTCTCACAAAAATCTTATTAATAAGTTACCAAATCATCTCTATTTTACAAATGTAGAAACTAAGGTACAGAAGAATTATGTCTCTTGCCCAATGTCACATAATTAGCCTATGGTGAAACTAAAGTGTTAAAATCAGGCAATCTGAATCCATTTTTAATTCCTGGGTTACAATGTCTTCTTCCTGCAGCCCAATCACTTAAGCTCTCCTAAGATAGAGTCTCTTAAAATACACAACACCTAGGCCAGAGCTGCTTAACGCATTTGCCTAGTATAATCCCCGTGGGCACCATATCTTCAAATCTCAAGATAATGCAGTATACTTGGAACTGTTTTATGAGCAACATAGGATAAAACTGGGAGCTGGAATTATTCAATTTAGATTGAATTTGCTGAAACTTAGTTCAAATGCATAGACAGAAGTTTATTTCATAAAACAGAATAGCAACAAAGTAAAAATTTTGATTTTGCCTATGAAGTCAAATACCACAAAACTCATCATCTTGAGTTTATAGTAACATAAGGGACAAAGGAGTACAAGTTTCTTAACTGGTAGCCAAAAATATAATTTCTACTAAAGAGAAACAGGACACATCATTTATGGATTACTAACTTGTTGTGATTTAACTAGGAATAGAGGAAAAAGCATAACTTTATTTATTTTCTTTTTTTTTTTTTAGACAGTTTCGCTTTTGTAGCCCAGGCTGGAGTGCAATGGCGCGAACTCAGCTCACAGCAACCTCCGCCTCCCAGGTTCAAGTGATTCTCCTGCCTCAGCCTCCTGAGTAGCTGGCATTACAGGCACGTGCCACCAAGCCTGGCTAATTTTTTGTATTTTTAGCAGAGACAGGGTTTCACCATGTTGGCCAGGCTGGTCTCAAACTCCTAACCTCAGGTGATCCACCCGCCTTGGCCTCCCAAAGTGCTGGGATTACAGGCATGAGCCACTGCGCCAGGACAAAGCATAACTTTAAAAAGCAAAAATGTATTAACAGCACTACATATTTACTTCTCTGCATTTAGAGGAGATACATAGATGGCTGGCTGATAGAGGGGAAGTGGTTAGCTTTGTTAAACTTTAGCCAAAGTTATTAATGCTGCTTTTCATGAATCACTGTAGCAATGCCTTTCTTCTTGATATTTAGGAAAGTAGTCTGGTTTTTGGAGTCTCTACCTGATGACTGCCTACTAATCTATTAGATCATTAAGGACTATTTTGAGATACAAGATCATACAAATCATAAGCTTTGCTTCCAATCACTCTCACTTGTAGGGCCAGAGAAATGGACTACTCAGGAGCTACAGAGCTCTCTGATTGGCTGAAGACCCAGAGAAACTGTGGATTATGCAAGAACTAACAAACATATGGAGACTAAGTTCCCAAAGAAGAGTTAAATATCTTTGAGTTTAAACCCTATCTACAGCTGTGTTTGCTGGAATTGTCAGGACTGTAATAGAGTTTCAGTTACCAAGGAGAAATGTTGATTTAGAGAAGGGGTCAGCCAACTTTTTCTGTAAAGGGCCAGCTAGTAAATATTTTGGACTTAACCAGCCATATGGTCTTCTATAATCATTCAACTCTGCCATTGTAGCACAAAAGCGGCCATGGACAATATGTAAACAAGTGAATGTTGCTCTATTCCAATAAAACTTTATTTACAAAATAAGACAGCAAGCCAGATTTGACGCGTGGGTTGTAATTTATCAATCTATTCTCTATAGTGATGGCTGTCACACTCTATATGTACATCAGAATCACCTATGGAACTAGTTTAAAAGGTAGGTTCCTAGGCTCCAGCCTACCCCTACAGAATCAGAATCTCTAGGAATGCGAATCAGCAATTCAATAAGGTCCACAAGTGGTGTGTGAACCACACTTTTAAAGCTTTGTGTTATGCAGCTAGCTTCATCTAAGCTGGGGTGGCCTTGCTGTCCTAGATGTGGGCCAGCACTTCCTGCATCCTGTGGCAGTAAAAATGGAGTAACTTTTATTTTCTTTGACCTTCCTAGTAGAAACAACTGTTTTTGTTTGTTTGTTTGTTTTTTGCTTCCAACCTCTAAAATGCATAAAATAGTCCTTCTCAGGTGAAATTAACATGAAGTTTAGGGATGATTTTGAATGAAAATGCTCAACTTAAAATAACAAGATTTTAGGCCGGGCGTGGTGGCTCACGCCTGTAATCCCAGCACTTTGGGAGGCCAAGGCGGGCGAATCACGAGGTCAGGAGATCCAGACCATCCTGGCTAACACGGCGAAACCTCATCTCTACTAAAAATACAAAAAATTAGCCGGGCGTGATGGCGGGCTCCTGTAGTCCCAGCTACTCAGGAGGCTGAGGCAGGAGAATGGAGTGAAACCGGGAGGTGGAGCTTGCAGTGAGCTGAGATCGCACCACTGCACTCCAGCCTGGGTGACAGAGTGAGACTACGTCTAAAAAAAAAAAAACAAGATTTTTCAACCAAAAAGCTTCCTGAAATCCTTTAAATTGCAAAATTAGTAGGCACAATTCTTACCAAAAGACAGGGCTACATCTGAAGAAATAGTTTCCATTGTTCTCCCTTTCTCTCAAAATACCTCCAGCAAAGGCCTGCCCTGTTGCTTATAATTCCACTACTAACAAGTCATTACTTTGTGTCTAGGGGTCTTTGCTTCAACAGAACCTCATTAAAACTCATGTGAAAACAGAAAGTAGAAAATCTCTGTGGTTTGCATTAAGTTGACAAAACAAAACAAAACAAAAACCAACTCTGCAGGCCTCTGGCAGCTGCTCCCAACTTTAACAATCAGTAAAAAATAACTTATTCAGCTAAGTTCAGTTCTGATAAAATGAAAAAAGTGCTTTTTTATTTGTTTGTTTGAATTCCCAGGAATCAATCACCCAATCAGTCAACAAGGAAGTGATGTTCAGTCTCGTGAATAGCTCCAACTCTTCAGCTCTCCAGATTTTCCTAGGGAAGACAGAGAAAATCCTACAGTCAAAGGAATTGCTTTCAGGAACTTCCTAAGAAACCAGGAAATGATCTGCAGATAGCTCCAGGAAATGTAGCTCTTATTAAGGCTTTCACTGACCCTGTAAATGGAAAGGAGTGCTCTATGACAGCATAAGTTCTGATGATTACTAAAACATGGGCTTAGAATACCTTATATAGTTACCACTACAGCAAAGACTGTTTTTTCTTAGATACTATTAAGGTGATTCTGACTTCCCTAACACACACATAGAGAAGTTAGGAAAAAAAGACCCAGAAATTTACAAAGGAACGGAGTGAAGCCAGGCTGAAATTAGAACTCTATCATGAATATACTTTATAGATGATTATGTGTAGGAAATGAAGATTAGCTTTACAGTAGTCAGCAGTCAATATTTAAGGTAGCATGACTCGAGTCCAACATCCACAGGCTGAGCTTCTGTCTGCTCCATTTTTCCATGGCAAGAAAATCTAGGCATTTTCAGCAAAATAGGGAAGCCTGTTTTCCTGTTGGTTTCCAATTTACAAAAAGGGTCATGAATTGGAATCCCAGGTATTAGTACAAAAACAGTGCAAATACCTAGCAAAACCAGGAGCCCCAACAAACTTACCCAACCTCCCTGGCCCTGGATGAACTCCCGGATGGCTTGGTTCCCATTGATCATACCCGTCATGGGGATAGCCACCTGTCCCACTACTTCAGGAGCAATGTGAGCCATGTACTCAAGAAGTTTCACTGACACTGCCAGAAAAGCTCTCTCATAAGCTAAGCTGGAATCCTGAGCACACCAGGTCTTGCTGAGAGATTCCACAGTGTCCTGGAGTATAGCTCCTGTCTGAGGAAAGACAAAGGAAACATCAACAGAGTATCACTCAAAAAGTGCAGGAGGCTGCAGGTGCAGGAATCCAGTAAAGCAATTGTTTCTTAGAGTGCCAAATGTGCAACTGGTGGTAACTAAGGAAATCTTAGAGAGTAGATGAATAATCTTTTCTCATTTTAATATTTTGTTATCTTAATGGGCACTTGAAAATACATAAGTAGTCCATCAAACCCATGACTTCAGGTATTATTGCTTAGGTTAAACAAAATGAATGAAAAATGATTTGAAAGAAAAATATTAAGTATGTGATAGTCCAGCTGGTTAAATTGTAAAGGTATTGCTTGAATGACTAGGAAATGTCTGGGAGACTCTAAAGTAAAGGCCGGGGGCAGTGGCTCATGCCTGTAATCCCAGCACTTTGGGAGGCTGAGACTGGGAGATCACCTGAGGTCAGGAGTTCAAGACCAGCCTGGCCAACATGCTGAAACCCTGTCTCTACTAAAAATACAAAAATTAGCCAGGCATGGTGGTACAGGCCTGTAATCCCAGCTACTCAGGAGGCTGAGGCAGCAGCATCACTTGAACCTGGGAGGCGAAGGTTGAAGTGAGCCGAGATCACGCCACTGCACTCCAGCCTGGGCGACAGAGCGAGACTCCATCTCAAATAAAAAAAAGACCGAATGCAGTGGTTCACACCCGTAATCCCAACACTTTGGGAGGCGAAAGTGGGAGGATCACATGAGGTCAGGAGTTCAAGACTAGCCTGGGCAACATATTGAGACCCTGTCTCTATGAAAAATTTTAAAAAGTAGCTAGGCATGGTAGCACATGCCTGTAGTCCCAACTACTTATGAGGCTGAGGTTGGAGGATCACTTAAGCCTATGAGATTGAGGCTAGAGTGAGCTATCATTGAGCCACTACACTCCAGCCTAGGCAACAGAGAAAGACTGTCTCAAAAATAGTAGTTAATTAGAATTAATAATAAAATAATAATAATTCATTAAAATAATTGAGTAGCTCTTCCTTTTCCTCTTTCTTTTTCAAAAATGGAATCTAAAATCCATTAGGTGGGTCCAAGCAAGATCTGTGGGGATTTAGGGGGGCCAAGGGTGGTCAGAGCTGAATATCAGAGCCCAAACAAGCTGAAAAGGACATCCATGTGGGAGAGCACCTAGATCTTGATTTCTAAATATCATTCTCCATTAAAAGAAACCAGAGGCCGGGCGCAGTGGCTCAGGCCTGTAATCCCAGTACTTTGGGAGGCCAAAGCAGGCAGATCACGAGGTCAGGAGTTCAAGACCAGTCTGGCCAACATAGTGAAACCCCGTCTCTACTAAAAATACAAAAAATTAGCTGGGTGTGGTGGTATGCACCTGTAATCCCAGCTACTCAGGAGGCTGAGGCAGGAGAATCAGGTGAACCGGGGAGGCAGAGGTTGAAGAGAGCCGAGATTGCGCCATTGCTCTCCTGCCTGGGCGACAGCGCAAGACTCCGTCTCAAAAAAAAAAAAAGGCGGGCGGTGGCTCACACCTGTAATCCTAGCACTTTGGGAGGCCAAGGTGGGCGGATTGCCTGAGCTCAGGAGTTCGCGACCAGCCTGAGCAACATGGTAAAACCCCGTCTCTACTAAAATACAAAAAAAAAAAAAAAATTAGCCAGGCGTGGCAGTGTGTGCCTGTAGTCCCAGCTACTCAGGAGGCTGAGGCAGAAGAATTGCTTGAATCCGAGAGGCAGGGGTTGCAGTGAGCGGAGATCGTGCCACTGCACTCCAGCCTGGACAACAGAGTGAGACCCCGTCTCAAAAAATAAAAGAAACCAGAGCTCTCTGGAGAATGGTTGATTTCAGTTTGGGGCTAGGGAAGTATAAGATATTCTGTCAGAAATTAAGGAAGTACTCAAATAATAATAGAGACACATCAAAGAGATGCAGTCTAGAGTGAAAGGACTCCCACTAGCTAAAACTAGGATGATTTGAGCATCTAAATTAATAATGATGTTAACAGATTATAATCCACAGAATAAAGTAGGAATTCATGGGTCCAATGCTGATAAGAAATGAATGCAATGAAATTTTGATGAGATGTGGGATATTTACATAGTTTCAAAGTACCTCTCCATAAAACACTTATTAATTACAAAGGGGAAAAGAGTAACTTTATAGAGGAGAAGCTTTACAGACACCATCTTAAGTGATTAAAGTTAACAACATCAATACTGGTATAAAATGAAATCTTGTGCCAATTGATGCAATGCACTGAGAACACAGCAATACTTCTGTGATATTCCTGCCAAAGGTATATATCCTTAATTTATTCAAGAAGAAACATCAAGCAAACCCCAGTTAAGGGACATTCAACAAGATAGACCATAGTCTTCAAGTGTCAAGGTCATGAAAATCAAGGAAAGACTAAGGAAAAATTCCAGATTGAAGGAAACTAAAGAGAAATCACAACTAAATGCAGTATGTGATTCTGGCCTACAACTTTTTACTATAAATTACATTATCGGGACAAATGGCAAAACTTGAATGAGATCTAAGGATTAGATGATAATGAATCAATGTTAATTTCCTGGTTTTGATGGTTAGATTGTGGTTACATTACAGAATGTTCTTGTTTGAGGGAAGTATAAAAGTATTAGGGGTTGATGAAATATGTCAACTCCTTACTGTCAAATGATTCAAGAGAGAAATTATTTGTACTATCCTTGCAACCTTTCCCTGAGTTTAGGGCTGTTTCAAAATATATTTTTTTTTATTAAAACAAGTTCAAGTCAAATTATTTATTTATTTATTTATGTTTTTTTTTTGGAGACAGAGTCTTGCTCTGTCGCCCAGATTGGAGTACAATGGCACCATCTCGGCTCACTGCAAACTCCCCCTCCCTGTCAAGCAATTCTCCTGTCTCAGCCTCCCAGGTAGCTAGGATTACAGTTGTGTGCCACCATGCCTGGCTAATTTTTGTATTTGTATTTATTTATTTATTTTGAGAGAGGGTCTCGCTCTGTTGCCCAGGTTGGAGTGCAGTGGCGAGATCTCAGTTCACTGCAACCTCCTTCTGCCTCCTGGGTTCAAGCAATTCTCCTACCTCAGCCTCCCGAGTAGCTGGGATTACAGGTGTGTGCCACCATGCCCAACTAATTTTTGTATTATTAGTAGAGATGGGGTTTCACTATGTTGGCCAGGCTGGTCTCAAACTCCTGGCCTCAAGCAGTCCGCCCCTCTCGGCCTCCCAAAGTGCTGGGATTACAGGCATGAGCCACAGCACCCAGCCAAAAAAAAAAATATGTTTAATGAGAAAAAAAGTCAACTCAGCTATCAACTACCTAGGACAGCCTCAGGGCAAGCAACTGGGAGTAACAGGTCCAGCTCTGCCTGAACATAGTGTAGGCACACTGCCCAAGCTGTGTATAGTAGGACGAATAAAGCATAACGGTTAAGAGGGTGGTTCTTTTTTTGAGACAGAGTCTTGCTCTGTCGCCAAGGCTGGAGAACAGTGGTGTGATCTTGGCTCGCTGCAACCTCCACCTCCCGGGTTCAAGCGATTCTCCTGCCTCAGTCTCTCAAGTAGCTGGGATTACAGGCATGGGCCATCACACCCAGCTAAGTTTTGTATTTTTGGTAGAGACAGGGATTCTCCATGTTGGCCAGGCTGGTGTTGAACTCCTCACATCAAGTGATCCGCCCGGCTAATTTTTGTATTTTTAGGTAGAGACGGGGTTTCACCATTTTGGCCATGCTGGTCTGGAACTCCTGACCTCAGGTGATCCGCCCAGATGGGCCAGGCGCGGTGGCTCACCCCTGTAGTCCCAGGTACTTGGGAGGCTGAGGCAGGAGAATTGCTTGAACCCGGTGGGTGGAGGTTGCAGTGAGCCGAGATCGCGCCACTGCACTCCAGCCTGGGTGTGACAGAGTGAGACTCCATCTCAAAAAAAAAAAGCATAGGCTGGGTGTGGTAGCTCACGCCTATAATCCCAGCACTTTGGGAGGCCGAGGTGAGTGGATCACCTGAGCTTAGGCATTCAAGACCAGCCCGGGCAACATGGCAAAAACCCATCTTTACTAAAAATAAAAAAATAAAAAAAATAGATGGGCATGGTAGCACTTGCCTGAAGTCCCAGCTACTCAGGAGGCTGCAGTGGGAGGATCGCTTGAGCCCAGGAGGTGGAGGCTGCAGTGAGCTGAGATCACACCACTGCACTTGAGCCTGGGTGACACAGTAAGACCCTGTCTGAAAAAAAAAAAAAAAAAAAAGATACTATACTTTGCCAAGAATAAAGTGTTATAAATGTGCTCTGTGCACACTAAGCACAACAGCTGTGATGAAGACCAAGTAGAGACAAACTGAAGGTTCATCAGCCTATGCCCAAAATTTTCCATCTCTGTACCACTTAGGTTTTAGCAATTGGAGAATTCTTGCTATACTTCCTTGAAATATAAGCACCCAAATATTTTCATAGAACATTCCTAGTCACTGTAGTATGGGAGTAGTAAGAAAAGGAAGTTTGAAATAGAAAAAAAAGCAGCAAACAATAGCATGAAGTAGAAACTTGACCTGTCCCTTAATGGTTTCTGCAATGACGTTTTTGGCAGAAGCTTCCAATTCTCCGTTGAACTGGTCACCCAACATCCGAAGGCGACCAGCAATGATAGCCACATCAAAAGAACAAGGCTCTCCTATGACAGAGGGAACACATTTGTTACAATGCTTGAAGCAATGGCAAGTCCCAGGAATCTGGGCAATGAGAAAAATTTGTCTTGTCTTTTAAATAATTTTCATATCATGATCTCCCAAGAGCTTAAATGTTCTGTCAACACCAATAGTCAGAAAGTTTCCCTTCATTGAGAACCTCTTTCGCTTTAGGTGTTACTGAAAGCTTAGAGTTTGCCTTTTGAAACTTAAAGGAAATAAATAAAATATACTGTTTTTTTTTTTTTGAGACCGAGTCTCTGTCGCCCAGACTGGAGTGCAGTGGCGTGATCTCAGCTCACTGCAACCTCCGCCTCCCAGGTTCAAGCAATTCTCATGCCTCAGTCTCCCATGTAGCTGGGACTGCAGGCATGAGCCACCACACCTGGCTAATTTTTCTACTTTTAGTAGAGATGGGGTTTCACCACGTTGGCCAGGCGGATCTCAAACCCCTGACTTCAGGTGATCCACCCACCTTGGCCTCCCAAAGTGCTGGGATTACGGGAATCAGTCACTGCGCCCGGCTGAAAACATACTCTTATTGACCTGCAATCACCGCCTAGGGCAGGAACCTTACCTGAATCTACTTCATCTACACAGCATAGGTTCCGGCTGGCAACCTGCAATGTTGGGCTCAAGAAGTCCATGAGTAGAGTGTTCACAATGCATTCCGTTTGTTCCTCAAAAGTTTGGGAGCTCTTCATTTTAGATGTTTGCTGTCAAGTTTTGCTTTTCCACGAAACAAGCAGTTTTCAGCCCAGCAGGAAGTTAAAAACACTGGTAAATCAACAAATGTTTCTACCTCTTGTAGTTTCCTGACATGTAATCCTGGAACTTTTCCCACTAGCTTTCTTCAAACACAGCTGCTCAGAAAGGTGGGACTTCTCAGAAGGATTACCTACTTGGAACTGGGGAGACTTTAAAGACTTTAGGTTCTCTATCTCAGACCACACCCTAACCACATAAAATTAATGCTTAACTTTTATCGTTAGGTAGCCAACCTAGAACTGAAATAGAGTTCAGGAAGAGCCTCTGGAGTAATTTTATTAAGAAATACTTCCTCGACTTCTTAGGTCCTGCACATGGTATAATTTGAAGGAAGGTTTTGAAGTTACAGTGGACCAGCGTTCAACTTCTGTTTATGGAATTTATTTGCCATAATCATATAATAATTACTTACTGAACAAGGAACTATAGTTGGCACTACAAGTAACATAGAAAAATGATACAGGCACAGTTACTGTGCTCATGAAGCTTACACTTCAGCAGAAATGACAGATATTAAATGAGTAATCGCATTGTTATTTGTGCTATTGAGATCAGTGCACTTTGATCAGTGAAGTGTAACAGGGAATCAAGCCTTTGATCAGTTTAATAGGGAAACAAACCTAGGGGACTGGGAAGGCTTCCTTAAAATAGTACCATCTGACATGAGCTCTGAGGAATAAGTAGGCATTCATTATGCAAAAAGGAGGCATAACACTATTCTAGGCGGAGAGGTAGCAGATATAAAGTCTGGGAAGGTTAAAAAAAAACAACTTGGAATTATAAATGGGGACAACAGAAAATATTTCATAGATAAATTATGAGGATTAAATAAGATAACATGCGGAATGGCCTAGCACTGTTTGGCATACAATAAATGTTAAATGTCCTCCTTTTAGCCCAAGACATAATGACCAGGAGGAAAGAGATCTGAGATTCTCTGTCTAGCAAAAGGATTTTCCTAACAGGGTTGGACTCCATCATTGTTTTAAGAGATCTCATGATTGGACACTTATCTGTAGTGGTTGCCTTCTTAACGTAGCTAAACCTAGATTTTGGGTCTGGGTCTCAGAAGCAGCCATCAAACCTATCAGCAAACTTACCACTCAACCTGTCTGACCTGGTGAAGTTATTAATATTAACAGCTCCAACTAATAAAAGAGTCAAGCATAGGCCGGGCATGGTGGCTCATACCTGTAATCCCAGCACTTTTGGGAGGCTGAGGCGGGCAGATAACCGGAGGTCAGGAGTTCACGACCAGCCTGGCCAACATGGCAAAACCCATCTCTACTAAAAAATACAAAAATGAACTGGGCGTGGTGGTGCATGCCTGTAATCCCAGCTACTAAGGAGGCTGAGGCATGAGAATCGCTTGAACCTGGGAGGCGGAGGTTGCGATGAGTCGATATTACGCCACTGCACTCCAGCCTGGGTGACAGAGCAAGACTCTGTCTCCAAAAAAAAAAAAAACAAAAAAAGATTCAAGCATAAACAGTAAGTCAGTTGTTCAGAATGGAATTTCTATCTTGCAAAATATCAAAGCCAATCTTGTGTTTTCTGTTCCATTCTAAAACACATACAACCACTGCACACCTATTAAAATGGCCAAAATCCAGAACACTGGCAAAACCAAATGCTGGTGAGGATGTGGGTCAGGAACTGTCATTCATTGCTGGTAGGAATGCAAAATGGTACAGCCACTTTGGAAGAGTTTAGCAGTTTCTCACAAAACTAAACATCCTCTTACCATATGATTTAGCAATTATACTCCTTGGTATCTACCCAAAGGAGCTGAAAACTTATCTACACAAAAACTTGCACATGGTTGTTTATAGCAGCTTTATTCATAACTGCCCAAACTTGGAAGCAACCAATATGTCCTTCAGTAGGTAAATGAATAAATAAACTGTGATACATACAGACAATAGACATTATTTAGTGCTAAAAAGAAATGAGCTGGCTGGGCGCGGTGGCTCACGCCTGTAATTCCAGCTACTCAGGAGGCTGAGGCAGGAGAATTGCTTGAACCTGGGAGGCGGAGTTTGCAGTGAGCTGAGAGGGCACCATGGCACTCCAACCTGGGTGACAGAGCAAGACTGTGTCTCAAAAAAAAAGATCAGGCCATGAAAAGATGAGGAGGAATTTGGGTGGTAATTGGACTTTGGGTAATAATTGATGAGGTAAGTTCATCAGTTACAACAAATTGTACCACTTTGATTGAGGATGTTGATAACAGAGAAGACTATGCTTGTGTTGGGGCAGAGGGTATATGGGAAATCTCTGTACCTTTGTTTCAATTTTGCTTTGAACCTAAAACTGCTCTTAAAAAGTCTTAATTTTTAAAAATGATCATAAATTGCTTTTGGAGTAAGAACACAAATTATGTTCCCATGTAGCTAAAGTGCTATTTTCATTTGTCATTATCTGTCGCTCATTCTCTCTAGAGGCAAAAGGGCTGAAACCTCATTATTACTAAGTAGGCTTCAGACTTTTAACATCAGAAGGGCGGGCACTCAGAGAAAATTCTAGGCTAACCTCCTTTCACATTAGAGCTAGCCACTGACAGTTGAAGGATTCTAAAAAATACATTTGTGACATACTCCCAAAACAATATATAAAAAATAAAAATATTTATGAGACCATCCAGCTGGTATTAAATAGCTTGCCCAAGTTCACACATCAGTAAGTGGCAGAATATAAATTTTAAACCAAGTCTGTCTTACATTAAACTCAAGCTTTTCCCACAGTAATAAACCACGTTCCTCATTTCACTATCAATACGCTTATGCCATCTTTGAAATCGAATTTTGAGTCCAGGGGTGGTAGCACGCACCTATAGTCCCAGCTACTCAGGAGGCTGAAGCAGGAGGATCACTTGAGCCCAGATCAAGGCTTCACTGAGCCATGATCACACCACTGCACTCCAGCCTGGATGACAAAATGAGACTCTGTCTCAAAAAAAAAAAAAAAAAAAAAAATCTAATTTCAACTCCTTTGCATTGTCTTGTATAATCAATGTTGTAAAGCTATAGAAACAGAGTACAGGCTGTCATTAGCAATGTGGAGTAAATTTTTTCCAAGTTTGTTTACTTCTTCTGGGCCTTCAATATAGCACCCTCCAAAACTATCCCTTTCCCTCAGCCCACATACCTTCACCCTTGCAGTTGTAATATTGTGCTCTTAATTATTACTGAAAAATCACGAGGCCAGAATTTTTTCACCGTCACTTGTTTCTCTTGCCACCCTCTGACCACAACAAATTACATCCCTCCCCAAAATGCTTTGTCTCATATCATTGGCTTAAAGTCCAGGATCTTGTCATCTGTACCAGATGTGCATGTGGATGAAGATCCTTGAGTGTAACTCCTCTCAACATGGAGACTTGTAACTAAGAAAACAAGTAATGTGTCCCCTCTCCCCTAAACATCCCATATCTAAGAAAGGAATAGAATACTTTTAACAGAACGCCTGTTCAAAAATAGGGGTAATGGAAACACATCACAGTCACTGATTCATAACTATAAAATGATGGTAATATGCAAATTATTGCCTCTGCAGTGTTCCAAAACACTATTGTCTTTGTGGAACCTCATTACATACGTAACATACTGTTTACCTGTCAACTAAGAATGACATTAGATGGCTGCTGTTCTAAGAGCACAGTATAGACTACCTTCATGGATTGTAAAATATAAACATCTACTTATATCACATCATCAAACCCCATGTCTGCAGAAGCTATACAGAGTTCCTAGCAGGGGAAATATTAAAGAATTAACTTCATAGTATACCTGAGCTTTAGTCATTTTGCTTATAAATTAGTAAAACCAGGCTACAGGAGAAATCAGTTCTTCATTGAGATAATCTTAAAAGTATATTTTCCAAAAGCAACAATTTCATATTCTATGTATTCCTCTTACATTATAGAAAAGCAACCAAGTAGAACATAGTCTTCTAAAAGCTCCAATAGTTGGGATCACTTTAGTATTATTATTTATTCAGTTGCTTAGTCATACCTAATTTTCTTTAGATCAACATTTCAGTTATAGTCTTTAATTTTAAAAAGTCAATAAGTTTACTCAATTTCTACCACCTGCATCCTGTTCCCTTGCTACGCCTTTTTTTTTTTTTTTTTTTTTTGAGATGGAGTCTCACTCCGCCACCTGGGCTGGAGTGCAGTGGCACAATCTCGGCTCACTGCAGCCTCCGCCTCCCAAGTTCAAGCGATTCTCCTGCCTCAGCCTCTCGAGTAGCTGGGATTACAGGTACCCGCCACTACACCCAGCTAATTCTTTGTATTTTTAGTGGAGACGGGGTTTCACCATGTTGGCCGGCTGGTCTCAAACTCCTCAACTTGTGATCCACCCGCCTCAGCCTCCCAAAGTGCTGTGATTGCAAGCGTGAGCCACCACGCCCGGCCCCTTGCTACACTTTGAATTGGCAGCACTTCAATTTTATTTCTCTTAGTACCTAATTAAACATTCACCATTTAACTGAACCATAAAAATACAGAAAATGCAATTCTGAAGCTGTTCTAATCCCTCCCTTTCCTGTCCCTGAGGATCCATGGTCTAAATCAGTGGTTCTCAAGTAACAGCAATTTTGCCGCCTGTCCCAGGGGACCTTTGACAATGTCTAGAGACATTTTTAGTTGTCACAACTGAGGGTTCTACTGGCATCCAGTGGGTAGACAGAGGCCAGAGATACTGCTAATAATCATTCTACAGTGCAGAGGAAAGCCCCTCACAACAAAGAATTATCTGGCCTCAAATGTCAGTATTGCCACTTTTAAGAAATCCTGGTCTAGAATAAGTTCCATCATTTTCCATATAGTTGATACAATATCATAAAACCCATTTCAAACATCAATCCCAAAACACATCAGAATCTAATTATATACAGCCATTCATTCAGTAAAGATTTACTGAGTAATACTATGTGGCAGGCACTATGGAAATAAAAGGAAAGAAAGAATCATTCTTAAAAGTTGTTCAGGCGAGGCACGGTAGCTCATGCCTGTAATCCCAGCACTTTGGGAGGCCGAGGCAGGTGGATCACCTGAGGTCAGGAATTTGAGACCAGCCTGACCAACATGGTGAAAACCCATCTCTATTAAAAATACAAAAAATTAACTGGGTGTGGTGCGGGCACCTGTAATCCCAGCTACTTGGGAGGCTGAGGCAGGAGAACTGCTTGAACCCGGGAGGTGGAGATTGCAGTGACCCAAAACCACGCCATTGCACTCCAGCCTGGGCAACAAGAGCAAAACTCCACCTAAAAAAAAAAAAAAAAAAAAAAGGTTGTTCAATGGGGAAGTCCATTCAATAAACAACTCACAAAACCCAGGCTCTTACCAGAAAATTCAATACTGTCTGTTATCTACTCCTATTAAGAGCTTAGTTGAGGCTGGGTAACACTTGAAGTCAGGAGTTACCAGCCTGGCCATCATGACGAAATCCCATCTCTACTAAAAATACAAAAATTAGCCAGGCGTGGTGGTGCATGCCTGTAGTCCCAGCTACTTGGGAGGCTGAGGCAGGAGGATGGCTTGAATCTGCAATGTAGAAGTTGCAGTGAGCTGAGATCACACCACTGCACTACAGCCTGGGTGACACAGCAAGACTCCGTCTCAGATTTAAAAAAAAAAAAAAAAAAGGCTATTTGAGAGAAGTGATAGGTGAAAAATTATCTGAAGGTATGTGCTTATCTATATCTAGGTAGTAAAAATCCTTGAATTAAGCTGGATGATAAAGGCTATATACTTGGATCATGTTATCTTAAGTCCTTGAAGAAATGCCTTCATTAAGCACCATGTTATTATTATTATTATTATTATGGAGACAGGGTCTTGCTCTGTAGCCCAGGCTGGAGTTCGGTGGCATGAGCATAGCTTATTGCAGCCTTGACCTCCTAGGCTCAAGCAATGCTCCCACCTCAGCCTCCCAAGTAGCTGGGACTACAAGCACACGCTGCCACACCTGGTTAATGTTTTACTTTTGTAGAGATGGGGATCTCACTACATTGCCCAGGCTGGTCTCAAACTCCTAGCCTCAAGTGATCCACCCACCTTGGTCTCCCAAAGTACTGAGATTAAAGGCGTAAGCCACCATATCTAGCCTACTTTTTTTATGTTCTTTTTTTTTGACAGGGTCTCCTGTCACCCAGGCTGGAGTGCAGTGGTGTGATCACTACTCTCTGTAACCTCAAACTCCTGGGCTCAAGCAATCCTCCTGCCTTAGCCTCTTGAGCAGCTGGGATTTCAGGCATGTGCCACCATGCCTGGCTAAGTCAATTTTTTTACAGACAGGGTCTCACTATGCTGCCCAGGCTGATCTTGAACTCCTGGCATCAAGCAATCCTCCCTCCCTGGCCTCCGAAAGTGCTGGGTTACAGGTGTGAGCAACTGCACCCAGTCTAAGCTCTGTATTAAAGTCATGCTCTCTGCTTTCGTTGAAGAATACTGTTAAGAAAGTCATGTGAAACCCATTACTAACTTCTCATAGGATCTTGCACATATCTTAGTACCACCTATGTGAAACTACATGTACATTTCTTTTAGAAATCAATGTTTCTTCCTCTCTGATGACAATTATAACTGTTTCCCTTAACTCTGACTGCTAAATCACCTATAGAGACAAATCAAGGCTCAACTATATCACCTAATAGGCCCATACAGCCTGAACATTTGTATATTTCCCCATCCCCAACCTAGCTGGTCTTAACTGGTATTTTAATTTTTCCCATTCTGGATTCGCTATTTATATTTTACCATCATTTTATTAGATTTGTTCTTGCCATAAGTTGCTTCAATGTACAAAATGTGGTCAGATAAGAACAGAATAAAAATTGAGGACAAGCAACAAGAAAACAATTACAATACTACTGCTAGAGGTATGCTCTGGCTACTTTGATAGCTTGAGGGAGGCCCCTAATGAAGGCAGTGAGGGTTAAAGGAAACTTCCTGAAGGAGCTTATGAGTGAGCTGAACACTGAAAGATAGACGAGGTGTTAATTCAAGAAGATATGAGGGTGAGAAAATGTTCCAGGCAATAAATAAAAGCAGGTTTAAGTTAACACAGAGGTGAAAGAAGCAGGTGTATAAAGGGAACTGCAATGCAAATGGTTTGCTTCTGCCAGAAAAGAAGTCATTTTGGGAGTGGCAAGACTTGACACCAAAGAGGTACTTTAGATGACATTAAGGACTTTGGAATCTGGCCTAAAAGCATGATTGGAAATATGAGAACAGTTAGGAATTTACTATAATAATCCAGGGAAGAAAAGATGACCCCCACAAATGATGACCCCTATCAGTTTCCACACATCAGCCATCTTTAATTACTAACACAATTCCTAAAATTGATTAGGAAATAATCCAAATCCCATCCTCAACGCATCTCCTTACCAACATTAACCTCTACAACATCATCACTGAAAAATGGGGTCAATTGCCAATAGGAATGAAAGGAATGAATCAATGTTCTTTGGCCAAAAACTTAAGAATCCTGATTTCTAGATTTTCCACTCTCCTTTGTATCTGATATTATCTGGACTTACTGGCAGCTCTAATAGGAAAGACTAAGAAAGTGTAATAGTTATTCATCTTACTCTAGACAAGCAACAAGACTCTGTTATGATTTTATTTCTTCAATTGTTCCAATCACAGTTTCTAATACAGAAATAAAACTATTCAGCGTCTCCGTTCTTGCTTCATTTTGTTTCACAGAGATCTGCATTTCTGAGTTTCCAGGCTCCAATAGCAGTTCTGTTAAGAACAGACAGCCAGTATCATCCTGAGCACTGAGGTATGCTTTCCATGGCCGAGACCCAGCCCTACTCATTGCGATGGTCTGGATGTTCACTACTTGAAGAGCCATCTGGAGGGTGTCAGGATGGAATTCTCCCCGCCAAGGCAACACTTGCTGATGAGCAACTTTAAGGCTAAGCCAAGTTTTCTCAAAATAATCAGCAGTAAGCTGGCGATTGGGGACTAGCATGAGGGCTCCAGAATCAGGGAGTTCTTGTACCCTCTCCTTGTTCTCTTCAGGAATCAAGGGTCCTAAAAGAGACAGAAAACTTGTGTGAAAGATGTTCTTAATCTGTAGGAGCTAAGTTTTTTATCCAAATTCCCAAATGTACACAATGTGACTTTTATTTTTGGACAAATGGCTGAAATAACCAGTGACGAACCTCTTTCTTGCTCACAAATGCTTCAAATTCAGGCAACAGTCTGAGGTTTAGTGCTAAGATACTCTACTTTCCACCAATCATTGAAAAGGTAAAGATTTATCATGACAAGATTTAAGGTAAGGACTGTTTTTACCTGATGCGGCAAAGGATGAAGTTTTAGGAAGCTCTGGGTCACAACGCTCTGCCCCCTGGCATTTAGAGATAGTTGCCCAGTGGGCTTTGCCATACACTGGCACCAGTGTGTTGAAGTCTGAGGCCCAGCTATTCACAGGTCTTTCTGCCGGATCCTCCAAAAGTCCAAGAGTAGGGTCAGATTTAGGGCTACACAGAATCCGCTTAACTTCATCAATGCCAACTAAGAGGAGGCGATAATAGAAGAGACCTCGGTCCCGTACAGCCATATCTTTTTCTTCCTCTGAGGTAAGACAACAGATTGACTTCATTAAAAACAAAACCACTTTCCTCCTACTCTTGTGCCAACCATAATAGGAGAAAAAAATGAAGGAGAGAGGAAAACCTAGGAAGCATTCACATTTTCTTCTCGGGTCCCAGACGTGACTCACCAAACAATGAAAGCTATTAAGAATTTTTACTATGGGTCATGGCAAATACTATTTCCTTCTGAAAAACCCACCTATGCAGTAATACAACAAACGTCCTAGCATGTCCTGGCACTCAGCAGGTCGGGAGAGGAAAAGGCGCAGCAAAGCAGTGAGCAGCTCCATCTTAACAGCTGGAAATGTTTCCGACTTCACATTCTCAACAAAGTCCTCTAACACATAAGGAGCATTAGGAATTCTTTCCCCATGGACACCAAGTAGCCAAATAAGTGCTTGCTTCCCCTAGAGAATAAAGGAATAAGAGCAAGTGCTCAACACTTGACTGTCTAAAACACAGGAGATAATAGACAGCCACTGGTTTTGCTTTTCGCTTAGTGCCAGCAGAAAAGGTGTAATCTTTAGTTTACTTCATTTAATTTACTGATTCCCCGTACTATACTCTCTACAACAAATAGGAATGAAATTCTAATACACAAGAGGAAACTCAAAACTTTCATAGCCTATGTTGGATTAAGCAATAAATAAGGTTTCCTCAGGTTTGGGGCCTTTGGCCCTATTGGGTTTTAGTGTTTCAGTGGAAGCTGCTCAAAGAATTTCTCTAAATTTTTCACAAAAATGGTTACTAACCTAGAGTGCACATCAGAGTCATCTGTGAAGCTTCTTAAAAATGTATCTGTCAGCCGGGCACGGTGGCTTACGTCTGTAATCCCAGCACTTTGGGAGGCCGAGGAGGGTGGATCACCTGAGGTCAGGAGTTCGAGACCAGCCTGGCCAATATGGTGAAACCCGTCTCTATTAAAAATACAAAAATTAGCCAGGCGTGGTGGTGCACACCTGTAGTTCCAGCTACTCGGGAGCCTGAGGCAGGAGAATTGCTTGAAACCAGGAGGCGGAAGTTGCAGTGAGCTAAGATGGCATTACTGCACTCCAGCCTGGGCAACAGAGCTAGACTCTGTTTCAAAAAAAAAAAAAAAGTTATCTGTCTAGGTCCAACACCCCTGAATATTTAAGTCAGTAGACCTGTGATTACGTCCAAATCTTTGTAAAAATTTCACAAATGATTATAATTTTCATTCTAGCTAAAAACTCCATGGTCTAAATCTCTGACTCAAAACTGTTCAAGAGAAGCGGGGCACAGTGGCTTATGCCTGTAATCCTAGCTCTCTGGGATGCTGAGGTGGGTGATCACTTGAGGCTAGGAATTCTAGACCAGCCTAGACAACATAGCAAAACCCTCTCTACTAAAAATACAAAAATTAGCTGGGCGTGGTGGTGCACACCTGTAATCACAGCTACTCTACTCAGGAGGCTGAGGCAAGAGAATCACTTGAGTTTGGGAGGTAGAGGTTGCAGTGGGCCGAGATCACGCCACTGCACTCCAGCCTGGGCAACTCTATCTCAAGCAAAGCAAAACAAAACAAAACAGAACTGTTCAAGAGAACAATGGTATCACAGTTTTGTAATAAAACCCGTCGGATAAATCTTGTTTTTATAATTTATATGCCATCTATATCCAAAAGAGAATCTAAGGTGGCAATCAATTCGAAGAGTGCCCACTTCAAACACAGGGTAGAGAGAATAATTAGATTCCATTTCAAAGGGCAGGGTTTCAAGCATTCTCCCCCTACCTAGAAGTAAAGGAGAATTACAGTCTACCTCACTATCTTGAATGTTCTCTTCACAGCCGGGCAGGGCCTGACATACAGCTTCAGTACACTGAGGACACAACCAAACCAGGTCTCGGAAAGTCTGCACCACCACTACAATACAGGCCAGGGTACAAGAGCACAGGATTAGAGCCTCCAGGTAGGCAGGAATCTTAAGAACAGTCATGTATTCAGACTCATGATTCTGGCTGGATTTCTGTAAAATGGGTTTTGGAGGTGTGGTCAATGGTTATCTAAGAAATGTAATGAAATAAGCAATAATTTCTTGAATGCATATTGCTCTTATCAGATTGACATGAGGATAAATGAACTAATGTATGAAAAAGCACTTTGTAAAACATAAAGCTGTATGCAAATGTGGGGTAGTATTGCTGTTGAATGAAACACTAAAGACAGTATAAATAGAACCACCAGGCCTGGGAAAATGATAACACAAGTGAGGTGCCTAGGGTTCAAAATTGAAGAAGACATGCAGGATTGGCTCTTGCAGGAACCTAAGAGTGAGTGCCTTCTTAAATTTTGCATCCTAGGCATCTTGCTTGACTTACCCTTGTCCCAACCCTGGAAGCCACTGCCTATGGCATACTGCCATAAAACAAAAAGAGAAGTAAAGATGGTGAAATATCAAGCAAGGTCATCCTAGTAGCCTTCATTATCTATAGTACAGCCTTATAGATCATGGCAGCCTGAAGACTCAATATCCTATTAGATCTATAGACTTTATGCTTCTCTAACAGCAACAGATGATGATGCAAGGAAAAGTTCAAATCTCTATATTACTCATTCAACAACAAACATGTTTTGAGCAACTACTATAGGCCAGGCACCTGACAAAAAAAACAAAAATCCTAAAAAGGCAGGCATTACCTGTGGTAATGTGCTCTTGTCGAAGACCCAGCAACTCTGTTAAAATCTGAACACATTGATCTGTGTAAGTCCTGGCAATGCCACCTACAAAAGAAGGGAAAGCAGAGAAAACTGCTAAGTGAAATATTAGCACCTCAATCTAAAATCATCTCCCACCAGTGAAAGACAAAAGAAACAGAATTATCTAAAAAAAAAAAAAAGAAAAAAATTCACTCCTTACTTGATGAACTAAGAATATAAGTTTACTATAAAGGGAACTTTGGTAAAAATCATTTTTTCTCACTGACTACTAGAAAACTGAAAGCTCATAGCAAAACAATTCCCCATTAAACAAGGTTGAAAACTTATAGTAACAAAGGTATTTACATGGCAGCCAGATATGAGGTACCCTTTTTGTTGCAGCACACCTGCAATGGAGTATTTTTGTGGGGGACACTTGACAGCAGTCTCCTAAGGATTTCTTGTCTCCTCTTTGCTCCCTCTTCTCTGCCCCTAAAATAACCATGCTTTATTCCAAATATGAGGGTTGCTCCTCCTCCTGTACTTGAAATCCTTCAAAACTTGGCTCAACAGCTGTTTTCAGTTTTTGAGTCACTCCAGCCTTTCAAATTCCAGACAGGGTACTATGAAAAAGTCTGTAAGATTTAGGAATTATTCTGTGTTGGTCTACATTCAGCACAATACATAGCCCATAGCAGAAGCTCAATAAATGACTGGTGGATTAACATAGGACTTTGAGTCAGGAAAGCTGGATTTCAGTCCCATTTCTAAAACTATGTGCCCTTTTGGCAATTTGATAACTGTTTTTGTGCCTGAGTTTCTTCATCTTTAAAATGAAGTTAATGACATTTGTCTACTTTTCCTGACTGTCTCACGATACTGTGGTAAGATGATGTATAGGAAAGCATTTTGGATAGAAGACAACAACAATTTTAAGTATTGTAGTTTGTGTTACCTGTATTCTCCATCCTGGAAGATACAGCAACACCAATCTTGACCAAAAAAAAACAAAAAACAAAAAAAAACTCTCTTCCCCCGTGTTTGTAGTCACTGACCCAATTATTTAGTGCATAGTACTTTGCTTCTGAAGCAAGATTCATGCCCTTTGCTCTCTATGGTTCCTCTAACCACAGTTTTCTTGCTGGCTGGTCTAGGTTCTCAAGAAGGAAAAGGAGCAGACACCTACCTATGGCAAAGATGGCAGCCTGTGCAAAGTCCGCAGACACATCCGTGCAGTACCCTCGAAGCTCCTCTAGCACCTGCTGCACATTCTCATCGTTCACCAGTTCACACAGCACCTCCACTTTCTGTAGTTTGATGTAGTGGGGCTCCGAGTAGGAGCAAAAAAACTTTTTGTAGTGGCTGCTAAAGTGACCTGGTAAACTATGCAAGATCTGGCGTACATGACAAAGAGCAACAAAACAGAGCTCACGGCTCTCTGAAGAACAGGCAGCTAGCAAAGGTCCCTTGACCCGCACAAGGACATCAGTTTGTACGTGGGGAAACATTTTTGCCAAGATCAGAAAAAGTTTGGTAGCTCCCATCACCACACCTGGGCTACTGCTCTTGAGGAAACTATCCAACAGATTGAGAATGTCAAATAGTTCTTCCTCACTGCGGGGTTGGTAGCGTAGCAGAAAGTTCAATACTTCAGCCTGGCCCCATTGGTCCAGTTTTGACATTCTATCCAAAAAACAAAACAAAAGAGCTATTTTAGCAACAAAATTAGGACCATTTCCATGCCACTGCCATATGACCAGGTGGTTGTTCATCATAGCAAAGGGAGAATTCTTAAAAATAGGCTGTGCCATAATTAAGTCACTTTTCATGTACTATTTAAAGTTTACACAAAAAAGGCTTAAAATTCCAAGATGAGTTGTTAATACAAATGCACACTCCTCTAAGACCAAAGACATGATCAGCATACACTGGGTCCAGGTTCCTTACATTTTAAGACACTATAAATGGCTTAGTTTGGGGGACATGACTAGAGAAGGGTAGAACCTATTCCCACAGTATATTTCTATTTCCCTATATCAATAAGGGAAAGTAAGGCAAATAAAAGAAATTCTCTCAGTGGAATGTGAGGGAGTTAATAGTGGTTAACTGGCCGGGCGCAGTGGCTCACGTCTGTAATCCCAGCACTTTGGGAGGCTGAGGCGGGCGGATCACCTGAGGTCAGAAGTTTGGGACCAGCCTGACCAACATGGTGAAACCCTGTCTCTACTAAAAATACAAAATTAGCCGGGCATGGTGGCGCATGCCTATAATCCCAGCTACTCGGGAGGCTGAGGCAGGAGAATTGCTTGAACCCAGGAGGCGGAGGTTGCGGTAAGCCGAGATAGCGCCATTGCACTCCAGCTTAGACAACAAGAGCAAAACTCCGTCTCAAATAATAATAATAATAATGGTTAACTTTCTTTTCTACCCCACATAAGTTGTTCAATACTTTAATACATCAACAAGATCCCACAAGGTAGCAGATCTCATAATAAAAAGAGTGCTGAGGCATCCAAACCGATTTAAGAGATGGTGAGCAATGGGCTTATTGATGACAACGCCTCCTTCCTGTTTCAGAATTTCCTCTAGAGACCTCAAGCAGTTCACAACTACAATTGGATCCTGGTCACGCAGCAAACTGTATAATTCATTTACCAGGGCACCATCTATAAAAAAGAACAAAGTTCTTAGATAAAGAAGGAAAGCTTCAGAGTAACAAGGATGTAGCCAGAGTAATAGCTCCAGGTAGACAAAGTTGAACTTCTCTGCTACAAAAATGACAAAGGCCACACTAAAGTGCAAGGCAAAAAAAAAACTGCCATGTCCAGACTGTTCTAAGCAGCTAATACAAAGGATCTCATTGGGGCCCCAGAGAAAGGACTTCTCATCTCCAGAAGATACCAAGCCCTGCATCCTACTTAAAGAGATATGTACAGAACTGGGGCCACATTATTATTTTCTACCAAAGCCACACAATCTTTTTTAAAGTTATACATAATGGAGGCACATTGACCATGATGGATTACACTGAACTTACCTACTTCAGAGTCTCCATGAAGATTATGCATCTTGGCACATCCAAGGACTGCCACTCTCCTGACATATGAAGCCTTATCCCGCAGACCATTGAGAATAGGCTGTTGTATATACTCCTGCACACCAGGCATCCTAAGCAACACATCCTGGAGTTAGCCAGATTCTGAAATACTAATTTTGACATACCTCAGCCCCTGTTCACCTAACAGATGGTTTAGTAGATGCTGCACCCATCAGATCATGAAGAATTGCAGAAAGCCTCTATCAAGCTTAAAAAGCCATAATTTGACTTTTCTGTTTTTTTCTTGTTTTTTTCAAGATGGGGTCTCACTTTGTCACCCAGTGGCCCGATCATAGCTCACTGCTGCCTTGAATTCCCGGGCCCAAGCCATCCTCCTGCCTCAGCCTTCCTAGTAGCTGAGACTACAGGTGCGTGTCACCATGCCCATTTAATTTTTTGTAGATATAGGCTCTCACCATCTTGCCCAGCTGGTCTCAAATTCCTGGGCTCAAGCAATCTTCCTGTCTAAGCCTCCCAAAGTGCTGGGTCTACAGGCATGAGCCACTGTGCCCAGCCTAATTTGACTTTTCATTTGGAATAATGATGCACAGGCAGCAAAAAAAGATATACACATAATTGTTTAGAGATATTTAACCAAAACTGAGGACTATTTTACTTAGAGTGAGAATCAAAAACTCCCTCTAATAAAATTATATGATACAGGTTATTAAGCCAAAGCAGTGGCTGAAAATCTGAGTTCAGGGTACAATAATGTTTTCCCCAGTATTAAGGAGCTCAAATAAATTATCCTCTTTAAAAACCTACCCTGTGATCACTTGAATTCATCAGCCATTTAGGACCAGACAGAGAAGAGGGTACTCACCTGAGGCTACACATGCTCCGTAACGCCAGCCCTCGCACCATTGGATTGGGGTCTGAGCAGTCTTTGCACAGCGTATTGATGGCCAGGAGAGCCAGATCTGGTTTCAGGGGAGCATATGTGCACATGTACAGATAAACCAACTTCTTCTGGACAATATCTACAGTGGCACTGGCCTTCACCATTTCCATAAAAACACCAGACATGTCCAAGCCTTGAGTCATGTACCTGAACAACGCACATGACAGAAGGAAGTAAAATGCAAAATCCCCAACTTACAATGGAGGGAGTTTTACTTACATATCTCCTGATTACCCAACTAGATTGTGATCTCTTAGAGGGTAGCAGCCAGGATTACCTTGTCTATTATATCACACAGTACTTCATACCATAGGCCTACAATAAACATTATTCTTCTATTCATTCAACAAACACTTATTATTATTTTTGAGACAGAGTCTTGCTCTGTTACCCAGGCTAGAGTGCAGTGGCACAATCTCGGCTCATTATAAGCTCCGCTTCCCAGGTTCAAGCGATTCTCCTGCCTCAGCCTCCCGAGTAGCTGGGACTACAGGTGCGTGCCACCACGCCCAGCTAATTTTTGTATTTTTAGTAGAGACGGGGTTTCTCCATGTTGGCCAGGCTGGTCTCGAACTCCTGACTGCAGGTGATCCACCCGCCTTGGCCTCCCAAAGTGCTGGGATTACCAGCGTGAGCCACCGCACCCAGCCTCAACAAACACTTATTGAATCCCTAGTACTTTGGTGAAATTCAACTTTTACATCCAGGGACATGCTCTTGGGACATAATCTTGAAGAAGGTGTGGTCTCAAACCTCTAGGAACTTCAAATCTATTAATGAGCCAGATGAGAATACCGTTAATTACAGTATGATAGATAAGTACTTAAACAGAAGTATTGTACAAGGTGTAGAGGGGATTCAGAGGTCTGACACTGGCAGGAAGTCAGAAAATGTTTCTTCACAGAGGAAGTAATACTTTAGCTGAATGAGCAGGAGCTCACTAGGCAGATGTAATAGCAAGGTAAAGATACATGCTATGAGGTAAGTAGACATGAGCAGGAGCAGCACACATTTTTTTAAGAGTCTGTAGGTAGTTGAATTAACAGCTTGTTCCTTGGGTGCTGTGATAAGTTTGGACTTTATTGTTTCTCAGACTGGTCTCCTACTGGAACCAACTGAAATGTTTATTAAAAATACAGATTCCTGGGTTCCCTCCCACCCTACTGAAATCAGAATCAGTCCCTGGACTGGATGACAAAAAGCACCCCAAGGGATTTTTATGCATAGTAAAGTTTGTGAACCATAGCTGTAGGCAAGAGTTATGTGTTCAGGTATGTATAATGGAAAAATTCTGTCTCAAATGAGGCAAAGTGGCCTACTAGTAAGCTGCTGCAATTGCTTTATTGATGAAGGCCTGGACCAGAACAACAATGCTAATAAACAAGAGAGGATGGATATTTAGAATTATGAATTCAAACCATCTGACATAAGAAGTGAGAGATCAGGTGTCCTCAAGGTTGGCTCCCACGCATAGTCGGCTGCTGGTGGCATTCATCAACACAAATGTAAGCTGAACAGGTTTGAGGAAGACGGAAGAATGTCCGGGCTATTTCGGACATACTTTTGATAAACCACGCACGTGGAAATGCCAAGCAGGCAGTGGGATACGTGGGTCTGAAGCTAAAAAAGGAAGTCTGTACTAGCTATATTATAGATCCAAGAGTCACCAGTAATTGCTCAAGCCCGTGATATGGAGGAAACTACCCAGCTGAGTAAAAGATGCTGCAGAGGGGAGACTGACATGGTACTCCAAAGCAGCAGGACGAAGACCGAACCATATAACTGCCACGTGTGAAAGCTAATTCACCCTTTCAGAGAGACTGGGGCTAGTGAGCCCTGATGGGGATTGCAAAGGGAGCAGTTAGCACGCGAAGGGAGGTAGGTGATACCTAATCACTCGCTGGATGACATTCCGGTAGCGCAGCCTATCAGCTTGAATGTGAGGATTGCACAGAGCCTTCTTCAGCTCCTTCACCACGTCCTCGGAGCCAAGGTACGGCATCTTCCTAAGAGTCACAGGGCAGCTCCCACAGCTCCCACGGTAACTCGAGGGCTCCTTCTCGTCCTGATGTGGGAGCCTGAGTAAAGGAAATATGAGTCAGTGAAAATACAAAAGGCGAGATCTCGCCTCAGGCTCGGCTTCCGTAGGGCCGGCACGCTGGCCCTGACACACTTCCACGCCCTCCGCGACACCGCGAGCCCCACCCTAGGCTCTTCAGGCCCTACCGTCGGCCGGCAGGCCGTTCGCCCCGCCCACAGATCGCTCCCGCTACTTCTAGGTCCTCCGCCGGATTTCCAGCGCCGCGTCCGACTGACCGCAGACCCCTCCCTCTCCAGTTCCAGCCTTAATTCCCCCTCCACGCCGTTCTCATCGCGGATAGGCCCAATCTTGCTTTCTGCGGAAGTCCCGCCCCCTTGTCAAGAGACCAAACAGAAGACCGCTGCCGGTCTCCCCGCGAGCGAGCGCTAAGCGTAGTCCCGACTCCGACCTTAGGATGCCCTTCCCCCAACCTCTCACTCTCCAGGCGCAGCTGCGCGGCTCCCTCTGGTGGAGCTGCGGCGGGCAATCGGAAATCGGCTACTTTGGCCTGTCTCCTCCCTGCAGCGCGCGCTTTGAGTGCCCGGCTCGGCCTCCGCTCCCGCGCGGTTGGGAGTGTCCAGCGCCCTCCGCGATTTGGGCTCCAGCGGGCAGGGTGACTTCCTTTTTCTGCCCACTCTGGTAACTTATTGCTCTGCTGGGCTCTTTCCCTTAGGGTCTCTGGCCCTGTTCTTGCCCCAGCATGACTTTTATCGGGACGCCGTTGTGGAAGCCTCACGCAGGAGCCCTGCCCCCGTGGAGAAGATCCCACTGGTGACTCCAACCCTACCACCATGAATGGGGTCCTGATCCCCCATACGCCCATCGCAGTGGACTTCTGGAGCCTGCGCCGGGCTGGCACCGCACGTCTCTTCTTCTTGTCTCACATGCACTCGGACCACACCGTGGGCCTGTCTAGCACCTGGGCCCGGCCCCTCTACTGCTCCCCAATTACAGCCCACCTCTTGCATCGTCACCTACAGGTATGGGGCTGGAGTCGGTCTCCGAGAGCTGGTCCAGGCATCTGGGTTGGGACTTCAACCTGTCATTCTTGGAGTCATAGAATGGGGGCCACGAAAACTGATTTGGAAGTTGTTTGAACCCAAAAATGCATCTTTAACCCAGAATAGGAACGTGTTTTCGAAGTGACCAACTTGAGATAGTTAGCCATAAGTTGAGGAGATATTTTAATCCAGCCAAGGAAACTATTCCTACCTTTATAAGTAAGCTAGGCCGATGTTTCCCAAACTTGCCTTTTTTTTTTTTTTTTTTTTTTTTTTTTGAGACGGAGTCTCGCTCTGTTGCCCAGGCTGGAGTGCAGTGGCGCAATCTCGGCTCACTGCAGCCTCCGCCTCCCGGGTTCAAGCGATTCTCCTGTCTCGGCCTCCTGAGTAGCTGAGATTACAGGCGCACGCCACCACGCCCAGCTAATTTTTTGTATTTTTTGTGGAGACGGGGTTTCACCATGTTGGCCAGGCTGTTCTCTAACTCCTGACCTTAAGTGATCCGCCCGCCTCAGCCTCCCCAAGTGCTGGGATTACAAGCGTGAGCCACCACGCCCCGCCTAAACTTGCCTCATCTTAAGAATCCACCTAATGTGCTGGGTGGTTCTCCAGCTCTCTCCCCACCCCACCCTTAAGTCTCCAAGAGATTAAGATCAGGAGTAAGTTTGGGAATTGCTGACTAGACTGTTTGCTGAACTCTTTTTTTTTTTTTGAGATGGAGTCTCGCTCTGTCGCCCAGGCTGGAGTGCAGTGGCGCAAACTCGGCTCACTGCAAGCTCCGCCTCCCGGGTTCACGCCATTCTCCTGCCTCAGCCTCCCGAGTAGCTGGGACTACAGGCGCCCGCCACCACGCCTGGCTAATTTTTTTTGTATTTTTTAGTAGAGACGGGGTTTCACCGTGTTAGCCAGGATGGTCTCGATCTCCTGACCTCGTGATCCACCCGCCTCAGCCTCCCAAAGTGCTGGGATTACAGGCGTGAGCCACCACGCCCGGCCAGCTGAACTCTTAAATTGTACAAAGGGTGGGATGGGAAGTGGAAGGAGGAAGGGCAGATTGCTTGGGAATCCCCATTACAGCTTCTGCTCCCGGTGGCTCAGGATTTGGTCAGCTTTCCTGATTCATGTAAGGGATAGTCCCTGACCCGGGGAGGTAACGGAGAGGAGTCAGTGGTCACTGGGATGACTAACTGTTTTCTCAGGTATCTAAGCAATGGATCCAAGCCCTGGAGGTTGGTGAGAGCCATGTATTACCCCTAGATGAAATTGGACAAGAGACCATGACCGTAACCCTCCTCGATGCCAATCACTGTCCTGGTTCTGTCATGTTTCTCTTTGAAGGATATTTTGGAACCATCCTCTACACAGGTGGGCCTCTCAAGGAATCCCAGTGACTTCTCCAGACTAGATGTTTTTTTTTTTTTTTTTTTTTTTTTTTTTTAATGTATAGACTGGGGCCTCGCAGTGTTGCCGAGGCTGGTCTCAAACTCCTGACCTCAAGCAATCCTCCCGCTTCAGCCTCCACAGTAGCTAGGATTATTGGCACAAGCCACCACACCTGGCAGACTTTTCTTGAGCAGCCTTAACTCAATAGAAGTCTGGAGGCGCTGGAGGCCTTCTAACTTCATCACATATGAGCATAGTGACCCCATCTCAACTGATTTCCCACTGTTTTTTTTTCCTTCTTCTTTTTGAGACGGAGTTTCACTCTTGTCACCCAGGCTGGAGTGCAGTGGCGTGATTGTGGCTCACTGCAACCTCCGCCTTCTGGGTTCAAGTGATTCTCTTGCCTCAGCCTCCCAAGTAGCTGGGATGACAGGCGCCTGCCACCACGCCCAGCTAATTTTCGTATTTACTATTAGTAGAGACGGGGTTTCACCATGTTGGCCAGGCTGGTCTCGAACTCCTGACCTCAGGTGATCCACCTGGCTCGGCCCCCCAAAGTGCTGGGATTACAGGTGTGAGCCACTGCGCCTGGCCGATTTCCCACTCTTTAAGGGTCCGAACCTTGTGAAGAGTAATTGAAAAATAGGAGTAGGATGGAGACATTACAACAAAGAAACCATGCAGCTATACTGCCTAGTTCAGTGCCAGGCTACATAATAGTTTTTTCACAGACTAGTAAGCAAACGCCTGTCTATTGTTGGAGGTAGGAGAGGCTTGTCTTCTATTCTTTTGTCTCTGACCTTCTGCCCCCATGTACATATTCCTCCAGGTGATTTTCGATACACACCATCCATGCTAAAGGAGCCAGCCCTGACACTGGGGAAACAGATCCATACTTTATACCTAGACAACACCAATTGCAATCCAGCCCTGGTTCTTCCTTCCCGACAAGAAGCTGCCCACCAGATTGTCCAGCTCATTCGAAAACACCCACAACATAACATAAAGATTGGTGAGTTGTTTCCTTTCAGTTTCCTGTCACCTGTAGATAGTGAACTAGATTCTTTAAGGATTCTCACATCTTTCAGATCTTTGTGCAGTTCTCACTTTCTCCTACACTGACCACCTTATTTAAAATTGCAACCTGGCTAGGTGTGGTGGTTCATGCCTATAATCCCAGCACTTTGGGAGGCCAAGATGGGAGGGTCATTTGAGCCCAGGCGTTTGAGACCAGCTTGGGCAACATGGCAAGACCCTGTCTCTACAAAAAATTTAAAAATCAGTTGGGCACGATGGTGCGTGCCTGTGGTCCCAGCTACACAGGGGACTGAGACAGGAGGATTGCCTGGGTCCAGTAGGAGGTCAAGGTTGCAGTGAGCCATGTAAGTGCCATTGCACTCCAGCCTGGATGACAGAGCAAGACCCTGTCTCAATAAATGAATGAATGAATGAAATAAGTAAAACTGCAACCTGCCCACCATCCCCATTCCCAACTCCTGATCATCCATACCAATTCATTTTTTTCATTTTTTTATAGCACTCATATACTATATATATTTTTAAATATGCTATTGCTTACTTGTTGTCTATCATGCACTTCCTCTGGCCCATGCACATACGCGTGCACACACACACACACACAAGCATAAACTCCTTAAGAGCATCACTGGAAATGGGAAGAGACTTTGTGTGTTTGTGGAACAGAGAAGCAGCAGTCAGTATGACAGGCACACAGTGGGCAAGGAGGCTGAAAAGGCAAGAGGGGCTGAAGTGCTGTTAAGCCATTTTGGACTTGATCCTAAACCCAACCAAGAGCTATTGAAGGATTTTAAGTAGAAGAGGGACAATATGCACTCATCACCTTGCAATATATTCTATAATTTATGTATTTATTGGACTTTTTATTGTCTGATTCCCCCTGCTAGAATGTGAATTCCACTATGGCAGTCTCTGTTTTATTATGGGTGTATCACAAATGCCTACACTAATGCCTGACACAGAAGCATTCAATATGAATGAATGAAATTTATCAGAACATAGATATTTAAGTGAGCGTTGTGCTTTAAATTAAGTATACTGAAAAAACAGGTTTGTGCTTGTTGTACTGATTATAAATAGTATAAAACATTGTTGAGGACTCTTTCTTGGAGTTGCCATTTGGAATAGTTTATGAAAATACATTTTTGTTTTATAAAATAAATAAATGTAATAGATTTGGTTCTAAATTACTTTTTTGGTTGTTTCCAAATTTGTGAGTCTACAAAAGGACAAAGACTTGCCACCATTATAAATATTTGAAAAGGACATGTCTCAACTCTGAAAGGAGTTTCAAAATGAGACTAAACAAAGGCATTGAAAAAATTATATAACTTCCAGGGTGACTACCAAATCGATTGAGAAATATCCTCTACTCTCAGGATTGCTTAGCTACTTATAAAGACCTAACCATTCTTAATATTTTAATGCAGAATTTTCTCAAAAAAGCAAAGCTGGCTAGGAGGATGCTATAGTAAGCCTTAATTAATTTTGCAAATATGTAATAAGCCTCTACCCACTAAGTACCAAGTATCCAATAGGCAGTGGGGATATAAAGATGAATAAAATATAGTCTCTGACTTGGAGGGCTCACAGTCTGGTAGGGAAGGACCTGTGGGGAGGTGGAAGTGGGAATATATATAGAGAGAAGAAAAATCCGCTCCATTTGTGCCCAAGGAGTGAGATTTTGAACCATAATCAGGAATAAAGTGGATATAAATAATATATACTTCTTTTTATGGCGTTCACAATCTGGTTGTGGATTTGAAACTTCTTCAGAAAAAGTCTGAGAACAGCTATTAAACAACATCTCCCATATCTGTTACCATAACCATTTCCCAAATTAATGTCTCCATTTCTTTCTCTGTAAGTACTATTTGGGCCCTTCAATTGAAACTTCCACTCCAGCTTCTTCTCATCCTGGCAGTCAAATAATATTATTACCATATTTTTCTTTTTAAAGCCCTGCTCTGAGCATATTATTCTTATGATTAGAATTAGCCATTTTCCTGCTTCACACTCAGTGGCTCCCCTTCACTTACACAATGAAGTCCAAGCTTCTTAGCGGTACATATAAGACGCTCTATTATATGGCCCTTGCTTGCCTCTCTGGTATCATTTCTTATCAATTCCTTTTTTACTTTAGTAACAGCAAACTGACCCCTCTTAAAATGTTTTCCACTATACCCTTTCTACCCTTTCCTTGCCAGGTTAACCTTGCCCATCCTTTAAGATTTAGCCTAACGTTCCCTAACTCCATCACCTGTTAGATACAATACTGTATACTTTTTTTGTTTTTTTTTAAGAGACAGGGTCTCACTCTGTTGCCCAGGCTGGAGGGTAGTGGCATGATCACAGCTCACTGCAGCCTGGACCTCCCGGACTCAAGTGATCCTCCCGCGTCAGCTTCCTGTGTACCAGGAACTATAGGCGTGCACCAACATGCTTATTTGTTTATTTTTGTAGAGACAGGGTCTTGCCAGGTTGCCCAGGTTGGTCTTGAACTCCTGGGCTCAAGCAATCCTCCTGCCTCAGCCTCCTAAAATTGTAGGCTTACAGGTGTGAGCCACAGTGCCCGGCCTGTACACATATCTTTAACGTTGCTCTTAATTGTGGTTTTTCTGGGTCTCCTTGTAGATAGTACTTCTTGAGGACTGACAGTTTTCTTTATTAGTTTTCATGGTGCCTGAAACTTGCTAGATGCTCTCTTTTGTTGAACTAAATGAATGAGTGGATTCTGTGTCATTCCCTTTCATATGTCTTAGCTCAAATGCCACCTCTTCCTTGATATTCTCCCTGGATTTCTCCATGAATTGTATCTATTTTTGTTAAACATTTTGTTGATTTATTAGGATTTTCCAATAGCTTAATTTTCTTCCTTCTCTTACTTTCCCCAATACATTGAACATTATTTAGGACTCTACAGCCTGGGAAAGGAATCACTGCTGGAGCAGCTGGCCCTGGAGTTTCAGACCTGGGTGGTATTGAGTCCTCGGCGCCTGGAGTTGGTACAGCTACTGGGCCTGGCAGATGTGTTCACAGTGGAGGAGAAGGCTGGCCGCATCCATGCAGTAGACCATATGGAGATCTGCCATTCCAACATGCTGCGTTGGAACCAGACCCACCCTACGATTGCTATCCTTCCCACAAGCCGAAAAATCCACAGCTCCCACCCTGATATCCACGTCATCCCTTACTCTGACCATTCCTCTTACTCCGAGCTTCGTGCCTTTGTCGCAGCACTGAAGCCTTGCCAGGTGGTGCCCATTGTAAGTCGGCGGCCCTGTGGAGGCTTTCAGGACAGTCTGAGCCCCAGGATCTCCGTGCCCCTGATTCCGGACTCTGTACAGCAATACATGAGTTCTTCCTCTAGAAAACCAAGCCTTCTCTGGCTGTTAGAAAGGAGGCTAAAGAGGCCGAGAACCCAAGGTGTTGTGTTTGAATCCCCTGAGGAAAGTGCTGATCAATCTCAAGCTGACAGAGACTCAAAGAAGGCCAAGAAAGAGAAACTTTCTCCCTGGCCTGCGGACCTTGAAAAGCAGCCTTCCCACCATCCTTTGCGGATCAAGAAGCAGTTGTTCCCAGATCTCTATAGCAAAGAATGGAACAAGGCAGTGCCTTTCTGTGAGTCTCAAAAGAGGGTGACTATGTTGACGGCCCCACTGGGATTTTCAGTGCACTTAAGGTCTACAGATGAGGAGTTTATTTCTCAAAAAACCAGGGAGGAAATTGGTTTAGGGTCCCCCTTGGTACCCATGGGAGATGATGATGGAGGTCCAGAAGCCACAGGGAATCAGAGTGCCTGGATGGGCCATGGTTCTCCCCTGTCCCACAGCAGCAAGGGCACCCCTCTTCTAGCTACTGAATTCAGGGGTCTAGCACTCAAATATCTTCTGACTCCAGTGAACTTTTTCCAGGCAGGGTATTCTTCCAGGAGATTTGACCAGCAAGTGGAAAAATACCATAAACCCTGCTGAAGACAGGAGAGTACAGAATGACAACATTGAGCCCACACTGCAGTTTTGAAGATAGTAACTGATGGCTGGTGGGAAAGAGTTTGTTTTTGGGGCCTACTTTTCTATCTTTACAAGACTCTTATGGGCCCACCGTGGAGCAGCACTTCCCAAAACTTGTTCACTGGGGTCCTCGTGCCTATGGAATCCTTCTTTTTATAACTAAGTTTAAGAAATACTTTTTTTATAAAATCTTTGGAGTATGCGTGAGCAAATTAAAAGTTCTTTGAAGTCCTACAGTAACTTAATCTGTTTAACCTTGTTTAACCCAGTATTTCTCAAACTTTTGTGAACATGCAATCATCTTATGTGGGTACAGAAAGAGGTAAAGAGTCTGAATCAAAAAGGACCAGGTTATTGCTGTTGCTGTTTTGTGGTGTCATGAGCCATTCTCCATGTCCCCTTCTCCCTCTTCTCAGATCAAAATCCCTAGGGAGTTCTATTTTTAAAATTATGAACTATGGCGCTGCATGCTTCAATCCTGAACGTCACTGACTTGCTGTGACCATCCAAATAATTTTCCTGTCTCTGCCTCTGGGAGGGAACAGGAAGCGATGAAGAGGTCTTGGAACAGTAGTGAAAATTCTACCTCTATGTCCTTCATGAGGATGTGCAGTATCCCAGTATCACTGGGATCCATGTGGAACAGAGCCAGCTGGGGGGTTGGGCAGCTCTCTCCAAGGCAGTACCTAGAGCCCAGCTGAACAACAAGGCTTTGGGTGTGAAGGGACTCCCCAGCCTGGAGACCCTATTTGGCTGAAACAGTTACAAAATATCAAATGTGTTGTCAGATATTCCTCCAATTGTTCACATAGCTGGGATATTTGTTGCTCCCCTCACCCCTTGGATTATGTAGGGAGCCAGTGCACACAGCCTGTTTGTTTTAGTATCCAAGGAAGAGACCAAGGAGCCAGCTGGCGGGAAGGGGTGGGGGTGTGCAGTCTGCCCTGTCCTTCTGCTCATAACCTGACAAAATGCCAAACTAGTAAGCAGGATAGCTGATACCACGGCTATGAGGGAGTAGGCTCTGAGAGGGCACAGACTTGTGGAGCTGGGCGTCTGGATCAAAACTGCTTTGGGATGGAACCTCGAGCCCTAGCAGTGAAGAAGATTCCATTTCTTGTCCAGGGGATTTAAAAGAGTTTTCTGCTTTGAGAGAGAAATAGAGAGTTTAGAAAGCAATTGCTCTTGGGAAAGCTATACACAGCTCTGTTTTGTCAATGACCTTTGTTGTAAGTCTCCCAACGTCCTATTAGGAGCCACAGCAGGTGAGGCATTTGGTGCAGCAGGAAACATGGGGACTGCCTAGGCTCGAATCTGTGGCACCCTGAGCAATTACTTAAATTGTGGAGCCTAGTTCCTCATCTGTAAGATGGACTTGAGATTCCTACCTCTCATGATTACTATGGAGATTGAATAATTGGTAAAATTCTCCTAGCTCAGTGACTGCCACAGGATGGGTCTTTCAGATTTTGGTTCTCTTTAGCTTCTGGTTCTTGAAAGAAATTAATCTGTATATAACATAAGAAACTTTGAAAGTCAAAAAAACAAAAAATTTTAATTCCTCGTAGATTAATTGATTTGCTATCTTTTAGTTTTTTTTTCTATGCATGTAGATGTATTAAATATGTAAATGTTTTTCAAAGTTGAGGTAATATTGTATAGAATTTTATAGCCTACATTTTAATTTCTTGATATCTTAAGCATTTCACTTATTAGATATTGTTCAAAAATGCCATTTTTAATATTTGTATAATACCCTATCATGTGAGTATACCTTAACTAAGCCATTCCCATATTCAACATTTTGTGTACTGTTTTTCTAATTACATATATTACAATGAACAACCTTATGCATATATTTTGCATTTTTATTTCCTTAAAGTAAATTACTGGAGTTAGATTATAGTTTTAAGTTCTTGATACCAATTGTGCTGAATTGCCCTCCAGAAAGGTTTCCTGACCATCTTTTCTGCAGACAGGATAGCATTAAAATACCTTGAAGACTCATTAGTTTAAATGAGATCACAAGAACGGTACATGTTAACACATGGAAAATCATCTCATGTGTTAACTTAATAAATAGCTACTAAACTGTGTGGGCAAATTTAGCTGGACTTCCTCTAGCATCCTCTAGCTGTCTGACTTCTAGGCGGCCGAAGGTGGCTGGGAGAGATAAGGTAGTTCTCAGTACAGGGGTTCCCATATTGGCGTTATCTTCTAGCAACAAGGGAGCCCGTCTACTCTTGGCACATGCTGTGTCACACCTGTTCCTTCAAGTGGGTTCTATATGCATTCAGATAGGGGAGGGGAAGCAAAAGACTTTGAGGAATTTAGTTGTTGGTAGCATGTTTGCATTTGTTTGTTTGGCTTTTTTTTGGAGACAGGTTTTAGCTCTGTCACTCAGGCTGGAGTGCAGTGGCACAGCCATAACTCACTGCAGCCTCGACCTCCCAGGCTCAAGAGATTCTCCCACCTGAGCCTCTTGAGTACCTGGGACTATAGGCATGCACCACCATGCCCAACTAATTTTTTTTTTTTTTTTTTTTTGTAGAGATGAAGTTTCACTATGTTGCCCAGGCTGGTCTTGGTGTTGAACTCCTGGCCTCAAGTGATCCCCCCTACCTTGGCCTCCCAAAGTGCTGGGATTACAGGCATGAGCCCGTGTGCCCAGCCATGTTTGTGTTTTCATAATGGGAAAATTCCATACTATTCTAAAAGAAAAAATGTCTGCCTTCTTATACTAGAGATTAGCAGTTGTTTGATTTTCCAATAGTCCCTCATATAAAAATGCTGCATTGCATATACTTTACATAGCCAATTTAAATTATTTTTAGAATCTAAAGATGATCCTATAGATGTATGAAGATATTGCAATTAGGCTTGAAGGTGCTGGGAAAAAGGAGGTTCCCTAGAGATCCATTAGTTATTTAATGGATGATCTGTGGGAGAACTTGTACTTTTCCACAAGGTGACTGACAATGGCTTAAGTCCCCTTACAGAAAAAAAATCTGCCTGGCTGGTGTTGGGAGGCCATCTCTTACTCTTGACCCAGATTGCCCTTTGTGGTAGGAAACAGATGAGTGACTCCACTTGTTCTTCTCTTTTCTTTTTCTTTCTTCCTTTCTTTTTTTTTTTTTTTTTTTTTGAGGAGTCTCACTCTGTTGCCCAGGCTGGATGCAATGGCACTGTCTTGGCTCACCACAACCTCTGCCTCCTGGGTTCAATTCTCTTGCCTCAGCCTCCCAAGTAGCTGCGATTACAGGCGTGCACTGCCACACCTGGCTAATTTTTGTATTTTTAGTAGAGATGGGGTTTCACCATGTTGGCCAGGCTGGTCTCGAACTCCTGACCTCAGGTGATCCGCCCACCTAGGCCTCCCAAAGTGCAGGGATCACAGGTGTGAGCCACCGTGCCCAGCCCAGCCCATGTGCATATATTTTCGATGTTACCATCAGTGAGCACCTGTCAGTGTATTAGCTGCCTCCCACCCCTCATGCTCCTCAGCCACCACCAACCACCACAAGCTGTTTTGTCTTAGACTCATGGTGCTTTCCCTTTTCTCTTCCCCAGGGGATCCCACCTATACCTGAACAGAATGATGCTGCTCTCCCTTATAAACATCTGAGTCTAACAGCTGCCTGTGAGGGATTCTCAGAATGGTTAAGCTTGTCTTTATCTTGACCACAATGCCTACCCTTCATTTAGCTCTACCCTTCCATCTTGACTGTCTCATTCCTGGGTAACTTTGTCTTCTTTGAACATAGCCTTGACCTACTGGATCACAAAAAGCTCCCAGGATTCTGGGCTTGGTTCTTCTGGATAAATAGCTTATTGAATCATCTTTCAATCACACAAAATTTCTGGCTAGCCTTGGGTTCGCCTGTGTCTTACATTATTTACACTATTGTATTATGGCTATCTTACCAGTCCTGTCTCCTCTGGTTAATTTATAACAACTTTGGAGAGTGTGGGATGAAAAATTGGTCCCCTGTGCTACTCCATCCTCAATGTGCTCATTGAAATGTGTGTTTTTGAGGAGCGAAGGAAATTGGGTTAAGCTCACTCACCCTACTAATTAGGCTTTGTGGAGACAAAGCACCAGAGCAAGAGCAGATGCCTGCTGTTTAGGGAGTCAGGGATACAAAGTTTGGAGAAAACATGTCTTCAGGAGGAAAGGAAAGCTTTGATCAGCTGAATTTCTTCAAATTCCCACCCATCTTCCAGGCTCATACCATCTGCTTTCTAATTTCCCTCTCAATGGTGGGATAAAAATCCTTCAATCACCTCTTACTAAGAACATTTTCTCTGCTCATACACATTCAAGAACCCAAACTATTCAGAACATTTTAGGTCCACATGATACAAGGCCCAACCTATCCTTCCAGCCTTATCTCCCAGGATTCTCCCAGTGCACACAATAGTAGGCCATAGTGGAAAAGATGGATTTTCAAGTTAGATGTCTTGGGTTGGAATCGTGATCCTGTGACTTACTAGCTGTGTATATAATCTCTAGCAAGCTACTCAGCTTTCCAGCTTAAAGTTCCTTTTTGTAGAGTGGGAATAATAATGCCTACCTCATAGGGTTTGGAGGAGAATGAAATAGAATAAAGCAACTAAAGCACTTCATAAGAGTATCCAATACATTAAAAAAAAAAAAAAGAAAGAAAAGAAAAAGTTTTTGCCTTTGGCTGGGTGCAGTGGCTCATGCCTGTAATCCCAGCACTTTGGGAGGCCAAGGTGGGCAGATCACCTGAGGTCAGGAGTTCAAGACCAGCATGGCCAATATAGTGAAACCCCATCTCTACTAAAAATACAAAAGTTAGCCGGGAGTGGTGGCATGTGCCTGTCGTCCCAGCTACTTGGGAGGCTAAGGCAGGAGAATTGCTTGAACCAGGGAGGCAGGTTGCAGTGAGCCGAGATCACACCACTGCACTCCGGCATGGGCAACACAGCAAGACCCTATCGCAGAAAAAAAAAATGTTTGGCCTCAAACTCCCTGACATACCTTAAATCCTGTTTACAGAGGAGTGACTGACATGTCCAGTGCATGCCCTGGATAGTGCCATTGGCTAATCCTATCTTTCAGGCCCAGAAAAATCTGAGAGATTGGCTGATGAAGGTACTTCCTGGGGGAGAGGTTCCTGGAGTCAAGTCTAACCAAAAGGGCAGTTACCTGAAGCATCCAAGGATGCATTTGTACAGATGGAAAAAGAGTAGGGTGAAATCATGATAAGCTTCAGATGCTGTGCTGAGTAAATTTAACTGTAAAATCCTAAGGCAAAGCCAAAACACCTCAGAAGAATAAGTAGTTAATCAGAGGCTCAGAGAATCCAAAGAGGTGTGCAGAGCAGAGCAGTCTGGGCTGTGCATTTCAAAACATTGTGGGTAAACTAAGGGCCAGACACTATGCTTGGTCTGGTTCTAGATTCTTCTGCCACACCAGCTGTATAAACCAACAACCTTGGATCAGTCCTGGAATTCTCCTTTTCAACTCCTACAGAAGGAAGGCAGAGCCACTGGAGAAAAGAACCATACAACTGGTATCACTACAGATTTCAGCCTCTGGTATTTTCAAAGCTGCTTCTCATCTCTTTAAGTCCTTGATTCACCTCCTCTCCCATGTACATCAGTGGTTATGACAAAGCTTTATGACTCAAACTCTTACAACATATGAAGCCTTAGGAAGACACCTTTGAGCATCAAGGATACCAAGCTGCAACACCCTGGGGCAACTTCCCTGGACCATAAGAACAGGTCTGGTCACCCAGCCTCACCCTAAAGGTGGCAGAATGAATCCCCCATACCCTGTTTAAACCGCAGTCACTGTCAGGAGTTCAAGTCTTTAAGGCCGGATTCTCAGCCTTCCCTCCCCTCTTTCACTAGGCTCTCAAGTCTCCTGCTCTGTGATCAGCAAATTCCTCTATGTCCTCAGCATCTTTTCTGAAAGTATCCATCACCCTCCTTGCCTAAATTGAAGACTGGCTCTCCTCTGAGCACACTGCTTTCCAGCCAGCTTCTCACATAGAGGCTCTTTTTCTCTCCCCCCACCTCAAGGTAAGAAGGTGACATTGATGTTCTCCTTATTCTCCTTGCTGCCTCCTAACCATTATTGCCATTTCTTCCTGTGACCATCTCTCCTACCATGAAGTGCATACTATCTAGCTATACCATCCCCTCCTTCCCATCCTCACTTATCAAGACTTGAGTCATTGACTCACAGCCTTCTCCTCCTTCACAACCCTGTCATCATTCTGGATGATTTCAATACCCTGGCCATTCAGCTTCCTTGACCTCATCTTCAAAGACCTTATTCTCCCTCTACCTCACCACCCTGTCATTACCAGAAATTGTACTACATCTGAAGCCTCAATTTTAAACTTTTTCTCCTGGCTTATTTGCTCAAGTGCATCTGTGGGACTGACAACAAAATGAGACCTGAGTGATGAGCCAGCCAGGTGAAGACCTGGTGGGGAGGTCTAATTTAAAAATTGTTTTTGTAGAGACGAGGTCTCACTGTGTTGCCGAGAGTAGGGAATAGGTAGAGGGTTCAGGCAGAATCAGCCCCTGGGATAGGATGGGAATGAGCTTTGTGCCTAAGGAACATGAAGAAGTGAGTGTAGAGAAATGCAAATCAAAACCACAATGTGGTACCATCTCACACCTGTCAGAATGGCTATTATTAAGAAGTCAAAATGGTCAGGTGCAGTGGCTCACACCTGTGATCCCAGCACTTTGGGAGCCCAAGGCAGAAGGATCACGAGGTTAGGAGTTCGAGACCAGCCTGGCCAAAATAGTGAAACCCTGTCTCTACTAAAAATACAAAAAATAGCCAGGCATGGCGGCGGGCACCTGTAGTCCCAGCTACTCGGGAGGGTGAGGCAGGAGAATTGCTTGAATCCGGGAGGCAGAGGTTGCAGTGAGCTGAGATCGGGCCACACTGCACTCCAGCCTGGACAACAGAGCAAGACTCCGTCTCAAAAAAAAAAAAAAGTCAAAAAACAACAGACGCTGGTGAGGCTGCAGAGAAAAGGGAACGCTTATACACTGTTGGTGGGAATGTAAATTAGTTCATCCACTGTGGAAAAGAGAACTACTATTTGACCCAGCAATCCCATTCTGGGCATATATTCAAAGGAAAATAAATCATCCTACTAAAAACACACCTGCACTCATCTGTCCATCCCAGCACTATTCACAATAGCAAAGACATGGAAGCAACCTAGGTGCCCATCAACAGTGGATTGGTTAATGGTAACTTGTGATGTGTAAAATAAAAAAATAAAATAACCCAGTGGATTGGATAAAGAATATGTGGTACATATATGCCAGGGAATACTATGCAGCCACACAAAGAAAGAAATCATGTCCTTTGCAGCAACAATGATGCAGCTGGAGGCCATTATCCTAAGCAAATTAACACGGCAACAGAAAATCAAATACTGCATGCTTTTATTTGTAAGTGGAAGCTAGACATTGGGTGGTCACAGACAGAAAGATAGCAATAAGAGCCACTGGGGACAACTGGGTGGGGGACAAGGGTTGAAAAACTATTAGGTACTATGCTTACTACCTGGGTGATGGGAATCAATCATACCCAAAACCTCAGTATTATGCAATATACCTATGAAACAAACCTGTTATGTGTACCTCCTGAATCTAAAATTAAAAGTTGAAATATATATATTTCTCACACACACACACACACACACACACACACACACACACACACGGGCCAGGCACGGTGGCTCATGCTTGTAATCCCAGCACTTTGGAAGCCAAGGTGGGCAGATCACCTGAGGTCAGGAGTTCGAGACCAGCCTGGTCAACGTGATGAAACCCTGTCTCTACTAAAAGTACAAGAAATTAGCTGGGCGTGGTGGTGCGTGCCTGTCATCCCAGCTACTTGGGAGGCTGAGGCAGGAGAATTGAACCTAGGAGGTGGAGGTTTCAGTGAGCCGAGCTTGTGCCACTGCACTCCAGCCTGGGTGACAGAGAGAGACTCTGTCTCCAAAAATAAAAATAAAGAAAAAAAGAAATATATACACATAAACAAAGAAGTGTGTGTCAGAAGGAGAAGAAGAGGAGATGAGGTCACAGAGAGGGAGGCAGGTGTTGGATCAGAAGTGACTTAATAGTTTAAAGTAAGAAGTTTAAATTTGATTGTAAGTGTATTTATAAGCTATTGGAGTGCTTTAAATTAGGGGAGTGATATGATCTGTTAAATATTTTTGAAAACAACAGAGAATGGGGCAAAAATGAAAACAGGATACCATTTAGGATGCTCTTACAGCAATAAGAGATATTGGTGAGCTGAGCTGGGGAAAGGTGATTTACATTCTATTTGATTTTTTTTTTTTAAGTAGAGATGTGGTCTCACTATGTTGCCCAGGCTGGTCTTGAACTCCTGGCCTCATGATCCTCTCGCCTGGGCCTCCCAAAGTCCTGGGATTACAGGCATGAGTCACCACACCTGGCCGGATTTACACTGTGTCTAGACAGGAATCTTTTAGAGTACCTTTTTATTACAAGCAGCTACAGCGAAAAAGAATATCTTTTCCTCCACCAAAGCTTTCACAAAGAAAAAGCGCATCTGTAACCATATGTATACACACAAATAGTATATAAATACACATATTTGTGGGGAATGAGAAAACAGGAAGAAATGAGTAAGCCAGTTTATAAGTAAATAATTGGAATATTTTATGAATTTAACATTATTTCCTATAATAGGCATGTTTTATAACTATCTTCTTAAAAGAAATAGCATGTTTTACTTGCTTTGGAGTCAACACAAGTCTTAGGGTTAGAGTTTACATTTCCTGAGACACTAAGAATCTTCAATAAAAAAACTTCATTAATCAGAGAGTATTTACTTTTTATTTATTTATATTTATTTATTTATTTTTTGAGACGGAGTCTCTCTCACTCTGTCGCCCAGGCTGGAGTACAGTGGCATGACCTCAGCTCACTGCAACATCTGCCTCTCACGTTCAAGTGATTCTCCTGCCTTAGCCTCCCGAGCAGCTGGGACTACAGGCATGAACCACCATGCTCAGCAAATTTTTGTATTTTTAGTAGACATGGGGTTTCACCACGTTGGCCAGGGTGGTCTCAAACTCCTGAACTTAAGTGATCCGCCTGCCTCAGCCTCCCAAAGTGCTGGGATTACAGGCGTGAACCACCGCACCCAATGCTTTTTAATTTTAATTTTTATTTATTATTATTATTTTTTGAGATGGAGTTTCACTCTTATTGCCCAGGCTGGAGAGCAATGGCACGATCTCAGCTCACCGCAACCTCCGTCTCCTGGGTCAAGCGATTCTCCTGCCTCAGCCTCCCGAGCAGCTGGGATTACAGGCATGCGCCACCATGCCTGGCTAATTTTGTATTTTTAGTAGAGACGGGGTTTCTCCACGTTGGTCAGGCTGGTCTCGAACTCCCGACCTCAAGTGATCTGCCTGCCTCGGCTTCCCAAAGTGCTGGGATTATAGGTGTGAGCAATCGCGCCCCGCCCTTACGTTTTATTTTTAAATTATTAAGATTATTATAGGGCCGGGCATGGTGGCTCATGCCTGTAACCCCAGCACTTTGGGAGGCTGAGGCAAGTGAATCATGAGGTCAGGAGTTCAAGACCAGCTTGGCCAAGATGGTGAAACCCCGTCTCTACTAAACATACAAAAATTAGCCGGGCTACTCGGAAGCTACTCAGAAGCTACTCGGAAGCTACTCAGGAGGCTGAGGCAGGAGAATCGCTTGAACCCGGGGGGTGGAGATTGTGGTGAGCCGAGATCATGCCACTGCACTCCAGCCTGGGCAACAGAGTGAGACTCTGTCTCAAAAAAAAAAAGACCTCAGGCCTCCCAAAGTGCTGGGATTACAGGCTTGAGCCACCGCGCCCAGCCAGGGTATCTTTTGGAAGTAACACTGAAGACATTTTCTGATGGATGGAATGAGGGAGGTAAGGAAAAGGTATTATCATCTTCATTTTCAGTATGAGGAAAGTGATTCTCGTTAAGATGCCCACCATCATACCCTAATCCCTACCAGAGTCAGGATTCCTATGGATGTCAGGCTCTGAAGCTCCTATTTTTCTATACTGGATATCCTAGGAGCAGTGAGGTTGGTCAGGTAAAAGCCTATTTCACATCAGCGAATTTACCCTCTAGGGTTTGCATAGAGCACATTCCCCTATCCTACCCTGAGTGAAAAGAACCACCTGTTGACTGCTTACAGGTTTCATCAAAGTGAGTTTACAAAAGTAATAATAAAAAAATTAAATTCACAGTCAATGACGATAATTGTTATTTTGAGGTTTCTTCTTTTTTAAATAGAGATGAGGTCTTGTTATGATGCTCAGGCTGGTCTTCAACTCCTGTCTTCAAGCAATCCTCCTACCTCGGCCTCCCAGTCCTGAAGTTCTGGAATTACAGGCGTGAACAATATGAAGTCTCCTTCCCTCCCTGACATCCTTCCTCCCTCCCTTCTTCTCTCTCTCTCTCTTTTTTTTTTTGTTTGTTTTGAGACAGGATCTGGCTCTGTCACTCAGGCTGGAGTACAGTGGCACAAGTCTCAGTCTCTTGTGCTGAAGCAATCCTCCAACCTCAGCCTCCCTCTCAAGTAGCTGGGACCGCAGGTGCACACCACCACACCTGGCTAATTTTTAATTTTTTCTTGTAAAGATGAGGTCTCACTATGTTGCCCACACTGGTCCTTCAGCTCCTGGACTCAAGCGATCCTCCTGCCTCAGCCTCCGAAAATGCTGGGATTACAAGTAGGAGCCATTGTACCCAGTCCTTTTGAAGTTTCTTAACCCCTATTCTATAGTTAACTGATCCTGATGCTTTGAGCACTGCGAATAAGCGCTCAGTAATTTACTCATGAAAACAGTTATAGCACCAACCATGTGTAAGGAATTGTGCTGGGCAGGGGACACTTCATTGGGGCTTTTTGATTTCTGAGTTTGTGGGAAGTACAAAATGACTTAGCACAAATAATATTCAATTATTAAATTTCAAGTTCCTGTTCTGCTCCATTGCCCTTTTCATGTGGGTCTCTGTGTGCCTTCCCAAACCATTTATTTTGGTTTTAGATATTGCTTGAAATTGATGATAGGGAAAGACATATGGAATGCAGATGCTAAATTCTGTGTAACAGTTGGTCAAAGAAAAGGTGAGAATCTTAGAGTGGGGAGGATGATTTTTTAAAAAAAGAAAAGGTTAGAAACTACATAACAGAGGAAGCATAATAATGAGAAATGCTGACCCAAGGAAAGGGAGAAAAAGCACTATTCCTTGCTTTTGCTACATAAACAGTTGGTATATGAGAAAAGTGAGAAAGAGTAAGATCATTATGTGTAGAAAAGGGTGACATTAGAAATGATTATGGAGGAAGGAGGGTCTGAGGAGTCATAAACATGGGTTATATAAGGAGTCAAGGCATTTGTTCTTTCCCCACAATAGTCTCTGGGTTGACCCTTGAAAATTAAGGGTAATTGTGCCTTGTCTCTAAATCCTGAAAACCTCCCTCCCTGCCACCCCACTTTTTTTTTTTTTTTGAGACAGGGTCTTGCTTTGTTGCCCAGGCTGGAGTGTAGTGACAAGATCATAGCTCACTGCAGCCTCAACTTCTAGTGGTCAAGCAATCCTCCCACCTTACCCTCCTGAATAGCTGGGACTACAGGTGTGTGCCACCACGCCTGGCTAATTAAAAAAAGAAAGGTTTATCCTCCAAGACATCTGAATAAAATTGTTATAGAGACGATGACTCACTATGTTGCTTCCTTTTTTTTATTTAGGTAAAATCGACATATTACTAAACATTTTAAAGTGGACAGTTAGTGCATTTAGTGCATTCACAATGCTGTGCAGCCATCAGCATGCTCTAGTTTCACCTCCCCTTTCATTTATTAGGAAAGCTTGTATTCAAATCTTCTTTAATCCCATAATATGCCCATTCATCCAAACTCCTGTTCCATTATTCCATCATTTCTGCTAGGACCCAGTCCCCAAAATGTCCATTATTCTAACCCCTGTCACTCTCATGCTAGATATTGTCCTTCATGAAACCAGATGAGGGGCCAGAACAACTTTTCCTGGTTTATACCTGTGAGAAGAGAAGTGATAGAGAATGTAGTCAAAATGATTCATTTCATAACTTCTCAGATGTAGCTGATGTGGACCCAAGCAGATTCCTTGGATATTGAGAGCTGAATATGGGTATTGACCAGAATAGATTCTACCATTCAGCTGGACCAGGCCATTCTTCCCAGATTGTCAGTCACCACTCATACTATGAGTAATCCTATATAGGAACCACACAGCTTCTGCCCAAACTATGCCACTAAAACCGCTCTCTCGAAGATCAAATACTATCTCTCTCTCTCTCTCTCTCTCTCTCTCTCCCTCTCTCAGAGATGGGAGTAGTGGCTCTCACCAATATCAGTAATATCTATCTATCTATCTATCTATCTATCTATCTATCTATCTATCTATCCATCCATCCATCCATCCATGTATCTAATCTATCTACCTTAGAGATGGGGGTCTCAATATGTTGCCCAGGCTGGATTTGAACTCCTGGGCTCAAGCAATCCTCCTGCCTCAGCCTCCTGAGAAGCTGGGACTATAAGCACATGCCATCATGGACCAGCTAGCAGTGACCTTTCCATAAGCCCCTGAGGTATGGGGATTGTTTGCTACACAAGTTAGCTAAACCTAACTATTCATTTGAATAGGCAACGGACAGTGTCTGCCAAATTTCCCTATGCAAGCTTTCTCTGCTAAGGATACTCAAAAGGAGTCTTAAGAGAAAAATCTTGGTAATACCTAAGGCTTGCAACCTGAGGAAAGGGATGAGCAGGGAGGCTGAAGGGCTGATATTCACATACAAGCATTCAGTAATAAATCACTGTGGGCCTAATGCTCAGATCTTTTTTTTTTGGTCGGGGGGACAGAGTCTTGCTCTGTTGCCCAGGCTGGAGTGCAGTGGCATGATCTTGGCTCACTGAAACCTCCGCCTCCCGGGTTCAAGCAATTCTCTGCCTCAGCCTCCCAAGTAGCTGGGATTACAGGCACCTGCCACCGCGCCTGGCTAATTTTTGTATTTTTAGTAGAGATGGGGTTTCACCATCTTGGCCAGGCTGGTCTTGAGCTCCTGACCTTGCAATCTACCCACCTTGGCCTCCCAAAGTGCTGGGATTACAGGCGTGAGCCACCACGCCCAGCCATGAAGAACATTTTATTACCCCTTACCAGAAAAAGTCCTGTATTCTTCAAAAATATTAAAGACAAAGAAAAGCTGAGGAACTGTGCCAGATTAAAGAACACTAAAGAGACATGACAATTAAATGTAATATATGATCCTAAACTGGATCTTGTGCTGGAAAATAAAAAAAATGCTAAGAATGATGTTATTTGATCAACTGACAACATTTGGAACATGGATGGTAAAGTATTACAGCAATGTTAAATTTCCTGGAGTTGTTAATTGTATGTATTTTGTTTACATAAGAGAATGTACTTATTAGGATATTCAAGTATTATGTGGTAAAGGAGGATGATGCATGCGATTTACTTTTAACTGCTTGGAAAAAAAAATATGTACGTGGGCTGGGCACGGTGGCTCACACCTATAATCTTAGCACTTTGGGAGGCTGAGGTGGGTGGATTGCCTGAGTTCAGGAGTTCAAGACCAGCCTGGGTAACACGGTGAAACCCCGTCTCTACTAAAATACAAAAAAATTAGTCAGGTGTGACAGCGGGCACCTGTAATCCCAGCTACTCGGGAGGCTGAGACAGGAGAATCGCTTAAACCCAGGAGGTGGAGGTTGCAGTGAGCCGAGATCATGCCACTGCACTCCAGCCTAGGTGACAGAGTGAGACTCTGTCTAAAAAAAAAAAAAAAAAAAAAAAAAAAAAAGGCATGTATGTGTGTAATATAACTCTATCTATCTATAACTGCAAATGATAAAGCAAAAGGGGCAAGATGTTAATAATCTGGGTCCTCTTTTTGTCACTCTTGCAACATATCTGTATGTTTAACATTATTTCCAAATAAAAAGTATTCTGGGGTCTGGATTTTTAAAAAATCATTGAGGTTCTCCTCCTGTTGGCTCAAGGGACTTTTCTGCTTTTTATCGTTTACTGCAGACCTTCACTCTAATCTGGTTTTCCCAGTTTCACAACCTGTTGGCTTCTATTTAAATTCTCTTTTTTTTCCTAGCCCCTAGGATTCACTATTTGTTTGAATAGTTTGCCTAGCTTTTTGGTTCAGCTTCTCTCAAGACACAGCCTTCTCATCAGCTTCTCCTATTTGGCCTTAAGCACTGCCGCTCTTGGGCAAATGACTTCTTGCCTGCAACACTGAATCTAGGCTGTAGGCCCTAGAAGGATGTCATACCCTGAATGAAACTTGAATGCTTCCGATTGCTAACTGCTCCACCTCCCTCTCCAGTTGCTCTGACTTGGTTTAGGAGGATGTATTTCACATATCTGCCCCTTCTCGCCTTCTTTCCTGTGTAATCAAACCCTCATCATAGTTTTCTGATTAGGATCCCTTTCTCCAGTCTTTACCCACTCCAGCTAGCCCTCTTCCTTCACCATCACTAGTTCTCTCTCACATTACCTGTCTGAATAAACTTCTTTTTTGAGACAGAGTCTGGCTCTGTTTGCCCAGCCTAGACTGCAGTGGCACGATCTCGGCTCACTGCAACCTCTGCCTCCCGGATTCAAGCGATTCTCCTGCCTCAGCCTCCCGAGTAGCTGGGATTACAAGCATATGCCACCATATCTGGCTAATTTTTGTATTTGTAGTAGAGATGGGGTTTCACTGTGTTGGCCAGGCTGGTCTTGAACTCCTGACCTCCAGTGATCTGCCACCTTGGCTTCCCAAAGTGCTGGGATTACAGGCATGAGCCACTGTGCCTGGCTACCTGTGCGAATAAACTTCTAACAGCTCTACATTGCCTTTCAAAATCTGACTCAATTTACCTTACTACTTCCAAATCGTGCAACTTCTCTGCTTAACTGTAAGCTCCTTCAGGGCACAGACCATGCCTTTTCTTCTGTGTATCCTTAATTTCTTTTTTTTTTATTTCTTTCTTTCTTTCTTTTTTTTTTTTTTGAGACAGAGTCTCACTGTCGCCCAGGCTGGAGTGCAATGGTGCAATCTCGGCTCATGGTAGCCTTCTTCTCCTGGGTTCCAGCGGTTCTTCTGCTTAAGCCTCCAGGGTAGCTGGGATTACAGGCATGCGCCACTACACTTGGCTAATGTTTGTATTTTTAGTAGAGACGGGGTTTCACCATGTTGGCCAGGCTGGTCTCGAACTCCTGACCTCAGGTGATTCACCTGCCTCAGCCTCCCGAAGTGCTGGGATTACAGGCATGAGCCACCACACCCAGCCCCTTAATTTCTTATATAGTGCCTAGCACACAGAAGATGCTCTATAAATAGTTACTGAATGGACAAATGACTAAACTTTGAAACTTCTTTGACCTTACTATGCTCAAATATCACTTCTGATGTTCTTCTCCGACTCTCTCACTTATCTTATATATGTCTGCACACGTTTTTTCCTCATTAGACTGTAAGGTCCCTGAGGGAAAAGACCATGCTTTATTCACCTGTCTCATTCATACCTGACCCAGTGTCTAGAAGAGTGTATAGCACAGAGCAGGCACACAAGCAGTTTGCTGGATGAATGAGTGAATGATACTAAAGAGGAGAAAATACAGACTTTAAGAAGCTCTCCGTATAGTGAGAAAGACTGAGGACCTAAGAGCAATGAAAATAGAAGTTAACAAGTATAAATAAAGAAGGTACAGGTTAATTTAAGTAATCAGATGATGATGCAGAATTCAAATAAAATAGGAGTCAATCAGCAAAGGTTCCCGAAAGGGTGAATTCTGAGAGATATTTGAAAAGAGGAAAGGGACATAACTTGAGAGAGCAGGAGTTTAGGAACATGTCAGAGAGTTAGGTTGAACCAAGGCATGATAAACATGTTTGAAGCTTACATTCTGAGCAGGATCTGTTCTACCCAGACCACAGGTTTCTGCCTTTTTTTCTGGCTCATCAAGCAGGCATGTTTACCCACTCTTTTTATCTTCATGTTTCCCAGGTCAGCCCAATGTGAGGACTTTAAGTAGTAGAAGGAAGTTTCTGTGAAAATATGCAAACAAAACTGCCTTGTGGGATCGAACATTTTTGGTAACCCTAGTTCTCTAGGGAAATAAACTTCCCTGTTCCAGATAAAATGGAACTGCTCCCCGTGTTGTTAAGCCAGAGAGAAAGCCAAATGACTTCCCTTAAAAGGTACTTCAGCGCATTTTACACAAATCATAGTTTTCTGTGTGTGTTATGGGGATCCAAGGAAATCAAAGATGTTAATGAGTGAGATTTGAGAAACAAAACTTGATAGTAGAATTTTGTCTTAGCCACAACTGCCCTTCTCCTCACAGAGTATATGCAAATACCGATGGTGACGGACAGTCACTTTCTAGAGCTCAGATCACTGCTGCCTCCAGCACTTGTGGGATGGAAAAAATGAAGAAATTACAGTTGCCCTAAAAATGTCCCCCACTTCAGGAACCTGAATATTTTACACAGCAGGAGATACATCGGAAGTCCTACAGAATCTCTTGACTTTGGGAGATGCAACTGCTTTTCTATTAGGATAACCTAATTTTCTGTGTCCATTTTCTCAGAATGTTGTGCCCAACGCGTTCTGTTTCCTAAATACCCAGCCTTCCTTCTGGTAGAGGCAAGAAAATTATGCTAGCATTCGCTCACTGCATGTTTTGAGCGTTTGAGTTCAGAGTACAGCTATTCTCTCTCCTCGTAATGTAAACACAGGTTCCCACGGCGGCAATGGGAGACTCCCCTAAGGGGCTCTTGACGTACAGGGAGACTTCCAGATATGGTACACAGATGTCACATTGCTAGAACGTCTCTAGACGGCAACGAAACATTAAAGCCTAACCTGAGGTAATCCCTCACCGGCAGTGAAGCTCCTCTGCTAGGCACTGTCGTCCCGTACACTGCCCAAGCTCTGGGGGTGTCACACTAAACTGTGGTGATGTCACACTAGCTGGGATGACATTTTACAGTTGGATCCCGTACCACCGCCAGGCACCTTTAAATCACCGCAGAGTCTGCAGTGCGGAGGGGGCGGGAAGTCCAGGCCCCGCACTCGATCCACGCTGGCTCCCTACGGAGGCCCACCTACTCGAGGCCCACCGACTCCTACTGCAATCAGTACTATGCGATCGTCCTAGAGAGTCCATTCAGCTGCACTTCCGCCTCAGTAGGTGTCATGGCGCGGGGCGGGTGAATAGTTCCGGCGAGGCGGGGCCGGCCGGGTTGAGGGACGGCCGCTCGGCATTCCGTTCGTCGGGTCTGGCGACAACGGCGGCTGCGGAGCAAGGGGCCCGGCGGTAGCCCCGGACGGCAGCAGGAGGCCGAGGCGGGAGCGCGCGGGGCTGAGGCGGCGGCGGCGGCGGCGGGAAGGGGCTGGGTGGTGGAGCGGGAGGGAGGCTGAGGAGGCTCCCCCTGCGGGACGGGCGCGGGGACGGCTCCGGGGGGCGGGGGCCGGGGCCCGGGCCGGCTCGCGCGGGGGGTATGATGACCCGGCTGCGGGGCCCCAGATCTCGTCTCCTCCGCCGCCTCCTCACGGCAGCCCCAGCTCGCGGCTGAGAACCAGACACACCGGCGGTGAGTGGGGACGGGCAGGAGGGGTCCTCGGCGGGGAGCGACTTCCCCTCAGCTCCCTGAGGCGGGGCCGGGCCGGCCGCCGGCTCTCCTGGAGCGCCCAGCCTGCCGGGGGCGCCTTCCTCAAAGGGCCCCTGCCTGGGACCGGGCGCCGCGTCTTGCGGCCCGGCCGCTCACTGCCGCTGAGGGGATTGCCTTCCCAGGAAGGTGGGGAGGCTCCGGGCTGGTTTTCGGGGCAACTCCCCCTGCCTCCTGCCACTTCTCGCCTGGGCGTGTTGTCCTTAAGTGACAGGGGACCGCCTTGCGTCTCCTCACTCGGCCGGTTTTTTCCCCGGCTGTCGTGGCAGGTTCCCAGTGTGTGGCTTGTGCGTGTGTACTTCACAGCTCCGCTTATCACCATGGTTTTGGGTTATTTGTGCTGTTTGGGACCAGGAAGCCGTGCCTGGAGAGGACGACAGTGGGGTGGGTGTGGAAGCTTTTCTGTCGTCTCCGCTGATGTTCTGTAGTCGTTAGGCTTGTAATTCGTAATGACGGTGGAGACTACGTGAGACCAGCCCACCTAATGTATATCTGTACAAGGGAGATCTAGAGGTCTGGCCCAAAGGGAAACTTTTGCTGCCACCACTTTCAAAGCTTTCGTTAAAAAAACAAAAGGGAGGGGGAAGGTGGAGAAACAACCAAAATTCTGGTAAGGCCCACACTGTTCACAGGTCTGTGGGGAAGAGTCCCCTTTTTGTGCTTAGCAACCAAGACGTGGAGTTCCGTCTCCAGGAGCGTTGGTCTAACCTCCAGTTTGTTGTGGTGACGAGCTGTGAGCAATGGCCTGTGTTTATGCTGGGCGAGCTTTCTTTCCTACTTGGGGAGGGGGGTTCAGGATGGGAGGATGCGGGTAGGGAAGAGGGGGGGAAAACCCCCAAGCTCCAGTAAGTCTTTTCTTTACTTAATCACTGATTCTGTTGTAGGTAGACTCATTTAGAGGCAGTCCTAGATGCTCTTTCTTGTCTATTAGTGACACTTTGGGAATTCTCAGTAATTGCATCAACATAATACTTTCAGCTATAGACTCTCTGTCCCAATCTGTCCTTTATCTTGTTTCTTAGTAACTGGTGAAAACAGCAGTGTGGCTTCCCGCTCTTGATGAAATAGGGTTAAATTAAGTGGCTGATGCCCTCAGCAAACCTACAATTTTCCTTTTGTTTGTGTAAAGCTATTTTTGATCTCTGGTCTGTGGGTTTTTTTTTTTTTTTTGTAAGATTATAGAGAATGCAAACTATTACTAGCTTTTTTCATATGGAAGCCTAAAGCTTTCTATAAAACATTTTAAAATCTAACAAATCATTTGACCTAATTTTCATTATTCAGCTGGTGATTTTGGATCTTTACATGTAATTATCTCAGGGTTCTGTGTTATAATACTGTTATGATGAAGGGTGGCATTGACTTTAAGATACTGTTCCTGGCTTGAAAGATATTTTAGTAAAGTACTTGCGGTTGGAACTGGAGGCAGCCAAGCCAGTAAAGTATCTTAGAATAAAATGGTGAATGAGATCTTATAAATATACTGGCTCTGGTTGGCAAGTAGAACTTTTGCTGGTGATACCTTCATGAATAGTTTATCTCTCGACACTGTAGTTTTGTGGTTTTTTGAGCAAGTTCGTTGGTAACTTGAGACTTCAAACCAAACCAGAACTTCCTTCTAAAAGAAAAAAAAAGAAGAGATAATCTCAAAGTTCACAATTCTTTGGAAAATAAACTTCTTTCATTCTGTGCTTTTGTTTTTATAAGCACAGCTCCATCAATGATTTGTTGGTACAAATCAGTGAGTCATACCGGCCTTGTAAAGTTCTTACACTTGGAACTTGTGCAGCTTGTTAGTTATATATTGTAACTGGTCTTGTAATTTGAAGTAATTTTGCAAACATGAGCTGCTTGATCTGCCACCTGCATGAGTGTATAACAGCAGTCTGTATTTTTTAGGTCTTTTTAAAAAAAATTTACTATTATTCCTCCCGTTATCTTCCCTTCCTCTCCCTTTGTGCCATTCTGAACACAAGTCATCAAGATTATTTTCCTTTAAGTACCACTTCAACAATCACTGGTTTGTCTTTTGGTTCCTTTTGTTTTTGTTCCTGATCTTCCCTTTAGTTGTTGGAACCCAGCTCCTAAATGCCTAATATATTCCTGTAGTGCATAATTTGGCACTTGAAAAATTTACATCCTGTTTTCATATTTTTCTTTCTTTTTCATGTGTTATATCATTTCAGCAACATTTTAAGTTTTTTGAAGGTAAGGAAACTTACATTTCTTTTAGATTCTTTAAGGGTACCTGGTACAGTGCTTTCCCAGAGTGCTTAAGGAAAAAGAATGAGAAGACCTTTGCCAGCATTGCTACTCATTAGCGCTGGGTAAAACTCGTTTGGCCTTTTTGGATCTGTTTTTTTTTTTTTTTTTTTTTATTTGAGACAAGATCTCGCCCTGTCGCCCAGGTCGGAGTGCCGTGGTGGGTTCAGGCTGGAGTGCAGTGGTGGGTTCAAGTGATTCTCATACCTCTGCCTCCTAAGTAGCTAGGACTACAGGCACTACAGGCACGCACCACCATGCCTGGCTAATATTTGTATTTTTAGTAGAGATAGGGTTTTGCCATGTTGGCCAGGCTGGTCTCAGACTCCTGACCTCAAGTGATCCACCTGCCTCGGCCTCCCAAAGTGCTGAGATTACAGGCGTGAGCCACCATGCCTGGCCTGGATCGCCTTTTTCTCATCTCGGAATTAGGGGGTTTTAGAATCTTTAAGGTCCCTTTTATCTGTAAGAGTTCCAGTACTTTTTTGCTAGTGTCTTCTGCTCCAGTTAAATATATCTCCTTACTCTACACGGTTTTTTATTTTTCCACATCCTTTGGCATACTAGCATAGCAAAAGTCATCTCATTCTTCTGAAAGAGCCTCCTCCATCTTCCATTCTCCAAACTGCTGTTGCCTTACTTAAGTCCCGTTTTCCTTCAGCCTTTGCTGGCATATTGTTTATGTTTCATATTGATCTCTGCTTTGTTAATTTTAACTTTTTCTTATCCTGGAAACTCCTCAAGGTATAGTTTTCTTAATTCTAAGCTTTATAGACCTATAGACTGTTATGTGCAGGTACTAAAATGTAGTACCTTTTTACTAAACACAAAGCACTTACTTTTCTTTTGTTCTGTTGCCGTAGTCATTCCAAATAAATCTAAGTGAACTATTGATTTTGATACAAAGCAACAGCCTCTGCCACACTGAAGAAGTGAGCTTTAAGCAGAGACTAGAAGGGTAAGTAAAAGTTAGGAAAAGAAAAGCCTAAGGGGGAAAATGAAGTTCAGAGAGGAAACATGTTGAAGGAACTAGGGCCAGAGAAGGCAAGGTCTATTGTGGGAACCCAGAGAGACTTGGTAGTATTGGAAGAGAAAGTGCCTGGGGAAAAGCGCAGATGAAACAAGGCTGTGCAAGTAATCGTGGTCCAGATCTTGCAAGGCCTGGTAATCCAAATTAGGAATTTTGGTGTTTGTCCTAAGGTTTTAAGTGGGGGATAGGTACACTTTTTTTTTTTCAGATGTGCATTTTTAAAAGCTTCAGTTGAGAGGTGAATAATGAATTGGGAGAGGGGAGCTTAGAAAAGGGGCTTGAGGCCAGCATCGTGGCTCACACCTGTAATCCCAGCACTTTTGGAGGCTGAGGTAGGTGGATCACTTTAGGAGTCTGAGACCAGCCTGAGCAACATGGTGAAACCCTGTCTCTACAAAAAATACAAAAAAATTAGCTGGGCGTGGTGGCATGTACTGGTAGTCCCAGTTACTCGGGAGGCTGAGGTAGGAGGGTGGATTGAGCCCTGGAGGTCCAGGCTGCAGTGAACGAACCATGATCGTGTACTGCACTCCGGTCTGGGTGACAGAGTCTCAAATAAAGGGGGGAAGTTGAGAGTACAATTTGGAGGAAACCAGTTAAGCTGTTTAAGTATGGGATTGTGCAGTAGGGGTGGAGAAAACTTAGGAGAGTAGAGAGAGATTTAGGTGTTCTGTTGGGAAGAATTTTCTTCCCAAACTTGTCTCACTTTGTTTTTACAGAAGATGTACTCTTATCATCTGTAAAAAATATGTATCAGAGTATGTGATAGACAATATGTATACCTGTGTTCATGTCATCTGAGGATAAGTGCTGGAGCAAGAAATCAATATATAGTACAGTTTTTAGGTCATTTGGCTAACCAGCTGTTAAATTGTATGAAAGAGGCAAAGATAACATTGAGCAAAAGCAACAGGAATTTATTACTGGTGTGTCAGGAAAAAGGTTACTGAGGGGTAAGGACAAATCAATGGAAAATGATTACCTGGGTTGTCTTATCCAACTGTTCCATTCAGGGTTATAATATTTGGATCCTTTTAATAAGATTATTTGCCTATAGTGCTTATAGTGTGGAGCACCCAGTAAATAATGTTAAATGGATGTGACCATGCCAGGGAGTGGGAAAGTTGTTAATCTGTTTTTGAAAGCCTTGGATTCTAGCTATTATCTTTTAGCAATAAGTACAAGTACCAATGATCTTTTGCCCATCATTGCTACTTTGGTATTAATGAACTGGGCAAATTTGTCATTATATTGAGATGGTTAAGTCCTTGGAAAGTCAGATTTGAAATGTAAAGACTTCATTTATTGCTGGAGTCAAGAGGCGCAGCATTTTCAGGAAGTCAAAAATAACTTTTTATGCCAGGTACGGTGGCTCATGCCTGTAATCTCAATATCGTGGGAGGCCAAGGCAGGAGGAGGATTGCTTTAGAGCAGGAGTTTGACACCAGCCTGGGTGACATAGTAAGACCTCATCTCTGAAAAAAAAAAAAAAAAAAAAAAAAAATTAGCCAACTGTGGCATGTGCCTGTAGAAATTAGCCAAGCGTCCTGGTGTGTGCCTGTAGTCCTAGCTACTTGGATGGCTGAAGCAGAGGATTGCTTGAGCCCAGGATTTCGAGGATACAGTGAGCTGTGATCACACCACTGCATTTCAGCCTCACTGACAGTGGTGAGAACCTGTCTCAAAAAAAAAAAAAAAAAAAGAATCAGCTGTTTTTTTTTTTTAAACCTTTATTTTAGGTTCAGGGGTACATGTGCTGGTTTGTTATATAGGTAATCTATATGTCACAGGGGTTTGGTGTACAGATATTTTGTCGTCCAGGTAATAAGCATAGTGCCTGACATTTATTTTTTCTGATCCTCTCCCTTCTCCCACCCTCCACCCTGAAGTAGGCCCCAGTGTCTGTGGTTGGCCTCTTTGTGTCCATGTGTTCTCGTTCTTTAGCTCCCACTTTTAAGTGAGAACATGCAGTACTTGGTTTTCTGTTCTGTGTTTGTTTAGGATAGTGGCCCTCCAGCTTCATCCATGTTGCCTGTTGCTGCAAAGGACATGGTCTTGTTCTTTTTTATGGCTGCATAGTATTCCATGGTGTATATGTATCACATTTTCTTTAGTCTACCATTGATGGGCATTTAGGTTGAATTTCATGTCTTTCCTATTGTGAATAGTGCTGCAGTGAACATATGCTTGTGTCTTTGTGGTAGAATGATTTATATTCCTTTGGGTATTTACCCAGTGATGGGATTGCTGGATCTAATGGTAATTCTGTTTTAAATTCTTTGAGGAATTGCCACATTGCTTTTCACAATGGGTGAACTAATTTATACTCCCATCAGCAGTATAAGTGTTCCCTTTTCTTCACAACCTTGCCAGCATCTGTTATTTTTTGACTTCTTAATAATATTCATTCTGACTGGTGTGAGATGGTATCTCATTTTAGTTTTGATTTGCATTTCTCTAATGATTAGTGATGTTGAGCAATTTTTCATATGCTTGTTGACTGCAAGTGTGTCAAAAATAGCTTTTTAATTTATTGAGTTGCTATTCACATTGAATTGAAAATATCTGTAATTTGCCTCACAGATTCTGATATATAGTAAGTTTTCCACAGATGTTAATTCTGTTTTTGTTGTTGTTGTTGTTTGAAAGCTCTCCACCTAGGAAGAGAATTGCCTCCCCACTTGCAAAGGCAAGTTTAATAGAACATAATATCTTTATCCTGTGTCTAGAAATTGCTGTTTTAGCTGAGTTTCAGAGTAGAATATAAATAAGAGTCTGTTGGTTTTTCTAGGCCATTGTGATTCTGTATTTTCTTCTCACCTTGTGTTAATTGAGGTCAGAATGAGTCTCAGCCACACTGTAAGAACCCCGGTGGTCTGATACTGACTTTTTGTACATCACACCCTTGCTGTGGGGAAGACCAGTGAAAGAATTCTGAGTTGTCCTTTCCCCTTGGGTGAACTAAATTTGTCTTTATGGATAAGAACTATAATCATTTAATATTAAAACATTCTGAAAAATATCCTAGAACTTGTACTTTTTTCAGTGCCCAGTGTGAAGATCTGAAATCATAAGTAATCTTTTATTATGTTTTTTGGGTAAAAAGTTGGCAATAATGTTACTCTGCCAAATGCAAAATTTTATAGAGTATCTAGTTACGAATCCTTTTTTTTTTTGAGATGGAGTCTCACTCTGTCGCCCAGGCTGGAATGCAATGGCATGATCTCAGCTCACTACAACCTCTGCCTCCCGGATTCAAGTGATTCTCCTGCCTCAGCCTCCTGAGTAGCTGGGATTACAAGTGCGTGTCACCACGCCCAGCTAATTTTTGTATCTTTAGTAGAGATGGCGTTTTACCATGTTGGTCAGGTTGGTCTCGAACTCCTGACCTCATGATCTGCCTGCCTTGGCCTCCCAAAATGAATACATTTTTAAAAATTTGGTATTTCATGAATTCTTTTCAGTATTACTTTATGACCCCCCTATTCCTAGACAGTTGCTACAAACTGCAAATTTTCTATTTAGATTCTTTCACTAAATACTTCAAGTTACATAAAAGTTGTGTTTATGTTTTTTGATAGATTGTTAAAATTAGGTGAACAATATTAACATTGTTAATGGAAAACAAATTTAGAAAATTTGCTTCCTTTTGTTGTTCAACAGGTTGGCTTAATTTTATGATAAATACTTACACATATATTTTAATAGGTGCATTTTGTAAAGGAGGTACTTGGTTTCAGATTTTTCTTTTATTATATTTGGTATTTCAGTGAAGTAGGTAGAACAAGATGATTTGTAAATTCAGCCTCACAGTTAAATTGTACTGACCTTAGCTTTTAATTTGTACTTTTTTTTCTCTTCAAAGTTTATATAAATTATGGAAACTCTTAAAGTAAATCTCAACTGAGTTTTAGAAATTGAAGGCAGAGGATTTGTTCTTTCCAGCTGACTAGTCCAGTGCAGGTGGTTTCTAGTTGTATTCAGGCACAAAGAAATGTACTTACTGCCTTTTGATGTTCTGTAACATCCTTTGTCATGTTTCCTTCCTTTCTTGTTGTGTTTATTCTTTTATGATTAGTAATGTTATACTGTATGGATTGGAGTAGAGACTTCCCCCATGACTCAAGGACCACACAGATAAAAAGGAGGGAAGACATTAAAAAAAAAAAATCAAGGATCGAGCATTTGAAAATACTACAGTTGAATGTGAGTGGTAGGGAGTTGTATTTAATAGATATGAGATTGGTAGGCAGGGGTCAAATAATTCATCCAACAGATAATTGAGTATGTATATATTGTCAGTCTGTATAAGGCTTTGGTGATAGAAGAGCAAGACAGAGATGGTACATGTGCCGGAGCTTATACTGTAGCTGGGAATGTAGCATTAAATAAATACTTTCAAGTTAACAGGTTGCTGTGGGAATGCATGGTGGGGGCAGGGGGTGATCGTAGGGAGCGTTTCTGCATGTGACAGAGGTGTCAGGGCAGTTTTCGCAGCAGAAAGTCTTCAACATATTTAGAGGGCCTGGAGGTGAGTGGCCTTCCAAGAACTAAAGAAAGAAAGGCAGTGTGGCTAGAGTGGGGGTTAGGGGAGGAATCAAAGTGGGGAGATGTTGGAAGGCAGCAAGCAGATTTTGGAGTGCATTTTAAGGCAGGTTGAGACAGGTTTTTTTTTTGAGATAGGATCTAGCTCTGTTGCCCAGGCTAGAGTGCAATGGAGTAATCACAACTCACTGTAGCCTCAATGTCCCAGACTCAGATGATTTTCCTGCTTCAGCCTCCTGAGTAGCTGGGACCACAGGCATGTGCCACTTACACTTGGCTTTTTTTTTTTTTTTTTCCCGGTAGAGATGGAGTCTCCCCATGTTGCTCTGGCTGGTCTTGAACTCGTGGACTCAAGTGATCCTTCCACCTTGGGTTCCTAAAGTGCCAGGATTACAGGCGTGAGCCACCACATCTGGCCTAATTTTTCTTTTCTTTTCTTTTTTTTTTTTGTTAATGCTTCCCAGGCTGATCTTGAACTCCTGAGCTCAAGTGATCCTCCTGCCTGGGCCTCCCAAAGTGCGGGAATTACAGGCTTGAGCGACCATGGCCAGCCAAGTTGAGAATCTTGGACATTATCTCCAAAGCAATGAGAAACCCCGGGAGAAGGGGAAGCAAGATGGTTAAGAAGAGAGAGCAGTTATCTGATTTGCATTGTTTAAAAGCAAAGATCTACTGAGTGGATTTAAGGAGATTAGTTTGGAAGCTACTGGCAGTTTGAACTAGAATGGTGCCAATAAGGGTAGGGAAAAAGGGCTGATTTGAAATATACTTAGGAGGCCAGGGGCAGTGGCTCACGCCTGTAATCCCAGCACTTTGGGAGGGTGAGGGGGGTGGATCACTTGAGCTCAGGAGTTTGAGACCACCCAGGCAACATGGTGAAAACCCATCTCTACTAAAAATACAAAAAAATTAACTGGGTGTGGTCGTGCACGCCTCTACTCTCAGCTACTTGGGAGGCTGAGGCAGGAGAATTGCTTGAGCCCCAGAGGTGAAGGTTGCAGCGAGCCAAGATTGCACCATTGCACTCCAGCTTGGGCTACAGAGTGAGACTCTGTCTCAAAAAAAAAAAAAAAAAAATACACACACACACACACACACACACACACACACACTTAGGAGATGGAATGGATAAGATAGAGATTAGATGTGGAGGAATAAGGGAGAGGAATGAGCCAGGATAATAGTATTAAATATGTGGTAGACACTATCATTTTACATGTATTAAATTATTTAATTCTCAGAACAACCCCATGAGGTAGGTATTGCTATCACCATTATGTAGCTGAGGAAACAGACATCCCTAATTTTTTTTCTTTTTTTTGAGACAGGGTGTCATTCTTTCACCCTGGCTGGAGTGCAGTGGCACGATCACAGCTCACTGCAGCCTCTACCTCTGGGCTCAGGTGATCACTTCTGCCTTCTGAGTAGCTAGGACTACAGGCATGTGCCACCATGCCTGGCTAACTTTTTTTTCTGTTTTTTTTTTTTTTTGTTGTTGTTGTTGTTTGTTTGTTTTAGAGACGGTTTCACCATGTTGCCCAGGCTGGAGCTCCCTGATTTCTGGCTTGAGGCGTTGGATGTGTGATGGCATCTCATAATTAAGATAGAAAACTGAAGGTGGGGTGGAGGCTCGTAAGTTTAATTCTGAATGTATTGAATATGAGGTGTTTGTGAAATGTCCAAGTTGCAGGGTTAAGTAGTCATTTGGATATAGGGTTTGGAGTTCAAAGCGAGAGAATCCTGGGTTAGAGATAGAGATTTTAGTCTTTTGAAGATGACTAATTTTGAGGAGTAATTATTAAAAAGGGGCAAAGGGTAGAGCAAGGAAAGAGGGATTACTATAGAGCCCCAAGGCATATGAGATCGGATGGTTGAAAATGGAGAAGATAAATATGAAATGGCTTGTGTGCTATGTCAGATGTTTGGACTTTATTCTGAAAAAATAGCTTTCAGTTTAATCTGTGGGCTTATTGAGCTGGAAGTGTCTGTGGGATATTCAGGGACAGAAAGCTGGACTGTTCTTACATCCTTTCCTCATATTTTTCTGCTAACTTTCCTCGGTTCTTCAGAATATACTCTAGCTTTCTCATCATCCTGGTTACTTTTTTTTTTTTTTTTTTCAATTTTAGTATTTTTAGAGACAGGGTCTCACTACATTGCCTAGGCTGGTCTCGAACTCCTCAGCTCAGGAGATCTTCCTGCCTTGGCCTCCCAAAGTGCTGGAATTAAAGGCTTGAGCCACTGTGCCTGGCCCATACTGGTTACTTTTTTATCTTAAAATGTGGTAGACAATTGAATGCATTTTATGTATGACCTGAGCAGAGTGGATAATCTTCACTTTGTCCAGCACGTTCTGTACACTGTTTCTATGAATATAGGTCAAGATTGAATTAGTTTTTGAGAAGAGGAGAACATTATTACATCATGTTTCTTTTATCAAGTAAAAGTGTGTGTGTGTGTTTGTGTGTTTTAAATCTAAGCCTTGTATCTTTTATCCTTGTGGTCTAATTCTTCCTTTCTCTCAATATAGGTATGGCATCACAGCTGCAAGTGTTTTCGCCCCCATCAGTGTCGTCGAGTGCCTTCTGCAGTGCGAAGAAACTGAAAATAGAGCCCTCTGGCTGGGATGTTTCAGGACAGAGTAGCAACGACAAATATTATACCCACAGCAAAACCCTCCCAGCCACACAAGGGCAAGCCAACTCCTCTCACCAGGTAGCAAATTTCAACATCCCTGCTTACGACCAGGGCCTCCTCCTCCCAGCTCCTGCAGTGGAGCATATTGTTGTAACAGCCGCTGATAGCTCGGGCAGTGCTGCTACATCAACCTTCCAAAGCAGCCAGACCCTGACTCACAGAAGCAACGTTTCTTTGCTTGAGCCATATCAAAAATGTGGATTGAAACGAAAAAGTGAGGAAGTTGACAGCAACGGTAGTGTGCAGATCATAGAAGAACATCCCCCTCTCATGCTGCAAAACAGGACTGTGGTGGGTGCTGCTGCCACAACCACCACTGTGACCACAAAGAGTAGCAGTTCCAGCGGAGAAGGGGATTACCAGCTGGTCCAGCATGAGATCCTTTGCTCTATGACCAATAGCTATGAAGTCTTGGAGTTCCTAGGCCGGGGGACATTTGGACAGGTGGCTAAGTGCTGGAAGAGGAGCACCAAGGAAATTGTGGCTATTAAAATCTTGAAGAACCACCCCTCCTATGCCAGACAAGGACAGATTGAAGTGAGCATCCTTTCCCGCCTAAGCAGTGAAAATGCTGATGAGTATAATTTTGTCCGTTCATACGAGTGCTTTCAGCATAAGAATCACACCTGCCTTGTTTTTGAAATGTTGGAGCAGAACTTATATGATTTTCTAAAGCAAAACAAATTTAGCCCACTGCCACTCAAGTACATCAGACCAATCTTGCAGCAGGTGGCCACAGCCTTGATGAAGCTCAAGAGTCTTGGTCTGATCCACGCTGACCTTAAGCCTGAAAACATCATGCTGGTTGATCCAGTTCGCCAGCCCTACCGAGTGAAGGTCATTGACTTTGGTTCTGCTAGTCACGTTTCCAAAGCTGTGTGCTCAACCTACTTACAGTCACGTTACTACAGGCAAGTGGCAAATGCTGAAAATCGTATCTTAGGCTAGAGTTCTGTCCTTATATTTAACATATACCCCGTAGGCTACATATAGCAATGAATTTGTTTATAGATTCTGAGATAGAAATAGGATATGTTTTAGCTCATTCTATGTGTGTGGCATTCCTATATATGACATTTATTTCTGAAATTTTATCTAGCACTGGAAAAATTAACTCAGTCTGATTCTGAAAGTTGTTACTAGTTGAATTATACTAGCACCTGGTTCTTTAGTATTATTTTACCTCATTTTCCCATTTTATTTATTTTATTTATTTATTTATTTATTTAGAGACAGAATCTCGCTCTGTCGCCCAGGCTGGAGTGCAGTGGCGTGATATCAGCTCACTGCAAGCCCCACCTCCTGGGTTCACGCCATTCTCCTGCCTCAGCCTCCTGAGTAGCTGGGACCACAGGCACCCGCCATCACGCCCGGCTAATTTTTTTTGTATTTTTAGTAGAGACGGGGTTTCACCGTGTTAGCCAGGATGGTCTCGATATCCTGACCTCGTGATCCACCCGTCTCGGCCTCCCAAAGCGCTGGGATTACAGGCGTGAGCCACCGTGCCCAGCCTATTTATTTATTTTTTTAAGATGGAGTTTCACTTGCCACCCAGGCTAGAGTGCAGTGGTGTGACATTGACTCACGGCAGCCTCCACCTCCTGGGGTCAAGTGATTTCTCCTGCTACTCCTGTCCTGAGTAGCTGGGACTACAGGCACCTGCTACCACGCCCGGCTAATTTTTTTGTTTTTAATAGAGATGGGGTTTCACCATGTTGACCGGGCTGGTTTTGAACTCCTGACCTCAGGTGATCCACCCGCCTCAGCCTCCCAAAGTGATTAGAGGCGTGAGCCACCATGCCCAGCCATTTTCCCATTTTGAAGAGTCTTGAAATACACAAAGATATTTACTTATTTGTAATGAATCTGAGCATATGTTGCTGTTTTTTCGAACCTCTTATCTTGGCAGGTAAAATAACGTGGGAATAACTCTAGGTTTAACTCTAGTAACATTTTATTCTTTTACATTTTCTTCTGTAGTAGCATGAATTGAATTACATGGTTGCTACAATCTCTTCCTGTTTTAACTTTCTCTAAATACTTTGAACTTAATGGGTTATCCTAGAATGGCCTTGACCCAAGTACCTTATACTTTAATGATATATATTTCTAGATTGATACTTTTAATGTAGCTACCATTTTAATATATAATAATTATTGGGACAGTATGTAAATGCTGATATATACAATTTTGTCTGTACCATAACCAAGGCTTTTAAAATGTGCTTTTTATCAGCACCCATTTACTTACTTGCCTAGTTATTAATTTTAAGGAATCTAATATTTAGTTTTAATGGCCATACATTAAATACAAATCATGTAAGCATCCAATCAAGAAGTGAAATAATAAAAACATAGATAACCTATAAAATATGTTTATAAGGAGCTATACATGCCAGATGCCTGTAATAAAATTTGAGGAAATAGAAATTCTGAATTAAGAATTTTATATTATGTGTGAAAATAATGTGAGGATATTTTAACCCATACAAGGACTCAGAAAAAATGTCATCTGCATGTTTCCTTTTTTAAAAACATTGTGGTAAGATGTTTATAATAGGAAATTTACAATTTTAACCATTTGGTACCACTCATTGTGTTAAGTACATTCATAGTGTTGTGTAACCATCACTGCTGTCTGTTAAGTATATTCACAATGTTGTGTAACCATCACCACTATTTCCAAATGTTTTCATCACCCAAAACAGAAATTCTAACCATTAAGCAATAACTCCCTATTCTCTCTTCTTCCTACCACTGGTAATCTTGATTTGACTTTCTGTCTCTATGAATTTGCCTATTCTAGATACTGCATGTAAGTGGAATCATACAATATTTGTCTTTTTGTGTCTAGTTTATTTCACTTAGTGTAATGCTTTTGAGGCTAATCCATGCTGTAACATGTATCAGAACTTCATTCCTTTTATGGCTGTATAATATTCCATTGTTTGTATATACCACATTTTGTTTATGCATTCATCTGTTGGTAGATATTTGGGTTGTTGCTACCTTTAGGCTGTTGTGAATAATGCTGCTATGAACATTGGTGTACAAGTATCCTAGTCCCTATTTTCAGTTCTTTTGGGGATATAGCTAGGAGTGGAATTGCTGGGTCACATGATAATTCTATGTTTAACTTTTTGCAGAATTACCAAATTATTTTCCACAGAGGCTGCACTATTTTACATTCCTACCAGCAGTGGATGTGCATTCCAAATTTCTCCACATTTTCTCTAACATTTGTTATTTTTTTTATTTAAAAATATTGTTTGTTTATTTTTACAGAGACAGGGGCTGCCTCTATTGCTCATGCTGGAGTACAGTGGCACGATCATAGTTCACTGTAGCCTCCAACTCCTGGACTTGAGCAGTCCTCCCACTTCAGCCTCCCAAGTAGCTAGGACTGCAGTCACACTCCACCATACCTGGCTAATTACTATTATTTTATTTTTTGTGGCGACAGTGTTTTGAGGGTCTCATTTTGTTGCCCAATCTGGTCTCAAACTACTGGCCTCAAGCCATCCTCCTGCCTCAGTCTCCCAAAGTTCTGGGATTACAGGTGTGAACTACCACTCCTGGCCTTGTTTTGTTTTTTAAATAATAGCCATGGGTTTTTTTTTTTTTTTTTTTTTTTTTTTTTGAGATGGAGTTTCACTCTTGTTGCCTAGGCTGGAGTGCAGTGGTGCGATCTCGGCTCACTGCAGCCTCTGCCTCCCAGGATTCTCCTGCCTCAGCCTCCCGAGTAGCTGGGATTACAGGTGCCTGCCACCACACCCAGCTAATTTTTGTATTTTTAGTAGAGATGGGGTTTTACCATGTTGGCCAGGCTGGTCTCGAACTCCTGACCTCAGGTGATCTGCCCACCTTGGCCTCCCAAAGTGCTGGGATTACAGGCATGAGCCACTATGCCTGGCCAATAATAGTTTTTTTTTGTTTTTTTTTTGTTTTTTTTTTGAGATGGAGTCTTGCTCTGTTGCCAGGCTGGAGTGCAGTGGCACAATCTCGGTTCACTGCAACCTCCACCTCACAGGTTCAAGCAGTTCTCCTAGCTTGGCCTCCTGAGTAGCTGGGAATACAGGTGCCACCATGCCCAGCTAATTTTTGTATTTTTAGTAGAGACAGGGTTTCACCATGTTGGCCGGGATGGTCTCGATCTCTTGACCTCGTGATGAAGTGCTGGGATTACAGGCATGAGCCACCGGGCCCGGTCAATAATAGCCATTCTTATGGGTGTGAAGTGGTATCTCATTGTGGTTTTGATTTGTATTTCCCTAATGATTAATGATGTTGAGCATTTGTTTTATTTTGTTTTGTTTTGAGACAGAGTCCCACTTTGTCACCCAGGCTGGGGTGCAGTTGTGCAATCATGGCTTACTGCAGCCATGACCTCTCAGGCTCAAGCAGTCCTCCCACCTTAGCCTTTCGGGTACCTGAGACTACGGGCATGCACCCCCACACCTGACTAGTGTTTTGTATTTTTAGTAGAGACGGGGTTTCACTGTGTTGCCCAGGCTGGTCTCAAACTCATAGGCTCAAGTGATATGCCCGCCTCGGCAACCCAAAGTGCTGGGATTACAGACATGAGCCACCATGCCCAGCCTGGCATTTTTTTATGTGCCCGACATCTGTATATCTTCTTTGGAGAAATGTCTATTTAAGTCCTTTCCTCATTTCTTGAATTGGGCTTTTTGTTGTTGAGTTGTATACTCTATATACTTAATTTTCATCTATTCCTTGGGTTGCCTTTTTACCTGTTGATAGTGTTTGACACAGAAAAGTTTTTAACTTTGGTGAAGTGCAGTTTGTCTACTTTTTCTTTGGTTGCTTGTGCTTTTGGTGACATATCCAAGAAGTCACTGTTAAGTCGAAATCATACAGATTTTCCCCTATGTTTTCTGCTAAGAGTTTTATAGTTTTAGCTCTTATATTTTGGTCTTTGATTCTTTGTTGATTTTTGTCTATGGTCCAAGGTACAAATCCAGTGTAATTCTTTGGCATGTGACTATTCAGTTCTTCAAACACCATTTGCTAAGAAGATTGTCCTTTCTGCATTGGGTGGTTTGGGCACCCTTGTTGGAATCATTTGAACATATATACAAATAATTCTTATCTTCTATTGCTTTCCCATTTTCAATGTTGGGCTCTCTATTCCATTAATCTATATATGTCTTTATGCCAGTACCACATTGTTTTGATTATTGTAGCTTTGTAGTAAGTTTGAAATCAGGAAGTGTGAGACCTCCAACTTTGTTCTTTTTCAAGATTGTTTTGGCTATTTGGGGTCTTTGAGGGTCCATATAAATTTTAGGATGGGTTTTTCTATTTTATACAAAAACCATAATTGCTTTTTATTAAGGATAGCGATGAATCTGTAGATGACTTTGGGTAGTATTGACAGCTTAATAGTAAGTCAGTCCATCCTTATTTCTTTATATCTTTTCACAGTTTTATAAAACTGGTATTTTTTACTTGAGGTAAGGTAAATAAACTCTTAGAGCCTTTGTTTTCTGGTTTTATGCTGCCCTAGGCAACCTTGGCTAACTTTAAGAATGTCATCTCCATTTATTTATTTATGCCTTGGGAGATTTAGGTTCCAACTACATTTGCTTTTTAATGCTCTCCTTTGAGCAGTCTCACCACCAGCCACACCAACATAACATATATATAACATACTCTACAGGTGCACTGAAGAATTCAGCGCAGCATCCCATTTTGAGTCCTCAGGAGGGACTAGGCAGACCACAGCTGAAGGAAGAGGGCTGATCAGCTCTTCCTTTCTGTCTTGACTCTGTGCCTGCAGGTGTTCTTTAACTATTTGTTTGCCCTGTCAAAGACAAAGTGCATTCTCTTGTGATAACAGAGTAGTTTTTAAATTGAAAAAGGGAGAGCAATAGGAGATAAAAATTATTTGGCTTTGTTATAATTGGGGCATGTTAATACAAAATAAAATGAATTATTTGGCTGCTTAGCTTTCTGTAATGTGTAATTCATTTGAATAATTTTCAGTGTTAGGTTGCTGATCTTTGTATTTTTTATCCTTTTAATTTAAGCTGTCAATTGATTCATTTTGGTTTTGTTTTTTATAGAAACTAAGGTTTTCAAATCTTCAAAGTTACCCTTCGACAAAGCTTTCTTTAAATTCACTGCAATATAGTTGTTGACTATAATTTTAAGTGGAGCTAAGTTTGCCTCTTAAAAACAGGAGTTCATTCTGTGTATTACTGAGTAATTACTCTGTATACTGAAGTTCAGTGCCCAGGGCTTGACAGTGTTTAGGATTTAACATGAGTGTTCTGTTGTGTCACAGTAATACTTGATAATGAGCCTAAGGCAGATGGAACAGCAGCTCAGGCATTCCTTCTTTATCACTAGTTTTACCCGCAGTGGTCCTCTTAAGCTTCTTTGATGTTGCTTTGTTGCCATATTAGAGTCCATTAAGTCCTCACCCTTCTGTCTTTCAAAAAACCTCTGTGAAATCTGTTTGGCTGGTGAAGCATTTTGACTCCAAAGCTAGTCCTTCTCTTACCCACCTTTTTAGTTTACCTTGCTTTGTCTTTCTGATAATATGCCAGTATTATCAGCTCACATAAATTTGCCAACTTGCTGTGTCCATTGGCCCTGGGCATGGCTAAATGATTCAGGCAGTGGAAATAATATACTTTACTCTCTGGCTCACTGTAAATGTGCACAGACTCCAAGCAAAGCTCCTGTCTTTCGGGCTTGAGTTTTAGAGACAAAGGTTTGCCATGCTTACAGGCTGAATGTTTTTCCCTACTGAACAAACTAGCCAGCCTTTATTTCAAGCTGAATCACTTTGTTACTTACGGAAGGAAAAGGTCTAGAGAAGGAAAACGTATCTTCCATTTATCCTAGACAAACAAATAATCTAATTTCCTCTGGCAGTCAAAATATAGTTTCACCTAAGCCACTGATGCAGGAAGTTAGGTTTTATGTAACCTCTCTAATTGGTAAGTAAGTAGGTTTGATGTCTCTGAGATAGGAAGAAAGAAACGAAAATGTTCATGAAAATAATCAGAGTGATTTGTGTTAAGTGATCCTAACCTTAGCTTGCTCTGGGTGCCAGTGAAATTAACCTCAACAATGTTGGTTGGAAGAATTTTTCAACTTAAAGAAGTTTGAAGTTGGGGAATCAAAAGGCAGGGATTGTTGTTTCTATCACTTAGCTGTAATAACCAGAGCCTGTTTAGTATTTGTTTTTTAAGGATGGGATGTGTCTTCAAAGAGGAGACTTGCCATGTTCAAAGCACAATTAATGCCATTTTCCTACTGAAGTGAACACTGCCAGTTTTTAACAGTTTCTTTCACTTTCCTGTGCTTCTGTAGATAACCTTTTTTACTGCCCAGTTGTTGGAATGTTACAGCTGGAAAGGGACCTAGAAGAGTAATTATCTAACTCTGTTTCCTTATTACACAAATGAGGTAGAACCAGAGTTTTACGTGTCTGTAGAGTTTATATTGAGGGATTAAGAAATAAGGAGGCCAAGAGGAAAGATGTAATGAAAATAATTCTAATAATTATAATCTGGATTCACAGTTTAAAGTATTCAGTCCTTAGAGATAAACCTGCTCTAGTGATGCCTTACTGTTCAGTAAAGTAGAAAATAACTTGTCTTTTTGCTTCGTAGAGTTTGGGTAAGTCTAACATTTATAGGCCCAAATAATACAAAACCCTCAGTGAACTAAGCAGCCTTACTGCTTTTTTGTTTGTTTTTGAGACAGGGTCTCAGGCTGGAGTGCAGTGGCGCAATCATGGCTCACTGCAGCCTTGACCTCCTGGGCTCAAGTGATCCTTCCACCTCAGCTTCCTGAGTAGCTAGAACTGCAGGCATGCACCACCATACCTGGCTAATTTTTTAAATTTTTTTGGTAGAGATTGGGTCTTGCTGTGTTGCCTAGGCTGGTCTCAAACTCCTGCTCAAGTGATCCTCCTGCCTTGGCTTCCCAAAGTGCTGGGATTATAGGTGTGAACCGCCGTTTCTGGCCGTATTTTTTTTTTTTTTAAACTGCTTTCCTTTTTTTGTTTTTCCTTTTGCTATTTGCCTTTTTATAAGGTAGATACGGTAGAGTTGCTGTTTTGACTGAGCTTTTGCTGGAAGTCCTTAGCTGCTTTTGTCACTCCAAAAGCAGGGTGAGACCAAATGAAAAAACTTTCAGCTAATCTTCAGTTTTTTTTTTTAATTAAATGGGACTTGGGGGCTGTGGAAGTGATATTTTCCTTAATTTCCCAGAAAACTTTAAGCTCGAGACAGTTATCATATATTATTGCTACCTTTTTTATTTTTTTCTGAGACGGAGTTTCGCTCTTACGCCCAGTCTGGAGTGAATTGACGTAATCTTGGCTCACTGCAACCTCTGCCCCCCGGGTTCAAGCGATTCTCCTGCCTCAGCCTCTGGAGTAGTTGGGATTACAGGCGCCTGCCACCATGCCCAGCTAATTTTTGTATTTTTAGTAGAGACTGGGTTTCATCATGTTGGCCAGGCTGGACTTGAACTCCTGACCTCAGGCCATCCACGTGCCTTGGCCACCCACAGTGCTAGGATTATAGGCGTGAGCCACCGCGCCTGGCCTGTTATCGCTACCTTTTAAAGAAGAAAGTTATAGAGTGGCCTGGCCATTCTCTGTGACCTACCTTTTGGACTTTAAAATGTCTTTCTAGTATGGTAGGAATAGCAAAATCAATATGCTGCCCTCCAATTGATGCTTTGGAATGTTCTAAACCCAGTTTTTATTTTGGCTCATTGCCAGTTGTGCTCCCCCTGCCAGCTATTTTTGGCATTGTCATGAACTTGGAAATTAATGATTCTGCTCACTAGGAGTAGAAAATTTTGTTCCTTTTCAATTTTAGAAAAGCTTTTATGTTGTTTCTGGGTAGTCTTACTAGCTTATTAATGCGCCTGTCAAACTTGTGCAGTGTTGAAAACATGCCATTATGGTTGAGATTTCACTGAACTCTGAAATTCCATCAGTAATATGTGCCTCTAGCCACCTGCAACAGGAATATCACTTTTGAGGGTTACTTCTTTTCTTTTCTTTTTTTTTTTTTTTTGAGACAGAGTCTTACTCTGTCACCCAGGCTGGAGTGCAGTGGCACTGTGTCAGCTCACTGCAACCTCCGTCTCCTGGGTTCAAGCAATTCTCCTGCCTCAGCCTCCTGAGTAGCTGGGATTACAGGTGCCCGCCACCACACCTGGCTGATTTTTTATATTTTTAGTAGAGATGGGGTTTCACCATGTTGGCCAGGCTGGTCTCAAACTCCTGACTTCAGGTGATCCAGCCTCCTCGGCCTCCCAAAGTGCTTGTATTACAGGCATGAGCCACCGCACCCGGCCAGTTATTTCTTTGGTAAACAAAACCACAGTTCAAATTAAATACTACAAAAACTGATGATATTGGTGGTTCCACCCATAGCTGTTAAAAAGTGTAAGCCCGAAGAGGCCTGGGTCGACTGCTATTTGTATTTAAGGATCAGAAAAGCTTTCAGGCCCTGTGGAGTCCCCAGATTTACTGTTTTCTAAGGGCCACTATTTATGTATAAATACTAGGGGAGGATTTTTTTTTTCTTCTATGCCTAGTTTGCTTAGATGGGGAGGGATATTCTTATTTAGGGAAATTATATTCTCCTTGCTTAATCCTTGCCTTCCCTCAACCCCCTGCACATATACACAAAACAACAATAAGCACATATCACTTGAAAGTAGTTTGAGAAACCTGGGTATTCTGTGAGGAGACACGGCCAGTTAGATGGTTCTTCACGGAAAGATCTGTTTTCCATTTAACTCCTGTAACATGAGGAATCTGAATCTGGATCTGGATCTGGATCTGGAGTGTCCTTATAGATTATAATTCCATGACTTGTAAGAAAGAAAGGAAATTATTTGGAGAAGATGATCCAGTGCCTAAGAGCTGAAATCTTGGATCCAAATAGCTTGGGTACCATCCTTTTTCTTTTGTTGAGATGGAGTCTCGCTCTGTCGCCCAGGCTGGAGTGCAGTGGCAGATCTCAACTCATTGCAACTTATGCCTCCCAAGTTTAAGTAATTCTCTTGCCTCAGCCTCTGAGTAGTTGGGATTACAGCTGCCCGCCACCATGCCCAGCTAATTTTTGTATTTTTAGTAGAGATGGAGTTTCACCGTGTTGACCAGGCTGTTCTCGAACTCGTGACCTCAAGCAATCCACTCACCTTGGCTTCCCAAAGTGCTGGGATTACAGGTGTGAGCCACTGCGCTGGCCAAGGGCACCATCTTTTAGTAGTTATGTAGCCTTGGGCAAGTTACTTTAACCTCTTAGTGCCAGTTTCTTCATCTGTAAAATGGAGGTAATACTTTTATTGCATAGAATCTAACATGCCATTGATTATAAGATACATTATTTTTGTACCACTTAAAAAAGGAAAAGCGCTGCCATTAAACTAAAATATACCATCATTTGTAAGAATCTTCTTAATTTCAGAGGTGCTAACATGTAAAAAGATGTGTATCTTAGAATTGATGACATCATAATAATACTTTGATAGGATTGTTGTAAGGATTAAGTGACTCAACATTTATAAAGAACTTAGAACAGTGCATGGCACATAGTAGGCAATATTTATGTGTCATTTATTATTATTGCTATTAGTGTTACCTATTATTTTCTTTTTGAACCCACTTATTGCCTAATTAGTCATAGTTTGACAATTGCCCTTGTATTCCACCATGTCAAATATAAATTTACATAGATGAGTATGTACTTTTACTTATTGAGAAACAGTGTAATATATAATATACTCAATTCTGGAGCCAGATTGCAGGGATTCAAATCCTAGCTCTGCCACTTATTTGACTGTGACTCTAGGCCAATAACTTAATCTTTCTTTTTCTCAGTTTCTTCTTCTGTAATGGGGATAATAATTCTATTTTAGATGTGTTCGTATATATAAACGTCTGAGTTATGGATTACCTTAGTCATCTCTTTAAAGTTCCCTAGCATTTTATTTCTCACTTGGACTGTTAATGAATATTTCTAAAAAGCACACTAAGAGTTCAAAGTTTTAAAATAATGGTAACATAATACTGTTATTATATCTAACACCTACTAGTATTTACCATGTGCCATGCACTGGTCTAAAAGCTTTCATATATTTATTTAAGCTTCACAACAACTCTATGTGGTGGGAACTCTTACTGTCTCCATTTTATAGATGAGGAACCTGAGGCACAGAGAGATCAAGTAATATACCTGCAGCTATTAAATGATGGAACTAGGATTCAGACCCTGACAGGCTGGCTCTAGAGAGTGTGCTGTCAACACCATGTCTCTTCAGAAGGCATTTCTTTTTCTTTTTTTTTTTTCCAGAAGGCATTTCTGTCATGAAGGGTTATTTATTGACCAGGGCTTTTTTTTTTTTTTTTTGGACTGTCTTGGGTCTCCTAGGCTGGAGTGTAGTGGTGTGATCTTGGCTTACTGCAACCTCTACCTCCTGGGTTCAAGCGATTCTTTTGTCTCAACCTCCTGAGTAGCTGGGATTACAGGCGCCCACCACCACACCTGACTCATTTTTGTATTTTTAGTAGATTTGGGGTTTCACCATATTGGCCAAGCTGGTCTTGAACTTCTGACCTCAGGTGATCCACCCGCTTCGGCTTCCCAAAGTGCTGGGATTACAGGCATGAGCCACTGTGCCCAGTTGACCAGGCCTTTTAATTGATTTTTTTTTTTTATGATTGAAATGGTGCTAGGAATAATAATAAAAAAAATCTATTATCCCTTATCTGTGATTGCAAAATTCAGAAAGCTCTCATAAATGAAAATTTTTCTTTAAGTTTGGTATAAATTCATTTAATTGGCAAGACCTGACTTGAACCATTGTTAAGCTATTTGAAGTCTTTATTTAGCCAACTTAGTATGACTGTTCCATGTTTTGTTGCAGAAATATTAATGTGTTTGATTATAGTGCACTGCCCTGAACTCCACTGGGATTATTATATAATGTGTACTTTGTGTTCTGCATTACCTTTCTGAAATTCAAAATATTCTGAATTCCAAAACACATCTGGCCCTGAGCTTCAGATGATGGATTGTATACCAAAGATTTTTTTTCCATTTCATTGAATAAATGTTCCTTTAGCTAATACTAAAACAGGACTTAGTCATGTAGTTAATTTTCCCAAATAATGTTTTTTTTTTTTTAATCTGATATTTTTTGTTTTTGCTAGAGCTCCTGAAATTATTCTTGGGTTACCATTTTGTGAAGCTATTGATATGTGGTCACTGGGCTGTGTGATAGCTGAGCTGTTCCTGGGATGGCCTCTTTATCCTGGTGCTTCAGAATATGATCAGGTAAAAGTGTTTATTTGAATGGAAATAGAATGCAAATAGTTACTTGTGAATTAGATTCTGGAGAAAGAGAAGTACTAAGTACTACTGAAGTATTTAGATAATAGGGAAAGAGTAGTCCAATTGCTACTAAAGAACTTTTTAAAGAATAGTATAATTTTCTCTTCCTGCTTCTTAGGCTAAAGTATGTTTGCAATTCTATAATAAAAAAAAGAATTTTATTTTATATTAAGGTTGATACTTTGCTAGATCTGTAATGATTTATTAGAGACTTAACTTTCATTAACTTATGTGCTTTGTGAGTTAGGAAAGTAGAGTAAAGATGAGGAACTGGAATTTTAAAAGAGAACTTCTACTTACTCGGAGCTATTATAATTTACTTTTACGCATGACACACTGAAGTACTTTCTTCAGACTGAAACACTTCAGGTCCCAGAAGCTGTGACATACTGGGTCGCTAAGATAGGATTTAGAAAGGAAATCATCTGAGTTGTAGTAATATATGATCTGTATCTAAAAATAGACAAACTTTAGGAGATATGGTATAATTTCCTAAGGAATTGGTCCGTTAAGGGAAAATGTTTTACTATGGAAGTAAATTGTGAATTCTCATTTCTTGTTATTTTTTCTTTTTTCTTTTTATTTGTTTGAGATGGAGTCTTGCTCTGTCACCCAGGCTGGAGTGCAGTGGCGCGATCTCGGCTCACTGCAACCTCTGCCTCCCTGGTTCAAGCGATTCTCCTGCCTCAGCCTCCTGAGTAGCTGGGATTACAGGTGCCTGCCACCATGACCAACTAATTTTTGTATTTTTTAGTAGAGACGGGGTTTCACCATGTTGGCCAGGCTGGTTTCGAACTCCTGACTTCAGGTGATCCACCTGCCTCAGCCTCCCAAAGTGTTGGGATTACAGGTGTGAGTCACCGTGCCTGGCCTTCTTCTTATTTTTTAAAAATGTTCCTGCCCTTTATGATGTAAGCTCCTTGAGGGTAGAGATTGTTTCACATCACCAGTGTATCCTCAGCTCCTAACACTGTGTCTGGTACACAGTAAGTACACCAGTTTTTTTGTTGTGGTTTTTAAGTTTTTATTTTTTTAGAGACAGAGTCTTGCTCAGTCACCCAGGCTGGCATGTAGGCCTGTCACAGCTTACTGTAACCTCTAGCTCCTGGGCTTAAGTGATCCTCCCACCTCAGCCTCCCAGGTAGATGGGACTATAGGTGCATGCCACCTTGCCTAGCTAATTCTTTTATTTTTTGTAGAGTCGGGGATCTTGCTATATCAGCCTAGGGTGGTCTCAAACTCCCAGGCTCAAGCTATCCTCCTACCTTGGCCTCCCAAAGTACTGGGATTACAGGTGTGAGCCACCATGCCTGGCCTATATTGTCAAATATCTTTACTTGTCCGTAAATACACTTCTACCTTGTCATTTACAATGTCTGCATGGTATTTTGGTTTCCAGCTACAGGATTTAGAAAGGAAGTTATCTGAGTTGTAGTAGATTCCACAGATTTGAAGTATTAGAAGTCAACAGGAAAAGCAAAAAAGATTATAGCCAAAATTTTCAAAACTGGATTTCCTTGTAAATAATAGATACAGTAGCTGTGGATGGATTAGTATATATAGGTATTTACAGATAAATTTCAGTTGTATTGATTAAAGATTTGATTTCTTCCTTTGCCTAAAGTTAATGATGTTTTAGTGTAAAAGCCTTTAATAATTTCCCTTTTCACTCCAAATAGTTGTTTGATGGTTTTGATGTTTCAGATTCGTTATATTTCACAAACACAAGGCTTGCCAGCTGAATATCTTCTCAGTGCCGGAACAAAAACAACCAGGTTTTTCAACAGAGATCCTAATTTGGGGTACCCACTGTGGAGGCTTAAGGTCTGTCTTCCCTACTATGCTTCCGACTCCTGTACTCCACCCCTCACTCCCCAATTTTGAATTCAAAGTTTAGTTATTAAATTCTTCAGGTAGAGAAGGGAAAGGAGAGGGGGAAGCATTTTGAAAAATTATTTCTTTGTACCTGTTTGGCCTTATCCTCAGTTGAAAAACAAAACATTAATTGCTAGTTCAGTTGGCTGAGGTTATTTTGTATATGTTCAATCCACAGCTGATAGAAAGTTTGGAGGGTAGTGCTCACCATTAAGCGATAGAACTAGAGACATATAGTAATGACTGATTTTTAGAGAATTCTCAATGAACATGATAAAATCACAAATTTTCTAACTGCCCACATTCAGGACTTCTATATTTTTTCTTGAAACAAATACCTGCTTTTTACTTCTGAGCCTACTCTGTCAGGTTCAGAAATATCTGAGTAATTTGACTAACCCTGTGACTGTGTGTCTGAGTCTGTTGAACAGTTAGCATTTGAGATATCGATTTATTTGAAAGTAGCTTTAAGAGAACAATGGTAGTGTCCCCTTTTACCTGACATTCTTTAGGAACTGTGCTGTATCATTACTTGCATGTTTATCACTGTTGAAAGGGTAGCTAGATATCAAGGTCACATCTCTCCACTGGAAGATTTTCTGGTTGTGAATTACTTTCATGTTTGCCATCTATGGTTGGCAAGGTGACCACACTTGTCTCTTGTATTCTGGCTTTGGTTTTGAATAAAATGTGAAAATAACATACAGATGGAATTTAAGGAGGAAAATCTTTATTTTATAGACACCTGAAGAACATGAACTGGAGACTGGAATAAAATCAAAAGAAGCTCGGAAGTACATTTTTAATTGCTTAGATGACATGGCTCAGGTGAGTACGGAAAGTTTCAGAAAGTCAGACATTTATTTTTAATCAGAGACACTTCTGTTGATTATACTAAAGACAAATTTAATGTTATCTTTCTAGTATTTGTTTTCAGTTTTTATAAAAAATGCATTAATATTCCACCATGTAGTAAAGGAACATTTAAATCCTAACCAAGTATATTTTTAGAATTACATATTTCTCTCTTGCTTTACTTGTCTTGTTACATAGCAGTGTTTTAAAATATTACTTATGAAAGTTTCTTGTCCCATTTTCTCTATTAAATACTTAAGAATTATATTTATTGAGCGCCTATTATGTTACGAACTCTGAACACTTCACACTTATGTCATTTAATTTTTTCAACAGTAGAAGCTTTTATATTTAGGTAGTAACAATCACTATTGCTTAGCTACTTGTTCCATTTTTTTTTTTTTTTTTTTTTTTTTGAGACAGAGTCTCACTCTATTGCCCAGGCTGGAGTGCAGTGGCGTAATCTCAGCTCACTGCAACCTCTGCCTCCCGGGTTCAAGCGATTCTCCTGCCTCAGCCTCCCAAGTAGCTGGGATTACAGGCACGTGCCACCATGCCCGGCTAATTTTTGTATTTTTTTTAGTAGAGACGGGGTTTTGCCATGTTGGCCAGGCTGGGTCTCAAACTCCTGACCTCAGGTGATCCACCTGCCTTGGCTTCCCAAAATGCTGGGATTACAGGCATGAGCCACCGCGCCCAGCCCCCAAATTTTTAATGACAAGAAATTGTTTAGCTTTCTTCTACCACTCAATTTAGATGAAGATTTTAATTAAACAGCATAAAAAGAGCTTCCTCCTCTGAAAATGATTAGATTTTCATAAAAAGAATTTCCCCAGGTTTCTCTTTTGATTACATATATACACACACACATAGTTTGGAGGGAAAGCAGCTATGTAGTGTCAGTGCCAAAGGTTAAGTGAAGAAGTATAATTCTGAATTTTCTTTGGAAGGTGAATATGTCTACAGACCTGGAGGGAACAGACATGTTGGCAGAGAAGGCAGACCGAAGAGAATACATTGATCTGTTAAAGAAAATGCTCACAATTGATGCAGATAAGAGAATTACCCCTCTAAAAACTCTTAACCATCAGTTTGTGACAATGACTCACCTTTTGGATTTTCCACATAGCAATCAGTGAGTATGGAATATTCTGGGGCTTTTGCCATGTGGTTCTTTGTTGAGTTACCGCCTTATCAATGGCACTATCAAATGAGCCCGCCACTTTGGTGCTTATAAATCTGGCTCAGCAGTGCTTTTCTTTCTCATTGAAACATCATAAGATAAAAATTAGATGTGTATTTTTCTTCCCTATGATTATACAAATTCTTGATTTATTTTATCTGAAAGTGATTGGGAAAAAAAGCTTTGATCCATGTTCATCTTGAGTTATTTGCTGTCTGTTTAAATCTCAGCATTCATTTAATGAATCTTTAATCTCCTTTTCAGTGTTAAGTCTTGTTTTCAGAACATGGAGATCTGCAAGCGGAGGGTTCACATGTATGATACAGTGAGTCAGATCAAGAGTCCCTTCACTACACATGTTGCCCCAAATACAAGCACAAATCTAACCATGAGCTTCAGCAATCAGCTCAATACAGTGCACAATCAGGTATTCAATAAATAATTTTGGAAACTCAAGCTTAAGTGGGATAGAAACTAGTAAGAATACAGGGCAAGGTAAAGAACCAATTTTTGTTTTGGTGGTCTTGTTGCTTCTTAGAAATTCTCCACTTGACAAAAGTTGATGGAAAACAGGGTAGACTGATAATACTTACCAGGCACAGGCTAACTAAAGTTAAATATAAAGGCCTAATCCATGCCCTCATATGTTCAGCATCGTCAAATAAATGGGGTCTGACTATTATGCTACTTACTGCTGTTAGTTTTACTGACTTTAGCCAAATGACTTTCTCCCTGTTAGGAGAAGGATTTTATATCTCTTGTTACTGTATTGAAAGGTTTCCAGTCATTAACTTTAAGGGTGGTTTTGCATTTGTTTGCTAGCCAGTGATATTTGCATTTAGGTTTATTTCTGAAGATGTAAGCTTCCCAGTTTCTTGGCTGGGTCTACTTTTTTAATGGAAGAGCCTATGAGATTTGGTGGGATCTTCCATCCAGTAATTTTTTGTGCAGAAGTAGTTGGGGTTTGTGTAGCCACAGCCAACATAGGACCATTCGTTTTTTTTTTTTTATTTGCTTATTTGACCATATAATATGCCTTCAATTTAGGGACTAGGGAAGTTTCTTAAGCAGAGAGTTATTTCAGAGGCAGTTAACATTACATTTTAAAACATTATTCTACGTTTTTCTGGATAAATTCTGTATATATAAAATTATTGTGTGTCTCTACTTAATACAAGTGTACAAATATAATCCTTTTGTTTTTAGGCCAGTGTTCTAGCTTCCAGTTCTACTGCAGCAGCTGCTACTCTTTCTCTGGCTAATTCAGATGTCTCACTACTAAACTACCAGTCAGCTTTGTACCCATCATCTGCTGCACCAGTTCCTGGAGTTGCCCAGCAGGGTGTTTCCTTGCAGCCTGGAACCACCCAGATTTGCACTCAGACAGATCCATTCCAACAGACATTTATAGTATGTCCACCTGCGTTTCAAAGTAAGTGGGGAAACTCCTGTATCATATGGTATTGTATCAGACCTACCTGCTTTAGGCAGCTCTAGTTGTTTAGTTCTGATCTTTACAAGTTTAAACTCTGTCTCTGATGAAGAAGGTAACTAAAATTGGGTAATATCACAAAATGGATTTTCTCTTTTTACATAGGCTATTTATCTAATTATGATGCTATCTGATGCATTGTAAGAGCTCACTTTATGTTTCCTTAATTGAATTGCCTGATACCAGTTTTCTTGCCCATTGAGTCCTTGTGTCAATGTCGTACGTCTTGTATAAGCATGTATCTGTCAATATGCAAAATCTATACAACTTGAAAAAATTTGTTGTAAGCAGAATTGCTAAATATTGGATCTTATTGCCTATATCATTCTATTATAAAAATTATGTTCCCAATAAAAAGTGATTTTATTCTAAAATGTAAAAATCATGTTTAAGAATGTGGAAACATCTTAAATTACTTAAGGAAAGAAAAATCATTATTTATTGAACTAAAAAATCCTACAGGCTGAGGTGCTTGTGTGGGGCAGGCATTAAGATTATCTTCTTCAGCTTATGAATCATATAGTTCCTGCAAACTCCTGTCAACAGAGGAACAGAATAGCTGAAGGAGGAGGCGGAGTCCCTGTGTTGCAATAAGATTTTAATTTTCACATTCCCATCCTTCTTAATTTTCACATTGTTGTTCTGTAATCTAGTCTGTCCAGTTTCTTTTTTCTGTATATGGGAAATGTGTGTTTAATCATTTGGTAAGCCATTTAGAAGAATGTTACTTTAAGGCTAAAATCTAATGACACATTTGACTTTCCCAAGAGAAGGTCAGTGTCAGTACCCTGTGAGAATAAACCAGGATTCAGGTATTTCATATAACACTTTACATAGAAGCAGGTAGCATTTTTGCCTTTTTACATCAATTACTTATTGACCGTGACTCTCTTGTTTGTTTGGTTTCTGATAGAGTCGGAGCAAGCAGAAGGAAAAGAGGGGCTAGGGGGGTCAGAGAGATTACCAGGAGGACAGGAGAGCAATAGCGATATAAACCAGGGAGAAACCACAGGGAGAGCAGAGGGACAGATTCAAAATCCGTAAATGCACGTTTAGCCTAACTTACCAAATTATTTTCTGCATATGCTTCATAATAGTAAATTCTGTAGTTGGGATTGTCGTATGTTGAGTGATTCTTCCACAGAGCTTAGCAGATTAGCCACTTTTTTCACCACTTTTTCCGAAGAGTTTCATTGGAACAGTTTTCAGATGTGGGACCCTGAAGTTTTCTGCTGCTTCTCAGATGATACAAGATGAAGCAGAAGAACTTTTGAGTTCCTTTAACAAAACAAAATGTAAACTAATGAAGTTAGAGGGGAAAAGTGGGATAACCCTTTTTAGTATAATTAGGTAAGCTTTGAAATTTTTCCTATCTAGGAAGTATAAATAACCTGAGGAGTTATTAGAGCATACTTAAAATTTTCCAAATGAAAAAGGAGTTTTAAAATTAAGGTGATGATGATGATGCCTGATATGTATTACTATATGCCAGATAATGTTCCAAGTGCTTTTACATGTATTAATTTATCTTCACTAACAATTCTAGGAGGTAGGGTAATGTCATTATCCCCAATTTATAGATGAGAATTTTGAGCATGGTTCCTTCATATGCCCAAAGTCCTATAACTAATTATTGCAGAACCATGATTTGAACCCAGGCAGGGGAATTCATAGCTTCTGTATTTTGAGGTATTATCCTTATTGCCCTTCAGTTGCCAGCCATCACTAGTTGCTCATTTCTGTGCAACAATGGTCTTATTCCAGGTTGCCCACTTTTCTTGGACTATCTGTTCTTTTACAAGATGACTATACTTACAGGAGGATAGATCCTCATCAGTTAGGCAATTTATTCTTTCCATACTTACCTGATTCTTTATTTAAAGGACTATGTTCAATAAAACAAAATAATAACAAAAAATGAAACTATAATCCCTCTTAGGTCAGGAACCGGGGAGAACCTTCCAACAGTGTTGCCTTTTGTTAATTCTTTTTTTCCACTTTTGGGCTCAGCCTAAAGTACAATAGCAATCTAATACATTAGAGTCACATTTGTAGGTCAGTACTATAAATACTACTTTCCATACTGTCCTGGTTGGCCAAAATAGATAACACATTTTGCTTAGTGGTAACTATTATTCTGTAATTTTGTCACCTTTCGCTTTATCACCCTGGGGGCTATAGATGAGCTTCTGAAGTGAACATTTCCTCCTAAATTTTACCAATTTGTAGGAGGCTATTATTATACAATACCAATGTCTTGTAGTTAGGCATGTATCCATGTCCTACTATAGGCAAAAATTTTGTGTGGCTTAGCCTTCTTATTGGATAACATTGCCTACGGAAGCATGGCTGGCAACTTTTTAATCTTGATATATGAATTTGTTACTTTTTATTTTTATATAAAAAAAGATATTGTTAGTGTTTTAATTCTGATTTTACTATGCCCTCTTATTTTGTACGTTGCTGGATTGTATTTTTCTTCATGACAACTTGTTATTAAATTACTCATAAATTACTGAAGTGGAAAATTAGAAGACTGACTTGCTGAAAACAGCAGTGTTAGGTCTATGAGTTATGCTCATTTGATACCTCCATAGTAATATTAAGAGAAATTAGTTGGTGATAGTTGAGAAAATGTCACCTAAGTAGTCTTTAATTAAAATCTTTATATCCTCACTTAACAAAATTGCAGACATTAGTGAATTGGAAATATAATAGCAACTTAAATTCTTTATGTTGCAAGTTTCGATAAAGTACAGAAGCAACTGAAGGCTCTCAAGTCTTGACAAAAAGAATTGTCTTTAGTTGTGCTTTTCCCCAGGAGGTCTATTTGTAGGAAAGATTTATTCAACATTTGTTCTAAGAGCATAATGAATAAAAAGATAAAGAAGACATGGTTATTGTTATAAAGGCACTGTTACAAAGAAGAATTCTTGATTTTCCTAGCTGTCCATTAACTACAAAAGAGCCCTATTAGATGTCAATGACAAGAGTAGATTTCTAAAATAAGTTGAAGCAAGTTTCTATAAACCAGAATGTCTGCTTTTAAAATATTCTTATCCTAGGCATAATTTTTTTCAGTTCATGCCTGGTTAAGGATAAAATATATGACTGATTTATGGACTAGGTTATATTTTTTGAGGAATGGGGAAAAGCATTCTAAATAAGAAGGTAACTTAGATTATAAATTATTGAGCTTTTCGTAATCTTTCTTATCTAATTCACTAAAAGTTATACTTAAGCCTTTGCTTTTAAAGATTAGAATTTTAAAAACAAGTTTTTTTTCCACCTAGTGGATTAAAAAGTGAATAATGCTGGGCACAGTGGCTCACACCTGTAATCCCGGCACTTTGGGAGGCCAAGATGGGCAGATCATGAGGTCAGGAGTTCGAGACCAGCCTGGCCAACATGGTGAAACCCCGTCTCTACTGAAAATATAAAAATTAGACGGGCGTGGTGGCGCACTCCTGTAGTCGCAGCTACTTGGGAGGCTGTGGCAGAAGAATCGCTTGAACTTGGGAGCAGAGTTTGCAGTGAGCCCAGATAGCATCACTGCACTCCAGCCTGGGTGACAGAGCGAGACTCCATCTCAAAAAAAAAAAAAAAAAAAAAAAAAAATGAAAGTGAATTTAATTTACTAAGTGAAGATTTTTTTGTTTTTGCCTGTACTCTTAATGGAGATGGGATGAATATTGTGTTTTAAATTTTGTAGCATAAAAAAAATTTAGAATTCTTTTAAACCATCCCTCACTATATCAAACATCTTTCCATTAACCTAACCTGAGGGGAAGTCTCCCTTTTCTTAACTTCCAAGACTTCTATGAATGAAACTTCTTTGTCTTAAGTGTCTAGGATTAAAACCTGAACAGTGGATTATTTGAACAGAGAAGCTGAAAACAAAATAATCTTAAAACAGTACTCCCAGACCTTGCAAAACTATTTAACTGTGATGCTGTTTTCAATAGCTGGACTACAAGCAACAACAAAGCATTCTGGATTCCCTGTGAGGATGGATAATGCTGTACCGATTGTACCCCAGGCACCAGCTGCTCAGCCACTACAGATTCAGTCAGGAGTTCTCACGCAGGTAAAAGCTAGAGCAATGTGGATACTCAGTATTGCTAAACACTATTGAGATTCAGATATTTTGTCCTAGAAAATGGTATTTCCTTTGACTATAAGATCTTTCTTGGTCATGATTCAGTGGACTTAAAATGAAACATCTCTATGGAACAATATACTAATTCCTAACACTATTGCAACTCTGCCATTGTCTTCCTTAGACTTGCAGGGAAAAAATATCCAGACATTCTTGAGAAATGGTCTTCTGAGTAAGTTTACTCTAATTTTGCGGGGTGAAGCGTTTTTTTTTGTTGTTGTTTGTTTTTTAAATGTTGGAGCTCATATAAAGATAAGTATATATGTAGCATTTTGATTCTAAAATATAAGCTTCCACTTTTGCACCCTTTGTGTCCCTTTTGCTCACTCTTTTAGAATTTCATCACAGTTGAGAGGCTGGATCACATCAGGATGCCTCTTCACATATTACATTCCTTCATTCCGTGTGTTTAACCAGATTGTAGAAAGCTTTAAAACTTTATACTTGCTATGGAACATTCGACTAAGATGATAGAGAAAATTGTAAAGTATTTAAATAGCAACAAACAGTATATTTTATATTTTATATATAAATGTTTGTGGCCTATGACACATAGGAAATTCTCAAATCCAAAAACTCTATTTTGTGAACAGGAGGAAGAATTCTTAATAAATGTCTCTGTTTCATAGAACTGATCCCCTGAATCTAGCCCAAGGAGGATTCCTATACTTCTTTGTTTTAGGCCATTGGCATTTGACTTTGTGGGCCAATGCCATACAAAGTTGAAGGGGGAAAGTTGTGTTTGGTATATGCATTTTAGATGCTATCAAATTACTGTTCATTGTCAGTAATAACTTGGGGGGAATGAGAACCCTTCTGAATCCAGATATCCTGCCTCCGTGTTTGTTTCACTCACCTGCCTAATCTACGTTTCAGGGAAGCTGTACACCACTAATGGTAGCAACTCTCCACCCTCAAGTAGCCACCATCACACCGCAGTATGCGGTGCCCTTTACTCTGAGCTGCGCAGCCGGCCGGCCGGCGCTGGTTGAACAGACTGCCGCTGTACTGGTAATTCCCCTCACTTGATTGTGTTACTAACGGAGTTTCTTTGGTTTCTTTCTTTTTTGTTTTTTCCTGTTTGTTTTTGTTCTGTTTTTTTCTGGTTTATTTTTCAAAAAAATTTTTTAGCTTAGTCTTTGCAGAGGGCATGGAAGCATGTGCCATCTTGTGGCTGTGTTCTTGCTACATCTTTTAATGTCTCATTGTTTTCCTCCCCAACATTTGCTGTAGCACTGTCTGACTGATGGTTATGTGGCTCTGTAAGGAGCCAGATCCCTTGATTCTTCTTTGCCAGCCTAGTGTGATAAAAGCTCTCGATGTAGCCTCAGAAGAGCTTCAACACTGTTACTTGTTTTCTGCCTTTTACCCTCTGATCCTTGAGAATGAAGGAAATGGCCTTTAATTTGGCTCAGCTACAGGTACCCGGATGGCCAAAATTGAGCTCGTTGGCAAGATAGCTTTCTCCTTTTTTTGCTGTTTTAAGGTTCTAAAACTTTTCTGCATGTGGAAATGCTTAAGATGCTCTTAATTTATTGCTTTCTCAGTTGATACTAACCATCCTTCTATGGACACATGAAGATAGCTCTTTTTGCCACTCATGATCAGTGGCAGCTTATATCTTACATTTAAAGATATTCCCTTTAGAATGTAGATCATATTGTAGGTCATATTGTTGGTTGAAATTAAAAGTGGACACATTTTTAGGAGTTTTGGGAGGAATTAATTATTTTACAAATAGGTCTTTATACAAAGGTTGAAAGTATGGCCAACAAACTATGCAAATACAATATCTTTGTTATTAAAAGTCATGGGGAATAGTTACTTAATGTAGCTGCAATTGTAGTACTGGGCTTAGAGATAGAAAAAACAACCAAGACTTTGAGGTGTGTTTCAGGATTTGTAACCTTAAGAGTGATTTTTTGGATGTGTTTTGGTTTATATGGGGAGTTAGAATTGTTTATTGGATATCCAGCATTTTCTCATTTGAAATTTAAAATTAGGTAAGCATCCAAAAACCTGAAAGGCACTATTGAATCCTGTTATTTCTCTGTTTTCAAAGTTGCTTTAAATTTCTTTTGTTGTTTCTTAAGTATTCATGTGAGTGAAAACACTTCCAGAAACATACTTTGGTTGGAATTTGGTTTTCATTTTAAAAGTCTTTGTCACTTCCAGATTAATTTTCTTGTAAGCAGAAAACCTGAGTGTGAGGGAGTCAGATATATTTCCAACTTGATTGATCCAAGCCAATGGTTTTAACTCACTCATCTGTAGTTTCGAGGTTGGAATGTTAGTTGACACTTCTCCTTTGCTGCTTCTCTTAAGTTTGCACTAGCCATTTGCTAAGCTTTGCATATTTTTGTTCTTCCTCTGTCAAAACAGTTCGTCGCTTGGAACGCCAGATTTCTGCCTCACATTGGAATGTTATTTCTTGCTTTGTATTAAACTACATGCTTTGTCTTGTGCAGGTGTTGGCTTATGGAAAGACGCATGGTGTGACTTAACATACTTCTTTTATTTTTTGTTTTGTTTTATTTTGTTTTAAATTCTGCTTATGGTAGCAGACGTGTTTGCAGTTTCTCTGCTTTGAAGGCTTCTTGTTTGGAACCAGTATTTGTAACAAGTAGATCTGTTACTTGCAGAAATATTTTTAAAACAGTGTGTTGATGGCCTTGCAATTTGAAATTCAAGAAACAGAACCATATGTACCCAAGCATTGTAGGTAATTGTACTGCAGAATTCAAGTTTAAAAAGGAAACTTCCAAATCCGTTCCCATTTTTTTTTTCAAAAAATGCCAGAATTTCTGTGAGGAAGAAGTACAGAAAACATTTGTTGCTCAGTTTATTGCAAGTGACATGGCTTTTTTAAAACTAGAAATCATGTATTTTCTTGTAGTGATTAGTTTTTATGTGGAAATATTCCTGCAAATGATACATAAAAACATATTTTAGGTAACTATTAGAAACAAAGTATGATGCTTTCTGCTTCTAAAACATCTTACTTTTTGCCTTATTTTGAAATTCCATTATGTGGCTATAAATGATGAAGTTAGCTTTTTCTTGCTGGCATAAGATTTTTTCCCCAAAAGGATTAGGCCTTTGGTCATCCACATCTGGCTCCATTTTCCAAATACTACCCTTTTAAAAAAGGGAACAGTTCTGCCTTTTGTTTTATGGGTTGAATTGATCTGATACCTTATCTGATTGGCAGTCAGATTAAAAAATTTTAATCTCCAGGGAGTCCTCTTAACTCTTTCTAGGGATTTATTTTAGAATTGTTGCAAAAATGAAACTCCAGCATTTAACCAGCTCTTATCTCTGAACTCTCAGACTCCTTTTCTCTACAGTATAATAGAAGCTCTTAACCGCAGGGATCTTCTTTTCTTTAATACCCGGGTGGTCAGGTTATGGGGGTGAGCAAGAGAAAGCAGTATGTTTTCTTTCCCCATTCATAAGACTTGTAGCTTGAGCCCCTCTGACCTTTCTTTTTTAATCTCTGCAAGTTAACAATCTACAAGCAACTTCTTTTAAGATATGAATTTTTCTTTCTTTAAAAAAACAGAAGAAAAAGCCAAGAATGAATCAAGTCTGGATGTTTTTTATGTGTGTTTCCTTACAGCAGGCGTGGCCTGGAGGGACTCAGCAAATTCTCCTGCCTTCAACTTGGCAACAGTTGCCTGGGGTAGCTCTACACAACTCTGTCCAGCCCACAGCAATGATTCCAGAGGCCATGGGGAGTGGACAGCAGCTAGCTGACTGGAGGCAAGTGTCCTGTGTTACTCTGGGAGATTTGTAAGGGCCGATCCCATAGGGTGGGAGCACTTGGTAATAAGGAGAGAGACTAGTAAGAAAATAAAGGAAAATTTGACACTGTTGGAATCCTTTAAGAACCCATATCAGGCTAGGAGATGGTGTTATAAGAAAACTTTGAATATAGGAAAGCAGTAGGTTCTGAAGGTCAGGAATCATTTCTTCTAGATTTTTTAAAGAGAGTCTTAAGTGATTAGAAACCATACAGTGAGATCCTAAAGCCTTGTAATCTAGGTCCCCAACTTTATCTTTTATAATGAAAATTCTTTTTTTCTAATGTTTAATTTTTGTGATTACATACTAGGTATATATATTTATGGGGTACATGAGATGTTTTGACACAGGCATGTAATGTGAAATAAGCACATCATGGAAAAGGGGGTGTCCATCCCCTCAAGCATTTATCCTTTGAGTTACAAATAATCCAATTACACTCTTTAAGTCATTTAAAAATGTACAATTAAGTTATTACTGACTATAATCACCTATTGCGCTATCAAATAGTAGTTCTTATTCTTTTTTTTTTTTTTTTGTACCCATTAACCATCCCTACCTCCCCACTAGCCCTCCACTACTCTTACCAGCCTCTGGTAACCATCCTACTCTCTATGTCCATGAATTAAATTGTTTTGATTTTTAGATCCCATAAATAAGTGAGAACATGTGGTTTGTCTTTCTGTGTCTGGCTTATTTCACTTAACATGATGATCTTGAGTTCCATCCATGTTGTTGCAAATGACAACGTGTACTTTTTGTGGCTGAGTAGTACTCCATTGTGTATATGTACCATATTTTCTTTATCCATTCATCTGTTGATGGACACTTAGGCTGCTTCCAAATCTTACTGTGAACAGTGCTGCAACATAGGAGTGCAGGTATCTCTTTGATATACTGATTTCCTTTCTTTTGGGTATATACCCAGCAGTGGGATTGCTGGATCATATGGTAGCTCAATTTTTAGTTTTTACAGGAACCTCCAAACTGTTCTCCATAATAGTTGTACTAACTTACATTCCTACCAACAGTGTACAATTGTTCCCTTTTTTCCATATCCTTGGCAGTGTTTATTATTGCTTGTCTTTTGGATATAAGCCATTTTAACTGGGGTGAGATAATATCTCATTGCAGTTTTGATCTGCATTTCTCTAATGATCAGAGATGTTGAGCACCTTTTCATATGCCTGTTTGTCATTTGTAAGTCATCTTTTGGAAAATGTCTATTCAATTCTTTTGCCCATTTTTTGATCGTATTATTAGATTTTTTTCCATAGAGTTGTTTGAGCTGCTTACGTATTCTGGTTATTAATCCCTTATCAGATGGTAGGTGCTCAACTTTAAAAAAATAAAATGCAGCTGCATTTTGGCTAATTGCTTTTGATGTCTGTTTGGTCCTGATTCTTCAGTGGTTTTGGAATTCACTCTTCTCTTTCTTTCTGTTGGTACAGGAATGCCCACTCTCATGGCAACCAGTACAGCACTATCATGCAGCAGCCATCCTTGCTGACTAACCATGTGACATTGGCCACTGCTCAGCCTCTGAATGTTGGTGTTGCCCATGTTGTCAGACAACAACAATCCAGTTCCCTCCCTTCGAAGAAGAATAAGCAGTCAGCTCCAGTCTCTTCCAAGTGAGTCTGTGTTACAGCTGATAGTTAAAACTGTGCCAGTTTGAGAGATATGTTGCCTTGCATTTGGAATATTGTATAGACATATAATATAGATATGAAGCAGCAAGTAGCTGCCAAATTGAGGAAGAGCAAATCATTTCATCTGGGCATGTACACCAGGTGTGTCCTGGTTTTATGATGGTCCTTTGTCTCTGCTGCCACTTTGAATCTAGGGCATTTTATGATGTTTTTATTTTACTTTACAGAGTGAAATTTAATCCTGGGATAAAGGGCTTATAAAAGTAAAATGTCTTTTGTATTTTGGTGTTCTTGTCCCTGGAAACTCTTGCCAGCATGGTGCTTATTTTCACTGGAACTTATATAGTTAAATGTATTTGCTTAATGATTATGTAAAAAGGAATCAATGAGTAAATTGGAAAGCAGTCTGGGGAAAAGATACACAATTTGGAAGGCCAAGGACTGAATCATCTTTCCATGTGAACTTTTCCTACAGGTCCTCTCTAGATGTTCTGCCTTCCCAAGTCTATTCTCTGGTTGGGAGCAGTCCCCTCCGCACCACATCTTCTTATAATTCCTTGGTCCCTGTCCAAGATCAGCATCAGCCCATCATCATTCCAGATACTCCCAGCCCTCCTGTGAGTGTCATCACTATCCGAAGTGACACTGATGAGGAAGAGGACAACAAATACAAGCCCAGTAGGTAAGATAAGTGAATGGTTCCTGGCTCTATTGGTTTTAGACTGTTGGCCTCAGGCAAGTGGGCCCAGTTTGGCCTGTGAAAGAAAGGACCGGTGGGGCATGGTGGCTCACGCCTGTAATCCCAGCACTTTGGGAGGTTGAGGCCAGCAGATCACCTGAGGTGAGGAGTTCAAGACCAGCCTGGCCAACATGGCACAACCCTGTCTCTACTAAAAATACAAAAATTAGCAGGGCGTGGTGGCACATGTTTGTATCCCAGCTACTCGGGAGGCTGAGGCAGGAGAATCACTTGAACCCAGGAGGCGGAGGTTACAGTGAGCTGAGATCGTGCCACTGTACTCCAGCCTGAGTGACAGAGCAAGACTGCATCCCCTCCCGCCCCCACCCAAAAAAAAGGGCCGAAGAAAAAGGTGTTTTGGAAGCATAGCCTTCGATGGGGCTTTTGGTGTTGGGCATACGGAAGAGGGAATGACCTCTTGCTTTTACCTGAGAAGGTAGGATTCACACATGAAAGTAACTTAGGAGACTTTACAGAGTCATGCAGAAATGAAGTTTAAGTGAACTTGGAAGAGAAAATTTAGAATGAATTTAGAGCCTGTTAGTTCAAAAGGACCAATTGTAAGATGGTAGAGGCAACATACAGGAGGTGTTAGAGGTGTGGACTCTGAAGTCATTCTGTCCTGGGTCTGAATCCTGTCTTCACCACTCATCACTTCTTGTGTGACCCTGGGCAAGTTCCTCATCTCCCTATTCCTTAGTTTCCTCATCTGCAAAATGGGGTTTATAGTACCTACTTCATAGGATTGTTGTAAGGATTCAGTGAGATGTATGTGGAGCATGAGAGTAGTGCCTGATACATAAGTACCCAGAAGTTTACTGCTGCTAATATTACTATTATTATTACCATCTTTATCATCATTGTTATCATGGGAGAACCAGAGACAGATCATCTAAGAAACATTGCTTAAAAGGGTGGTTGAAGCTCGGCATGGTGGCTCATGCCTGCAATCCTAGCACTTTGGGAGGCCAAAGCAGGAAGATCACTTGAGCCCAGGAATTTGAGACCAGCCTGCGAAACATAGTGACATCTCATCACTACAAAAGATAAAAACAGTTGGGCATGGTGGTACACACCTGTAGTCCCAGCTACTCGGGAGGCTAAGATGGGAGGATAGCTTGAGCCCAGGAGGTTGAGGTCGCAGCGAGCTGTGATCACTCCACTGCACTCCAGCCTGGGTGACAGAACAAGACGCTGTCACACACACAAAAAAGAACAATTCAATTTTCATGTATTTTTCTTTTCCTCAGCTCTGGACTGAAGCCAAGGTCTAATGTCATCAGTTATGTCACTGTCAATGATTCTCCAGACTCTGACTCTTCTTTGAGCAGCCCTTATTCCACTGATACCCTGAGTGCTCTCCGAGGCAATAGTGGATCCGTTTTGGAGGGGCCTGGCAGAGTTGTGGCAGATGGCACTGGCACCCGCACTATCATTGTGCCTCCACTGAAAACTCAGCTTGGTGACTGCACTGTAGCAACCCAGGCCTCAGGTCAGTGTTATCTTCACAGCTTGAGTTGAATTCTCCTTTGATGTGTGAATGCTTAAATATTTTGCCATAATCCACTTATATCAGTGGTAGAGACCAGTGGTGTAGACATTCTTAAAGAGACCTTAATTCAGAAATCAGTTCCCTGCACAATGTGAAATTATTTTTGGCCATCACTTTATCTTCCTGTGTTTATTTTGCTTGGATTAATATACAAATGAGATTGTAGTCTCAGAAACACATTCAGTGCTGATGGGAGAAAGCAGACAAGACGTGTGATATTGCAAGAAGAATTAGCAGGCAATTAGGTTTGCCACAGATGATTTGAATTTGGCAATTGAGATGTAGACAGGACTTGATAATATTGAAAATGACTGCAAAAGTGTTTTGGAAAACAGTTATATTCTTTAGATTTTTTTCTCACCCAGTGTCATAGCAGTGATGCTTTTGATGGTTTTATTACCAACCCAATTACTTCCATCATCTTTGCCCTGTTAGATACTGGACTTAAGCTCCCTGGTTTAGTTATTGTGTTAGTTGGGTAATAGCAGTTGCAGTAACAAATCCTAGATTTTTGTAGCATAACATAGTAGAATTTTACTTCTCTCTCATATAATTTCTTGGTACAAGTGTTTGATTCCTGAGCATCCAGTCAGAAGGAGAAAGAAAGTGTGAAGGAGGCACACACATGTCTTAACCTCTTTAGGCTGGAAATAAGTGGAAATAGTGAATGCTTCTCACATGGCCCCACCTAGATGCAAGTGAGCCCAGGCAATGTAGTCTTGTTAAGGCAGCTGCTTTTCAGTGACAACTTCATACCAAGGAAGGGGTTGGTGAAGTTTAGGTGTCAACATAAACCTGGGCCATACTTGTATAAATTATGTTTTATTATGTATTATCTTACTGCCATAGACATAAACAGGGTTGTAATTTGAGGGTATTGTGTTATGCCTCTGTGTGATTCTTTTCAGAAGTAGACAGTTGTCCCATTGCAGACAAGAGAGAGAGCTTCCTGATGCCAGGCTACTGAATAGAATTATTAGTACCTCCGTGTGCTCTTGGGTCCAGAGAATATAGGCTATCACATGAGACACTGAATAAATGCTCTGGTTTTCCTAATGGGAACACAGAAGCAAGCAAAATTTCACATTCAGCTGTCCTGTAATTTCTAAGAATTTGAAGACAGTAAGTGTCCAACAAGATAGAATTTTGCCTTCTTTTAAACCCTCTTGCCACTTTAATATCCTAAGAATTACCAATAGCTTTCTCAGCTTCACATTATCATTTCTGTGCTTGTTTAATCCCTTCCTACATAAAACTATAAACTCTTGGAGAGAGGGATGGTGTCTTAGCATATTTGTATTTCCAGTCGTTCCTTGTATATAACAAGAGATTATAGTTAAAATATTTATAATATTTATTTAAGTGAACATTTTGAGGATCCTATGTGGAGATTTGTGCCAAGACAGAAAAGAAATGGGTGATAACAGGTTATTTTCTTCTGATGTAAATAGAATTGAGACCTTAATGCTTGCAAACTACATACAGATGTGGACTAATTAATATGATGCCATCTGAGGTTAGCTCAGTGATGTCTACTCATAACTATTAAGCCTGGTGCTTTTTTAGGTCTCCTGAGCAATAAGACTAAGCCAGTCGCTTCAGTGAGTGGGCAGTCATCTGGATGCTGTATCACCCCCACAGGGTATCGAGCTCAACGCGGGGGGACCAGTGCAGCACAACCACTCAATCTTAGCCAGGTAAGTGCTATGGGCTACTGCCTTCTGTTTGGGCCCTGCACTGTTGTTACTTTCTGGAGAACCCTGCTTCTGGCTGGATGCTGAATAAAGCCAAATGAAGCCCCTTTTGTGTCAAACAATTTTGTGTTCTATGGCTTACGTCGTACCGCATATGCTGTGTCTCTTCATTCACTCTGTAAGTGTGTTCAGGATGTACATTCTAGGTTTTCCATCAGACCTCCCTAAGTCTACCCTGGAAGGTTAGAGAAACGTCTGGGATTTAGAAAGAGCCTGGGGTGCTTTAACCATGTCTGTGATAGGCATATGCTTTGAGACCAGATTCTCTTTATCCCCCAGGCCATAAGTAAGCTGATCCTTACATTGTTTACTTGAGTCAAGAGATTGTGAAAAGCTCATTGGCCACCAAATTCAACTGGTTCTAGGTCCTACTTGTTGCTGGAGTCTGCGATTTGGGACTTCCCCACTCTCCGAACACCCCCAGCCCCAACCTACCCTTCTGCTTCTCTCATTACTTTATTCTATTTGTGTTCACTCTTAGAAGCTAAAATTCGAGTGCTTGTATGATGTCCACCAGTAGTGAGAAAGTGTCAGTATGAGGGTATGTGAGAGAGAGCACATGCAAGTGAAAATGTAAGTTTGAGTTAGTGCATGTATTTTAGTTTCCACATTTCAAGAGGGGTATGAAGAACTTAGAGGACGAAAACAAAAGAAAGCAATGGTAAGAAATAAAGGCTAGGAAAAATTCAAATTTACTGACGCCAGAATAGGGTGAGTTGAGTCACCAGTTATTAACTTGCAGGAGTGGGGAACCCTATGATCTCTTGATTCTCCCTCTTCCTGTCATACTTACAAGCAAAATGCTGTTACCTGAGCCAGATTAGGATCTATCTTGCTAAGAGGCAGAAGGAGGGGTGGCTGATTTCTGACAGCATTCAATGCCAGTGTGGGAGATTATGTGCTATACCCATTCGAAAACAGTACAAGTCAGAACCTGAGCTCTTAACTTGGCCTTTGGTGCCCTGAGCTGGAGTGACCTCAGGATTCCTCACTTCTTCCTTCTTTCTTCCAGAACCAGCAGTCATCGGCGGCTCCAACCTCACAGGAGAGAAGCAGCAACCCAGCCCCCCGCAGGCAGCAGGCGTTTGTGGCCCCTCTCTCCCAAGCCCCCTACACCTTCCAGCATGGCAGCCCGCTACACTCGACAGGGCACCCACACCTTGCCCCGGCCCCTGCTCACCTGCCAAGCCAGGCTCATCTGTATACGTATGCTGCCCCGACTTCTGCTGCTGCACTGGGCTCAACCAGCTCCATTGCTCATCTTTTCTCCCCACAGGGTTCCTCAAGGCATGCTGCAGCCTATACCACTCACCCTAGCACTTTGGTGCACCAGGTCCCTGTCAGTGTTGGGCCCAGCCTCCTCACTTCTGCCAGCGTGGCCCCTGCTCAGTACCAACACCAGTTTGCCACCCAATCCTACATTGGGTCTTCCCGAGGCTCAACAATTTACACTGGATACCCGCTGAGTCCTACCAAGATCAGCCAGTATTCCTACTTATAGTTGGTGAGCATGAGGGAGGAGGAATCATGGCTACCTTCTCCTGGCCCTGCGTTCTTAATATTGGGCTATGGAGAGATCCTCCTTTACCCTCTTGAAATTTCTTAGCCAGCAACTTGTTCTGCAGGGGCCCACTGAAGCAGAAGGTTTTTCTCTGGGGGAACCTGTCTCAGTGTTGACTGCATTGTTGTAGTCTTCCCAAAGTTTGCCCTATTTTTAAATTCATTATTTTTGTGACAGTAATTTTGGTACTTGGAAGAGTTCAGATGCCCATCTTCTGCAGTTACCAAGGAAGAGAGATTGTTCTGAAGTTACCCTCTGAAAAATATTTTGTCTCTCTGACTTGATTTCTATAAATGCTTTTAAAAACAAGTGAAGCCCCTCTTTATTTCATTTTGTGTTATTGTGATTGCTGGTCAGGAAAAATGCTGATAGAAGGAGTTGAAATCTGATGACAAAAAAAGAAAAATTACTTTTTGTTTGTTTATAAACTCAGACTTGCCTATTTTATTTTAAAAGCGGCTTACACAATCTCCCTTTTGTTTATTGGACATTTAAACTTACAGAGTTTCAGTTTTGTTTTAATGTCATATTATACTTAATGGGCAATTGTTATTTTTGCAAAACTGGTTACGTATTACTCTGTGTTACTATTGAGATTCTCTCAATTGCTCCTGTGTTTGTTATAAAGTAGTGTTTAAAAGGCAGCTCACCATTTGCTGGTAACTTAATGTGAGAGAATCCATATCTGCGTGAAAACACCAAGTATTCTTTTTAAATGAAGCACCATGAATTCTTTTTTAAATTATTTTTTAAAAGTCTTTCTCTCTCTGATTCAGCTTAAATTTTTTTATCGAAAAAGCCATTAAGGTGGTTATTATTACATGGTGGTGGTGGTTTTATTATATGCAAAATCTCTGTCTATTATGAGATACTGGCATTGATGAGCTTTGCCTAAAGATTAGTATGAATTTTCAGTAATACACCTCTGTTTTGCTCATCTCTCCCTTCTGTTTTATGTGATTTGTTTGGGGAGAAAGCTAAAAAAACCTGAAACCAGATAAGAACATTTCTTGTGTATAGCTTTTATACTTCAAAGTAGCTTCCTTTGTATGCCAGCAGCAAATTGAATGCTCTCTTATTAAGACTTATATAATAAGTGCATGTAGGAATTGCAAAAAATATTTTAAAAATTTATTACTGAATTTAAAAATATTTTAGAAGTTTTGTAATGGTGGTGTTTTAATATTTTACATAATTAAATATGTACATATTGATTAGAAAAATATAACAAGCAATTTTTCCTGCTAACCCAAAATGTTATTTGTAATCAAATGTGTAGTGATTACACTTGAATTGTGTACTTAGTGTGTATGTGATCCTCCAGTGTTATCCCGGAGATGGATTGATGTCTCCATTGTATTTAAACCAAAATGAACTGATACTTGTTGGAATGTATGTGAACTAATTGCAATTATATTAGAGCATATTACTGTAGTGCTGAATGAGCAGGGGCATTGCCTGCAAGGAGAGGAGACCCTTGGAATTGTTTTGCACAGGTGTGTCTGGTGAGGAGTTTTTCAGTGTGTGTCTCTTCCTTCCCTTTCTTCCTCCTTCCCTTATTGTAGTGCCTTATATGATAATGTAGTGGTTAATAGAGTTTACAGTGAGCTTGCCTTAGGATGGACCAGCAAGCCCCCGTGGACCCTAAGTTGTTCACCGGGATTTATCAGAACAGGATTAGTAGCTGTATTGTGTAATGCATTGTTCTCAGTTTCCCTGCCAACATTGAAAAATAAAAACAGCAGCTTTTCTCCTTTACCACCACCTCTACCCCTTTCCATTTTGGATTCTCGGCTGAGTTCTCACAGAAGCATTTTCCCCATGTGGCTCTCTCACTGTGCGTTGCTACCTTGCTTCTGTGAGAATTCAGGAAGCAGGTGAGAGGAGTCAAGCCAATATTAAATATGCATTCTTTTAAAGTATGTGCAATCACTTTTAGAATGAATTTTTTTTTCCTTTTCCCATGTGGCAGTCCTTCCTGCACATAGTTGACATTCCTAGTAAAATATTTGCTTGTTGAAAAAAACATGTTAACAGATGTGTTTATACCAAAGAGCCTGTTGTATTGCTTACCATGTCCCCATACTATGAGGAGAAGTTTTGTGGTGCCGCTGGTGACAAGGAACTCACAGAAAGGTTTCTTAGCTGGTGAAGAATATAGAGAAGGAACCAAAGCCTGTTGAGTCATTGAGGCTTTTGAGGTTTCTTTTTTAACAGCTTGTATAGTCTTGGGGCCCTTCAAGCTGTGAAATTGTCCTTGTACTCTCAGCTCCTGCATGGATCTGGGTCAAGTAGAAGGTACTGGGGATGGGGACATTCCTGCCCATAAAGGATTTGGGGAAAGAAGATTAATCCTAAAATACAGGTGTGTTCCATCTGAATTGAAAATGATATATTTGAGATATAATTTTAGGACTGGTTCTGTGTAGATAGAGATGGTGTCAAGGAGGTGCAGGATGGAGATGGGAGATTTCATGGAGCCTGGTCAGCCAGCTCTGTACCAGGTTGAACACCGAGGAGCTGTCAAAGTATTTGGAGTTTCTTCATTGTAAGGAGTAAGGGCTTCCAAGATGGGGCAGGTAGTCCGTACAGCCTACCAGGAACATGTTGTGTTTTCTTTATTTTTTAAAATCATTATATTGAGTTGTGTTTTCAGCACTATATTGGTCAAGATAGCCAAGCAGTTTGTATAATTTCTGTCACTAGTGTCATACAGTTTTCTGGTCAACATGTGTGATCTTTGTGTCTCCTTTTTGCCAAGCACATTCTGATTTTCTTGTTGGAACACAGGTCTAGTTTCTAAAGGACAAATTTTTTGTTCCTTGTCTTTTTTCTGTAAGGGACAAGATTTGTTGTTTTTGTAAGAAATGAGATGCAGGAAAGAAAACCAAATCCCATTCCTGCACCCCAGTCCAATAAGCAGATACCACTTAAGATAGGAGTCTAAACTCCACAGAAAAGGATAATACCAAGAGCTTGTATTGTTACCTTAGTCACTTGCCTAGCAGTGTGTGGCTTTAAAAACTAGAGATTTTTCAGTCTTAGTCTGCAAACTGGCATTTCCGATTTTCCAGCATAAAAATCCACCTGTGTCTGCTGAATGTGTATGTATGTGCTCACTGTGGCTTTAGATTCTGTCCCTGGGGTTAGCCCTGTTGGCCCTGACAGGAAGGGAGGAAGCCTGGTGAATTTAGTGAGCAGCTGGCCTGGGTCACAGTGACCTGACCTCAAACCAGCTTAAGGCTTTAAGTCCTCTCTCAGAACTTGGCATTTCCAACTTCTTCCTTTCCGGGTGAGAGAAGAAGCGGAGAAGGGTTCAGTGTAGCCACTCTGGGCTCATAGGGACACTTGGTCACTCCAGAGTTTTTAATAGCTCCCAGGAGGTGATATTATTTTCAGTGCTCAGCTGAAATACCAACCCCAGGAATAAGAACTCCATTTCAAACAGTTCTGGCCATTCTGAGCCTGCTTTTGTGATTGCTCATCCATTGTCCTCCACTAGAGGGGCTAAGCTTGACTGCCCTTAGCCAGGCAAGCACAGTAATGTGTGTTTTGTTCAGCATTATTATGCAAAAATTCACTAGTTGAGATGGTTTGTTTTAGGATAGGAAATGAAATTGCCTCTCAGTGACAGGAGTGGCCCGAGCCTGCTTCCTATTTTGATTTTTTTTTTTTTTAACTGATAGATGGTGCAGCATGTCTACATGGTTGTTTGTTGCTAAACTTTATATAATGTGTGGTTTCAATTCAGCTTGAAAAATAATCTCACTACATGTAGCAGTACATTATATGTACATTATATGTAATGTTAGTATTTCTGCTTTGAATCCTTGATATTGCAATGGAATTCCTACTTTATTAAATGTATTTGATATGCTAGTTATTGTGTGCGATTTAAACTTTTTTTGCTTTCTCCCTTTTTTTGGTTGTGCGCTTTCTTTTACAACAAGCCTCTAGAAACAGATAGTTTCTGAGAATTACTGAGCTATGTTTGTAATGCAGATGTACTTAGGGAGTATGTAAAATAATCATTTTAACAAAAGAAATAGATATTTAAAATTTAATACTAACTATGGGAAAAGGGTCCATTGTGTAAAACATAGTTTATCTTTGGATTCAATGTTTGTCTTTGGTTTTACAAAGTAGCTTGTATTTTCAGTATTTTCTACATAATATGGTAAAATGTAGAGCAATTGCAATGCATCAATAAAATGGGTAAATTTTCTGACTTATGTGGCTGTTTTTGACTTCTGTTATAGGATATAAAGGGGATCAATAAATGACATCTTTGAAAGTGGCTAAGCATATTGTATTTGAACATCAGTAGAGTACTAGAGACAATTTCATTCTTCACACAAATCTCCATACTGGAAATGAATAGGGTTTGGCAGGGAATACTTCCCAAGAATGCAGTGTCCAGGGTCCTTACTTCACATCATCTGGATCTGACCCTTTGAAAGAGGTAGAAGACTTCTGAGACCGGCTAATTAAGCTTTGTTTCCTCATATGTTTTGCCAGATAGCAGTAGCAGAATGAAAAGATGAGTAACCACAGGAAGCTGCTATTTTTCCCCTCCTTTCAAACTGTACTGTTAGAGTCATGGTCCTTTTTACAGAAGGAACCTCTCATCAGATTCTGTTGATTCTAAAGTGAATAGAATTTCTCCCGATAAAGAAATAGGGGTTTGTTTCGATTAATGACTGCAGGTCTCTGAGTAAATGCTCTATTTGATTTTTTTTTTCGGCCCGTGTGTCTACCTTATGGCCCAAGTCTACCTTATGGTGGCCATTAATTCATTTTGGGCTCCTGCAGCCTTAGTTGGGATATAGAAATGAGAAACACTCAGAAATACCCTTTTGGACCACAACCAAGAGAAATAACCAATAGTCTTTTCTCCCAGTGGTAAGGAAGTCAGAATACATTGATCTAGACTGCAACAACATATATATATATATCAGATTCCGCCCCCCCGCAATACATGAATGTATAGTAAATTAGTGTGAACTCACTGAACACTCCTCAGTTTTGGTGAGAGACTATATCTGGCCTCTTTCAAGCAAAGGAAAGCCATGTAAAACAGCGCTGCTGTCAGCCTTAACTTCCAGACGATCGAGTTAATTTACTAACTTCTCAGTGACCTGTTTTTTTTTTTTTTTTAATCTCAGTTATATTTTCTTCCTTGGGCTAAATCAGATATTTGCATAGCCCCCAAAGTAGTAATTGGATAGTCTTGGGGGAAATATGCATTTCAGTGGTGAAAACCCCTGTAAATTCAATATATTTGGCTTTTGTGGAAAATTTTCCTCATGGGGTGAAGTCTAAGCCTTAGTTTCTGTATTATCATGAGAGATGACACCAGCTGCTTAGCACAAGGTGGCGCCAATGAGCTTTAGAATAAGTTGGGCTTGACCACTTGGGCCATTGTTTTCCTGCTTCCTCCCTTCAAGCCTCACCTCCCCAGCTCCCAGCTTCTACTGAACAAGGCTGAAAACCCACTCTATTGCAGGGAAAGGGAAAGATTAATGAAAAATGTCAGTTTCTTAAGTCAGCACTGGTGAAACTTTCCTAAAACAGGAATGGCGTTTGCTGAGTTTTCTCTGGGGTCTCTGCTTTCTGCAGCTAGCTTCCCTGCTTGACTGCCTAGAAGGCCTCTGCTTTCGGGTTTCCATCTCTTTCCCCTCCAGAGGACCCTACAGCCTAGGCGGGAGGTGGTTAAGGCTTCTGGCTGCTGTGCAATGGGGCCATCTGTGTTTGATCAATCCTGGCGGAAAGGAGGGGGTGGGGGTTGTAAAGAGAACTGAAAGCATTCCAGAGTAGTGAGAGAGACCCAGAGATCAGGAGAGAAGGCACCGCCCCCACCCCGCCTCCAAAGCTAACCCTCGGGCTTGAGGGGAAGAGGCTGACTGTACGTTCCTTCTACTCTGGCACCACTCTCCAGGCTGCCATGGGGCCCAGCACCCCTCTCCTCATCTTGTTCCTTTTGTCATGGTCGGGACCCCTCCAAGGACAGCAGCACCACCTTGTGGAGTACATGGAACGCCGACTAGCTGCTTTAGAGGTGAGGGACCCCTTTCTCTTCTAGCCCCGCCTAGAAGGATTCCAGGGCTATTGGTTCAACCAGTTTGTTAGGGATCTGGGGATAACAAGAAAGGGCTCTGTTAGAGTCTACAGAAAATTCTCTCTTAATAAGAGGACCTTCGGAATGACAAGCCCTCCTCTTACCCCACATAGAACAATTCCAAAGCAAATCGACTTTTGCGTTTTACCTCTGGGATTAGATAGAATAAGGGGGCAGAGTGGAAACGAGAGCCAAAATTGTGGGGCTGCATCTCCAGAGAAGGTGATGATTCTGTTGAAGTTGGAGGTTCCCGGGGAATCTATAACTTCCTGTCTTTTTAACAGGTTGAGATCCGTAGCATTTTAGTGTCCGAGAGGATAATTGCTAAGGGAGCAGAGACCTCTTCACACCTTCATGCGCTTAGACCTGCCTAGAGGCTCAGATGGCTCAGTGGCACTGCTCACAGAGAACACAGGCTGGAGGACATGGAGTCGGGGTAGGGGCCTAGGTGAATCTCAGCTAGGCTCTTTGCACATTTAGCACCTCTGCACATCTGGTTTCCTTTTCTGCAGGAGTGGAAGGGGATATTGAAGCCTGGCTGAGTTTGCTCTTTTTTTCCCATTCCTGACTCCCGAGTTGGGCCTCTCCCTGCCTGGGAGTTGTAACCCTGCAGCCTCCCTCCTGATCCCCCATCCCTTCAGGAACGGCTGGCCCAGTGCCAGGACCAGAGTAGTCGGCATGCTGCTGAGCTGCGGGACTTCAAGAACAAGATGCTGCCACTGCTGGAGGTGGCAGAGAAGGAGCGGGAGGCACTCAGAACTGAGGCCGACACCATCTCCGGGAGAGTGGATCGTCTGGAGCGGGAGGTAGACTATCTGGAGACCCAGAACCCAGCTCTGCCCTGTGTAGAGTTTGATGAGAAGGTGACTGGAGGCCCTGGGACCAAAGGCAAGGGAAGAAGGAATGAGAAGTACGATATGGTGACAGGTAAATAATCTGAAAGCAGGCCCCTAACTCTTCTCAGAACCGATATTCTTCCTTCCTTGCTTCTTACTCTTTTTTTCGCTTTGTCCCAGTCCATTGTGGCTCTGTCTTCTGGAATCTGTTTTAGGGAAACCTCTGTAATGCCAGGTCTATTAAGGAGAGGTTCTGGGGATCCAGGCCGCTGTGGTACCCGCTCTTTCTCAATTCTCCCTAAGATTGGAGGCAACCACTGGGCAAATGCTCACTATTCTCCAGATCACCCACCCTGGGGGAGTTCCTGCTGGAGGCATCTAATTCTTGCCTCTATTTCCTTTTCCTGTGCTTTTCTCATCAGACTGTGGCTACACAATCTCTCAAGTGAGATCAATGAAGATTCTGAAGCGATTTGGTGGCCCAGCTGGTCTATGGACCAAGGATCCACTGGGGCAAACAGAGAAGATCTACGTGTTAGATGGGACACAGAATGACACAGCCTTTGTCTTCCCAAGGCTGCGTGACTTCACCCTTGCCATGGCTGCCCGGAAAGCTTCCCGAGTCCGGGTGCCCTTCCCCTGGGTAGGCACAGGGCAGCTGGTATATGGTGGCTTTCTTTATTTTGCTCGGAGGCCTCCTGGAAGACCTGGTGGAGGTGGTGAGATGGAGAACACTTTGCAGCTAATCAAATTCCACCTGGCAAACCGAACAGTGGTGGACAGCTCAGTATTCCCAGCAGAGGGGCTGATCCCCCCCTACGGCTTGACAGCAGACACCTACATCGACCTGGCAGCTGATGAGGAAGGTCTTTGGGCTGTCTATGCCACCCGGGAGGATGACAGGCACTTGTGTCTGGCCAAGTTAGATCCACAGACACTGGACACAGAGCAGCAGTGGGACACACCATGTCCCAGAGAGAATGCTGAGGCTGCCTTTGTCATCTGTGGGACCCTCTATGTCGTCTATAACACCCGTCCTGCCAGTCGGGCCCGCATCCAGTGCTCCTTTGATGCCAGCGGCACCCTGACCCCTGAACGGGCAGCACTCCCTTATTTTCCCCGCAGATATGGTGCCCATGCCAGCCTCCGCTATAACCCCCGAGAACGCCAGCTCTATGCCTGGGATGATGGCTACCAGATTGTCTATAAGCTGGAGATGAGGAAGAAAGAGGAGGAGGTTTGAGGAGCTAGCCTTGTTTTTTGCATCTTTCTCACTCCCATACATTTATATTATATCCCCACTAAATTTCTTGTTCCTCATTCTTCAAATGTGGGCCAGTTGTGGCTCAAATCCTCTATATTTTTAGCCAATGGCAATCAAATTCTTTCAGCTCCTTTGTTTCATACGGAACTCCAGATCCTGAGTAATCCTTTTAGAGCCCGAAGAGTCAAAACCCTCAATGTTCCCTCCTGCTCTCCTGCCCCATGTCAACAAATTTCAGGCTAAGGATGCCCCAGACCCAGGGCTCTAACCTTGTATGCGGGCAGGCCCAGGGAGCAGGCAGCAGTGTTCTTCCCCTCAGAGTGACTTGGGGAGGGAGAAATAGGAGGAGACGTCCAGCTCTGTCCTCTCTTCCTCACTCCTCCCTTCAGTGTCCTGAGGAACAGGACTTTCTCCACATTGTTTTGTATTGCAACATTTTGCATTAAAAGGAAAATCCACTGCTCCTCTCCTGTGTTTGTTTGGGGTAGCCCTCAGATCAAACTTCCCCCTGACCATCCAGTTTCTCCCTCCCAACCCATCCCCACTCCTTGAGCCATATTAAAGACTTGGGCGGGGCTCCCTTTGCTGAGGAAGAGTTTACTGTGAGGCGCCTGGGGGAGGTGGCAGAATCCCGCCACTTTAGGAGGCTGGACGAAAGGCCTCCTTCCACACCCACCGCCATCCACAGCAGCCAATCCACAGCAGCCATCCTAGAACCTCAGTGGCACCGTGCCTCTGGCTGTGAGACACTGGGGCCCAGGGCAGAGATTCCAGTTCCGATTCTCAGAGGATTTTGAACTACAAAATGCATGTTAGTTGCATTGCATTCTAGTGTGGAAACCAGAGCCCTGAATGCCTGTGTTTTTAGTAAGAACTGAAGTCTCCCCTCTAAAGTGGACTCTGCCCCGCACCCCAGACCTCCACTCCCACCTCCAGCGTTGTGCTCCTGCAGGGCCAGGTTGCACAATCATTCTTGGTCTGGACCGCTCTGATTTTCCTGCTGCCACGGCGTCTGCGGTTTGTGCAGGGAGGAGGGGCAGTGACCGTGTCCCAGATGTTGGCCTTACACGGTCTGCAGCCTATTCTTGCTTTCCTTTTCTCCACTCTCATCACCCTCACCTACCCACTCCAGCCCTGAACCTGGCTGAAGCCCGTCAGGACTTCTGGAAACTTAACCCTCTCTGGCCCATACCCTGGCCTCTGGCGTTGGATTGCAGAGCGTAATGTGGGGAAGAGGGAAGGGAGAAGGGAGAGGAGGAGGAAGGCTCCAGGCTTTGGACTCCAGTCTCCAGGAATCTGCTGATTTCTGCACCAGGCCCCCACCCCAGCCTCACCCTCACTGCTGCATGCTCAGCTCGCAGGGGCAAGGCTGGCTGATGGGCAGGATCCACTGCTTTCATGAGGAGTCCACCTCAGGCATGCCTGGGGGTCCTCTTGGTTATTTGCTCTAGCCAAGTGCGGGAAGGGGGCACAGCCTTCTCCCCAAAGCACAGCCCTCCTTCCCGCCCCAGGTGGGGTGGCTCAGTCAGGGCCCTGTGAGCCTCCCTTTATCTTCTTTTCTTTTCTCCTCAGGCAGAGCTGCTCCAGACGTAGGTTGATGAGGATGGGGAAAGAAAGACAGTGAAGCACCTCAGAAAGGCGCTATTATAGGGAGACCGGGGCGGGCAGGGGCTCTCTCCCATTGAATTCTCTCCTAATGTGGGGCTGGCAACAGTAATCACCACCTGTCAGCCCACGGAAGGGTCTGCCCACAGAACAGCTGGCTGCGGCACACGTGGTGCACAGGGAGGGGTTGAGGGGGAAGGGCATTCTGAGCACAGGCCTGGAGAATGGGGTCTGGGCCACACGGCTGGCAGAGCAGTGTGGGGACTGTGGGTGCCCCATGTGGAAGGGGAGCTTGTCTGCTCCCTAGCGTGACTGTGTGTGTGTGTGTGTGTGTGTGTGTTGGGGGTGGGAGGTGCCTGTGTGTGGCAGAGGTGCTTGTCTGCTCCCTAGTGTGACTGCGTATGTGTACGTGTATGTGTATATGTGCCTGCATGTGGCAGGGGAGCTTGTCTGCTAGCTTGTGTGGCTGTATGAGTGTGTGATAGGAGGCTGTAGGGTCAGGCCGTGTCTCTGGAGTTACCTTGTTAGAGCACCAAACACCAGGAGCGGCTCTGATGCCCTTGATGAGAGCATAACCTGAGACTCCGTGTGTATAAGTGACGTCAAGGAATATGTATTTGAAGTACATTCTTAACGCCTTATTACTTCCATGAAAATCAGGTAACCAGGTTCTTCCGCGTTGCATGTGTGTGCTTGTCTTTGTGGCATCTATCTTTGCCTGATTCCTCCTCCATGAGAAAGAAAAAAAGCATATCTTTTTTTGGCTTACAATTTCTGTGGAAAAGTTCATTCAGGCTTTTCTGAAAGGGCAGAAATCTCTGGGGCCTTGTCGTTTATTACTTTTCTCTTCCTTCTTTTTGGCTCCTGTGCAACAGCTAGTGCTATTTTGGAAGCATTATGGAAGGTGAGTAGAACTGTGTGGGCAGATCCAGTGAACTGTCCAAATTCATTAAACTAAATTATCTGCTGCTCCAGGAGACAGCACCGGTAGCTAAATCCTATCATCCACAAGTAGCCTCAGACCCCCATCAGACCCTCCACAACCCATCACTTGGCAGAAATAGGTTATGACCTCTGATTTTGTTGAACAAAAGACAGTGGAAGGCAAAGGGCCTAGTAGAGGAGAGAGGGGTTAAAAGCCCAAAGAGAAGTCCCACATATGCCCCAGTGCCTAGCCATTGGGTGGTACAGTAAACACCCAAGGATGGGGATGTGGGAAGGGCACCAAGAACCAGGAGGGGCTGCTGTGGTGGAGGCAGCTGTCTGCTAGGTCTTAGGTCCAGATGTTGCTTCTCCATCACAAGGCAGTATTGAGAGGGCTCCCCCAAGGCAGTATTGAGAGGGCTCCCCTCTCCGCCACACTGGGCCTCAGGGTTTCCTGCTTTACTTCCTAAGCTCCCCTCCTTGTTCTCAATATCCTCTCTTCTCCAATGCTGGTCTTAGTATCTGCCTGCCAGCGAATCCAAAGTGTTTGTCTTGTTCATTTTAATCAAGGAAGCTGAGCCGGTGTTGTGAGCGCCCTGGATGGTGGAGAGGGACAGGGCAGAGATGGACAGGAAGAAGTTGTTGATTCAGCTGTCAATGTTTCCTCTGGGATGGGCTCTGAGCTAAACAGAAACCAAGCCCTCCTTTTCCTCCTCCTCCAGTCTCAGATTTTCTGGGCCTCTTCTCATCTCTCCTTGAACAGGCACCCCTTCCCCAAGGCTCCTGGGGGCATCCCCTTCCACTGCTCCCCACTCCTCTACCTGGTTTAGAGGAAAGCATGCCCATTTTGAGAGCTGCTGAGACTGTCCTGGTATTTCTCAGGGCCTTCAGGATAGGTCTCTTCAGGGCCTGCCACCCAGCCTCTCTGTGTCTGCCTTTGCAGTTTAGTGTGGTCTGTGGTCCAGGAGAACTTTTCTATTTCTCCGGCTGGAAAGTAGGGTCTGTCCTGTGGCCTTAGCTCCTGTTAGCAGCTGTGGCCTCTGCAGGCCCTGTGGACCCCTCAGCCTGGCTGGTGAGCTTTCCTTTGCCTGGTCTTTAACTTCTGCTTTTACAATGCAGAGCTTAAAAGAGTAAAGCTTTATTTCTGGATTTAATAACTCCACAGAATTATAAATGTGGAAGCCTATGTATTACTTTAAAGGGCAGAGTGAGAAGTGAAAATGCAAAACTCTCAGCACCATCTCCCCAGAACTTGGGTTCTGACCATACCTCTCCAGGACTGCCAAGACCAACTCGGTTGGAGAGACCCTAACCCAGCAGCGCTAGAGGAATTAAAGACACACACACAGAAATATAGAGGTGTGGAGTGGGAAACCAGGGGTCTCACAGCCTTCAGAGCTGAGAGCCTCAAACAGAGATTTACCCACATATTTATTAACAGCAAGCCAGTGATTAGCATTGCTTCTATAGATTATAGATTAACTAAAAGTATTCCTTATGGGCAACAAAAGGATAGGCAGAAATAAAAGGATGGGTTGGGCTAGTTATCTGCAGCAGGAGCATGTCCTTAATGCACAGATCACTCATGCTATTGTTTGCGGTTTAAGAAGGACTTTAAGCGGTTTTCCGCCCTGGGTGGGCCAGGTGTTCCTTGCCCTCATTTTGGTAAACCCACAACCTTCCAGCATGGGCGTCATGGCCATCACGAACATGTCACAGTGCTGCAGAGATTTTGTTTATGGCCAGTTTTGGGGCCAGTTTATGGCCAGATTTTGGGGGCCTGTTCCCAACACAGGACAGTCCTGCATGACCTCTGGGGGTCTATCCAGCTTACATTCCCCCTTCTCTGAGATGAGACAACTTTACTCCCTGGCCATAGCAGTATGCCCAGAAGGGAACACATCAGACTCCCTCCTGGGGAGTTAGAATTGCAGGTCAGAGATATTAGATCTTAGGAAGTGTTTGGAGGCATCTTTGCCCTGCTACCCAGAGGCAATGAAAGCCCACTGGAGGGGAAAGGACGAGGTGGACCCCAGGGAGAAGCCAGGGCAGAAGGGAGGAAGCAGCTGACCTGGGCCTGTGTTCCTGCCCAGTCCCCAGCCATCAATCCTGAGGTCACGGCACACTTCTGGCTCTTGGGTTCTGCAAGGTGCCTATAAGTTAATATGAGTGGATTTCTGTTTCCCAAAACCCAAAGGCGGCTCCTCATCTTTACCTTCCCACCAAAAAAATCCCCTGTCTGCTGGACTGCTAGGCAAATGGCCTTGGCCCCATAGTCAGGGGTGTTCAATCTTTTGGCTTCCCTGGGTCACATTGGAAGAAAAATTGTCTTGGACCACACATAAAGTACACTAAGGATAGCTGATGACCTAAAAAAAAAAAAAATCGCAAAAAAAAACCTCATGATGTTTTAAGAAAGTTTACCAATTTGTGTTGGGCTGCATTCAAAGCCATCCTGGGCCACATGTGGCCCACAGGCCAGGGGTTGGACAAGCTTGCCGTAGAGTGCTCTTCCCTGCACATGACCCAGAAGACTCACTAGAATAATGAAAGAATCTCCCCAAAGCCTGGCCCACATCATTCTACCGAGGCTCACTCAAGTCACACCTCCTCCACGACACCTTCCAGACGACCTGGTCAGTTCCACATTCCTGTTCTGTTCATTCATGGTCTGCCGTCTCACCCCATCAGAGCCTGTAGCACAGTGTTCTCAGAGGCAAACTTATGTATTAGAAAGAGCATCAACTTTGGGGTCAGAGCCCCTGGGATCAGAGTCTGGCTCTGCCACTTACCAAAGTTACTTAAGGCCTCATCTATAAAATAATATCTACCCAATAGGATTGTTGCTGTGAGGATTAAGGATGAAATACGCAGATTCTTTAGTAGTGCATGCAATCAGTGTGTGGTAGCTCTGAAACCCCACTTCCTTTGAGAGGATTTTCTGGCCCTTTCTACTGCCAACCACACATGTCAGGACCCTTTGCTATGGGCCCCTGTTCACCCCTGGGCATAGCCCACTTGGAGCCTGTAATGTGCTGCGCTGTTTGCTCATGTTTGTGTCCCCAGGGTTTAACACAGAGCCTGACTCATAACTACTTGTTGAATGTATAAACGCTATATATATCCATGCTTCTCCATCAGGCTGTGAACCCTGGGAACCCTGAGCATGTTTGTCTCCTAACTCAGGACCTAGCTCGGGAGTGGCACATTGCTAGCAAGCAGTACATGTTCTTGGTGGCATTTTTCAAGTCAGTTGGTGTATTAGTCTGTTCTCACGCTGCTAATAAAGACATACCTGAGACAGGGTAATTTATAAAGGAAGGGGGTTTAATTGACTCGCAGTTCCACATGGCTGAGGAGGCCTCACAATCATGGCAGAAGAGTAAGGGACGTCTTACATGGAGGCAGGCAAGAAATTTGTGCAGGGGAACTCACATTTATAAAACCATCATATCTCATGAGACTTACTCATTCCCACAAGAACAGTATGCGGGAAATCATGCCCATGATTCAATTATCTCCACCTGGCCCCACCCTTGACACATGGGGATTATTACAATTCAAGGTGAGATTTGGGTGGGGACACAGCCAAACCATATCAGTTGGACAAAGACAAGCTACAGATAAAAACTGAAAACAGTCGTCTTTCAATTGCAGAAGGCATTGGCCTTCCCACATGATTCCAGTTCAAACATCTAAGGAGAAACTCAAGCTAGGCCAGCACCTTTATGCCCTGAGGCCACAGGGGAGGAGGGTAATAAAGCTGCAGGAGGTAGCGGAAGACCTAGGTGTTCAGCACCGGTTCATAGCAAGGGTCCTGGAGTAGTTGAACCTGTGTTCGCACCCCAGCCTGGTCACTTGCCAGAGTGTGATGTGGTGCAAGTTACTCCACCTCTTCGAGCCTGGTTTCTTCATCTGTGAAATGGATTTAATAGTACTCACTTCAGGGATTGCTGTGAGCATTAAATGAAATAATCTCTATAAAGCAGTGAGCCCAGTATCTGGCACACAGTAGGTGCTCAATATATATTATTGTTATTATTATTTTGAGATGGAGTCTCGCTCTGTCACCCAGGCTGGAGTGCAGTGGTGTGATCTCGGCTCACTACAAGCTCCGCCTCCCGGGTTCACACCATTCTCCTGCTTCAGCCTCCCGAGTAGCTGGGACTACAGGTGCACACCACCACGCCCAGCTAATTTTTGTTGTTGTTTTTTTTTAGTAGAGACAGGGTTTCACCATGTTAGCCAGGATGGTCTTGATCTCCTGACCTCATGATCCACTCACCTTTGCCTCCCAAGGTGCTGGGATTACAGGCGTGAGCCACCATGCCCAGCCTATATTATTATTATTATTGTTACTAATGTCATCATCATTGCATAAGTCTTTTCAGTTAGCAAAGTGCTCTCATATATTTTCTCTCCTTTGATCTGCACAATAATCCCATGAGATAAGCAGGTGTCAGAAACCTGAGGATTATAGAGATGAAATGATTCCTCTAAGGCCACATAACTGATAAGTGTTGGAGCTGGAACCTATGCTACGGAGGCTGTGTGGAGGAGAGTGAAGAGCTGGAGCTCTGAACTCAAGTTGCCTTCAAATCCTTGCTCTGCCACTTGCTAGCAATGTAATCCTGTGCAACCATGCCCTATCTCAGAGACTTGTGAGGAATGGGTGAGCTAGTGTATTAGTCCATTCTTACACTGCTATAAAGAACTGCCTGAGACTGGGCAATGGAAGAAAAGAGGTTTAATTGACTCACAGTTTCCCAGGCTGTACAGGAAGCATGGCTAGGAGGCCTCCAGAAACTTACACTCATGGCAGAAGGGTGAAGGGGAAGCAGGCAAGTCTCACATGGCTAGCAAGAGGAAGAGAGAGCCAAGGGGGATGTGCTACACACTTTTAAACAACCAGATCTCATGAGAACTCACTCACTCTCATGAGAATAGCAAGGAGGAAATCTGCCCCCATGACCCAATCACCTCCCACCAGGTCTTCCCCCAACACTGGGGATTACAATTCACATGAGATTTGGGTAGGGACCAGAGCCAAATCATATCAGCTAGTGTTTATAAAATATCTAGCAGAGCATCTAGAAGAATAGATGTTCAATAAATATTCATTCCTAGGCCCATGACTCTTGCTATTTTATTTTTTGGGGGCAGGAGGACAGGTTCTCACTCTGTCACCCAGGTTGAAGTGAGATCTCAGGTCACTGCAACCTCTGCCTCCCAGGCTCAAGTGATCCTCCCACTTCAGCTGGGACCATAGGCACACGCCACCACACCTGGCTAATTTGACTTTTGCTATCTTGATGTGGAACAGCATGCCAGTGATCATCTCTGCTAGGCATTATAAACCATTTATCCTGACCCAGTGGCCCTTCTGCTCCTTCCTTCTCCATTTGTACACTGTTCTGTAGGAAGACGTGGCACCTTTTTCCCACCACAGATCTCTGTGTTATCAGTAACAGCAGGGTTGACAGGTGCCTTGCACTAGCCATGAGGGAAGAAAGTAAGGTGCACTGACACATCCTCCTTTTCTCTGTGCCTGGACCGCCTCTCCCAGCAGTGATATTGATATGTGTGTGTGTGTGTGTGTGTAGAGAAAGAGAGAGAGAGAGAGAGAGAGAGACAGAGAGAGAGACATTGTGCTCCAAAGCTACATTTTTCCTTCGATCACATTTTCTCTCAAAGATATTTTAGTTTTTCAGCCTGTGTCCCTAAAATTCATCATTACTAACTTTTTGGACTTACCTTACTGTGGATTTTGGCAGATCCTTTGGTGCCATTTTGCTGCACTTCATCTTATGGGTGTTTATTACTGTCCAATTTCACATAATTTTGGTTTTGTAGCTGGTGAATTTTGTGTTCCAGACCTGTAAATCCATGCAGTTGTCAAATGCATGAGCTGTTCTCTATCTATTCTTATTGTGCTTTCTTGGGGAAGGAAGATAGTGTGGAAAGAGCACAGGTGGGAGTAAGATGAACTTTCCATTCCTATGTAATTTGTCCATGTGCTCAGTGTCCTGTCTCTGCTCCTCATTGACCGTGTGACATTGAACCAGATGCTAATCCCTCTGTGCCTCAGTTTGCTCATTTGCAAAACAGGATTTTATTATCTGGATTATCATCACCCACGATCATTGCAGTTCAAGCCCTAATGCATAAAGCATTCAGAACTTCTAGCAAGGACTCTTAGGAATCATGTCCTTTGGCTTCCTCTTCTTATAATGGGAGAAACTGAAGCTCAGAGAGCGTTTTGAGGGCAGGGACCATGCCTTATCCATCTTTCTATCCCCAGGATCCAGACACAGTCTGGTGCATACTGGGTGTCCAACAGATATTTTGTAAATGAGTTGTGTGACCAGCTCCCAGTGACATATTTGTGATTTAGCCCCCTTGATGACTCAGAGTGATTATCCACATCAATCACTACACTGTGCATCCTGCCAGGATGGCTTCAGAACCAATTATGTTATATAGAATGTGGCTGTTATGCTTTTCTACTTATGTTTCCTGCTCTCTTCTCCCTCACTGTCAGCTGTCAGTTCTCCCCGTAGCCACTGGATCCACTTTAAGAAATCTCTGTCACTGTTTTGAATGGGTATCCACTGTAGTCTGGGGCAGAATAGGAGTAAAAGGACTTTGAAAGATTTCAAGTTTGGCGCACATAGAAGGTACCTTTATTGGAGTCACAAGGATTATGGCGGAGTAGACCACAGACTAGAAGCATTGACTATTTTAAGCTGGAAGAGGCCTCACAGTCATCTGATCTGACCTCTTGAAGTCATGCAACTATATCCTAACTCATGCCCCTGTCCAGTTCCTTCTAAGCATGGTGTTAGTTTCCTCAGTGACTTATGAAGCAGGTGCATGTTTTATGCGGGTAATGGTTGAGAAAGTCATGGTTCCACCCCTTGGAATTTCTACCCAATGATCTGGATTCTTAAGCAATTTTCCTCTCAGCACAGAGGAGGTAAACATACGTAGATGTGAGTTTCTCCTCTGATTGCTAATTATGACCTAGCAACTTCCCTCCTTTTCTCCTCTATGTTCTCTCTAGCCCTTTTCAGTCCTGATTGAGGTGAAATATTTTTTTACAGCCATATATTACTTAGAGTTCTAGGGGAAACTCTAAAAATGTAAACTGAAAACACTCAAGGATAATTAAGTAGGGGAGGGGTGACAGAGAGAAATGGTAATTCTATCACTGGATTTCAAGTTGAGATAAGAGTAATTCCATTTAAACCAAACTTCAATATTCACTTGAAAGCCTGTAAATTTCAAGTTTATTAGCCATAAATTGTGATTTATGTCCTGTGGGTTTTTAATGAGGGCAAATGAGGCAGAGAAATGCTCTTATTGATTCATGGTCTGGAAAGGATCTGGCTGGCTTATGCTCTCTTTGAGGGCCATGTAGTTGAAGGGCATGGAGCAGAGGTCCAAGGTTCAAGTTGCAGTTCAGCTATTTTCTGCTTGTGTGATCTCAGTTTCCTCATCTGTAAGATAGCAATGATATTAATATCTCCCTCACGGGGCGGTGCGATGAGTAAATGAGATGATGCGTGTGAATGTGGTTTGTAAATCGTAAGCTACCCAAATGCCAGCTGCTCTCATTATTGATTTAATACCTAGCATTCAGTGTCTAGTGTCTGTGCTGAGTTTTGGGCAGTCAAGGAATGGGACTGGCCAGCAGCCTGTCTGGCAAGGAAAAGCAGAAAGATGTGTGCAAAAGAAAAGTCTTCCTCCTTTCTCACAGGTAAACACCATCCTTAAGTTAATATTATTCCCACGACTTTTTAAAATTTTATTTATTTTATTTTTTATTTAAGACTGGGCCTCTCTATGTTGCCCAGGCTGGTCTCAAACTCCTGACTCAAGCAATCCCCTTCAGCCTCCCAAAGTGCTGGCATTACAAGCATGAGCCACCGGGCTCAGCCCCCATGACCTAAAAAAACATGTTTGTTGTATATATCTTTACTAATATAATTTATATTATTGTTTTGTGTGTTTAAAAAATTCACATCATTCATGCAATAAAAATTGCCACATTATTTTTGAGCTTGCCCAGGATGACACACACTGCTCTGGCTCACTATTTTAACCATCTGTATATGAATATGCCCACTTCCCTGCTGCTGGTCATTTTGGTTGTTGCCATCTCTCACTGCTTGAAATAGTGCTGAGCAAATGATCTCGTCCATGTTTCCCATGCCCATGTGAGAGTGTCCCTCTAGGGGACCCCTAGAAGTGGCAGCTACTGCTGTGTCACTGGTGTGTCTGTCCTCAGTTTTACTGGACATTGCTATAAGACTTTCCGAAGTGAACGTGCCACTCTGTATCCCTGATTCCTTGTGGCCTACTAACACCTAGTGTTACCACATGTGTTGATTTTTGCCAGCTTGATGCATGTAATGTGGTATCTTATTATTATATGAACGATCACATGAAAGAATTTTTAGGGTAAAGGGAAACATTTTAATTTTTTTTCTGGGAGTGATATCTGTAAGATGGCTGGCTAGTGATGCCTAGCGTTCATCCCCTGCACACAAAAGGACCAACACAATGAATAAACAGCAAAGATCTGACCGAAATGTTGAAGAGAGTGGAGAGCTGGAGCGCAGTGGGCGAGTGAAGATATACCTGTGGTGAGGGGAAATCCAGGAGGGCGGCATGGAGGCACCCTGCCTCTGTAGCCTCACATTCTGCATCTGAATCAGATCTGTCCGGAGTCAGGCAGGACTTTCCATTATGAGGAAAAGTGAAGCAGAAGATCTCCACCAGCCCCTGTTGCTGCTGCAAACATTTATAATCCTTACTACAGGAGAATCCCACAGTCCTCACAAGCCCTAGACCAGGTTTGGAGAGCTGCCGGGAACTCAGGCGGCTGCATCACCCAAGATTAGGAGCACAAGGTATACACTTCCCACCCCTCACCCACCACCGTCTGTGAGACAAGCTGCTGCAGCACAGTGCCATCTTGAGACTGCAGCCAACTTTTAGAGTACATCCTCCTCTGGGGGCCGAAAGCCACTGCACCTGCCCAGCACTGGGGCTCCATCTTCATTCAACCAAGCCCAGATGGTTGGCTAAATGGCACAGCACTAGCTGCGTGGAGCCTGGGCTGTGATGCTGGTCCTGCACAGCAGGGAAACCAGGCCCTCAGCCCCATTTCCAGCTGGAGGAACAGTCTGGCAATCCTGCTTAGGGTGAAATCCCCCTTGAACTAGCCAAGCTACTGCATGCCCTTCCTCAAGCAGAAGGGGCCTCCAAGTCTCCAAGCAACTGGTAGACCCCTGAGCCAGCAGAGTGGCTACACTCCCATGCACAAGGCCTGAGAAACAGCCCCGCAGAGCTCCCCACAGCATGCAGATATGTTCCTCAGCTGCCCAATGGTCCTGTGCCCCCAGTAAGGGCCTGAGAAATAGTCCCACAGGCTGCCCCTGGTGTGCACATCCCCAGGCTAGCCAAACATGCAGGAACCCACAACATGGACCTGAGAAACAGTGCCACAGGTCACCCCGTGCAGACATGCATCCAGGCAAGCTGAGAGGACATATGACCATGACCTGGGCTTGAGAAATAGCCCTGGGGGCTGCCCCTGGCAGACATACCCCCAGGCTAGCTGAGCAGCTGTGCACCTGCATCCTGAGCCTAATAAACAGCTCTGTGAGTAGCCCCCAGCAAACATCCCCCCAGGCCAACCAAGAAGTTGTGCAGCTATGTTCTGGGCCTGAGAAACAGCCCTGCAGGCTGCTCCTGGCAGACATGTTCCCAGGCCGGCTGAGCAACTATGTGCCTATGCTTCCAGCCAGAGTAACAGCTCAATGGTCCAAACCTCAGTGAGCCAGACCTCAAGTTGGCCAACCCACCATGTGCACACATGCACTCCTAACTTGAGAAACAGCCTGGCAAGACCACCTGTGGCAAAGCTGCACCACCATTGCAGCTTAGGCCACTGAGCAACTTGCAAACACCATAGTGTGAATTACAGCTGAAGAAACTACATGGAATCTACATTACTGCATCCACCTAGAACCAAGGCCAACATACTACACTGAACTGACACCCCAAGACCCATTCTTATGAATAAGTCTTTCCCTACAAAACCTACTCCATAAAATTGAAAGAGGCAACTTTTCCACCAAATGCATAGAAATCAATGTAGGGACACAACCAATATAAAAAAGAAAGGAAACATGACACCTCCAAAGGAAAATAATAATTCTCCAGTAAAAATCCCAATCATAAGGAAATATATGAAATGCTAGAAAAAGCATTCAAAATAATCATCTTAGGGAAACTCAATAAGATACAGGATTCAGATACACAATTTAATGAAATCAGGAAAACAATTCACAATTTGAATGAGAAATTTAACAGAGACAGATATAAAATGAATCAAATGGAAATTCTAGAATAATTCAATAAATGAAATAAAAAATACAATTGAGAGTTTCAAAAACAGACTAGACCAAGCAGAAGAAAGAATGTCTGAACTTTTCAAAAGGCAGGCCTTTTGAAATAACACAGGCAGATGGAACAAAAAAGAATAATGAATTAAAAAGAATGAAGAGGCCGGGTGTGGTGGCTCACACCTGTAATCCCAGCACTTTGGGAAGCCTAGGTGGGTGGATCACTTGAGGTCAGAAGTTCAAGACCAGCCTAGCCAACATGGTGAAACCCCATCTCTACTATAAATACACAAAGCAGCCAGGTGTGGCAGTACATGCTGTAATCCCAGGTACTTGGGAGGCTGAGGCATGAGGATTGCTTGAACTTGGGAGGCAGCGGTTTCAGTGAGCTGAGATCACGCCACTGCCCTCTTGCCTGGGTGATAGAGTGAGACTCCAGTCTCAAAAAAAAAAAAAAAAAAAGAATGAAGAAAGCTTACAGGACATAACTAAGCAAACAAAATTTTATGTAATGGGTGTTCCAGAAGGAGAAGAGAAGGGAAAGGGTGAGGAAAACATATTTAATGAAATCATAGCAGAAAACTTTCCAAGTCTTGGGAGAGAGATGGACATCCAAGTCCGGAAAGCTCAAAGAACCCCCAAATAGATTCAACCAAAACAGGTCCTCTCCGAGGCACATTATAGTCAAATTGTCAAAAGTCAAAAACAAAGAAAGAATTCTAAAAGCACCAAGAGAAAAGCATCAAGTCAGTTATAAAAGAATCCCCACTGGACTAACAGTGGATTTCTCAGTAGAAACCTTACAGGCCAAGAGAGAATGGGATGATATATTCAAAGTACTAAGAGAAAAGAACTAGACAGCCAAGAATATTATACCCAGCAAAACTATTCTTCAGAAATGAAGGAGAAATAAAATCTTTCACAGATAAGCAAAAACTAAGGGAATTCACCACCACTAGATTGGCCGCATAAGAAATGCTCAAGGGAGTCCTACAGCAAGTGAAAAAATGATAACCACCATCATGAAAACATGTGAAATTCTAAACTCACTGGTAGAGCTGATACACAAAAGAGAAAGAACGGAGTCAAACCTTATCACTACTGGCCAAGCATGGTGGCTCACATTTGTAATCCCAGCACTTTGGGAGGCTGAGGCAGGAGGATTGCTTGAGTCCAGGAGTTCAAGACCAACTTGGGCAATATAGTAAGACACTGTCTTAACAAAAAAAAATAAAAATAAAAAAAATAAAGAAAAAGAAAGAAAAAATTAGCCAGGCATGGTGGCACACACCTGTGATCCCAACTACTCAGGAGGCTGAGGTGAGAGGATTGCTTGAGCCCAGGGAGTGCAGGTTGCAGTGAGCCATGATTGTGCCACTGCACTCCAGCCTGGGTAACAGAGCAAGACCCTGTCTCAAAAACAAAGAAACAGCAACAACAAAACCCTTATCACTATAGAAAACCTTCCAACTGTAAAAATAAATAAGAAGACAGGAAATAAGGAACAAAGGTTACAAAAAATAACCAGAAAACAATCAATAAGATGTCAGGAGTAAGTCATCACCTATCAATACTAACTTTGAATGTATCTGGATTAAATTCCCTATTTAAAATATATGGATTTGTTGAATAAATTTTAAAAAGCAAGACCCAACTATATTCTGCCAACAAGAAACTCACCTCAGCTGTGAACACACAGAGAGACTGAAAGTGAAGGGAGGGAAAAAGGTATTCTCTAAACTAGAAACCAAAACCAAACAGAAGTAGCTGTAATTATATCAGACAAAACAGGTTTCAAGTCAAAAGCTGTAAAAAGGGGCAAATAATACTAAAGGGATCAATTCAGCAAGTGAATATAAAAATTACTATATATGCATCCAACAGCAGAGCACCCAGCTATATAAAGCAAATGTTATTAAACCTAAAGAGATAAAGCTCAGTACGATAATAGCTGGGGACTGCAACACTCCACTTTCAGCATCAGACAAATTATCTAGACAAAAAGTCAATGAAGAAACATTGGATTTAAACTTCACCATAGACAAAATGGACCTAACAGACATTTACAGGATATTTCGGTCAACAGCTGCTGAATACATATTCTTTTCATCAGCACACGGAACATTTTCCAGGACTGACCATATGTTAGGACACAAAACAAGTCTCAAACATTTTTTAAAAATTGAAATCATATCAACTATCTTATCTTACCACAATGGAATAAAACTAAACATCGATAACAAGAGGAACATTTGAAACTATGCAAATATATGAAAATTAAAGTACATGCTCCTGAAATGAAGAAATGAAAAATGAAATTTGAAAATTCCTTGAAACAAATGAATATCGAAACACAATATACCAAAACCTATGGGACACACAAAAGCAATATTAACAGCCAAGTTTATAGCAATAAATACCTACATTAAAAAACTAGAAAAATTTCAAATAAGCAATCTAACAATGCACCTCAAGGAACTAGGAAAGCAAGGACAAACCAAACTCATTAATTAGTAGAGGAAAAGAAATAATAGGCTGGGCATGGTGGCTCACGCCTGTAATCCCAGCACTTTGGGAGGCCAAGGTGGGTGGATCACCTGAGGTCAGGAGTTTGAGACCAACCTGGCCAACATGCTGAAACCTTGTCTCTATTAAAAATACAAAAATTAGCCAAGTGTGGTGGCACACGCCTGTAATCCCAGCTACTTGGGAGGTTGAGGCACGAGAATCTTCTGAACCTAGGATGTAGAGGTTGCAGTGAGCTGAGATCGCTCCACTTCACTCCAGCCTGGGCGATAGAGTGAGATTCTGTCCAAAAAACATTAAAAAAAAGAAATAATAATGACCAATGAAGGAATAAATAAAATTGAGACTAAAAAAATTTTTGTTCAGAGTAACAAAAAGTTGGCTTTAGCTGGGCATGGTGGCTCATGCCTGTAATCCCTCTCTACTTGGGAGGCTAAGGTGAGAGGATCACTTGAGGCCAGGAGTTCAAGACCAGCCTGGGCAATACAGTAATATAGTGAAACCCTATTTCGAAAAAAAATGTGATTTTTTTTTAAAAGATAAACAAAACAGACAAACCATTAGCTAGACTAAGAAAAAAAAGAGAAGACCCAAATAAATATAATGAAAAATGAAAAAGGAGATGTTGCAACAGATACCACAGAAATACAAAGGTTCATTAGAGGTTATTATGAATAGCTACACACAAATAAATCAAAAAACCTAGAGGAAGTGGATAAATTCCTGGACACATACAACCTACTCAGATTGAACCAAAAAGAAACAGAAAACTTGAACAGACCAATAACAAGTAACGAGATTAAATCAGTAATTAAAAAACCTCCCAAGAAAGAAAAGTCCAGGACTGGATGGCTGTACCGCTGAATTCTATTGAACCTTTAAAGAAGAATTAATACCAATTCTCAAATTATTCCAAAAATTGAAACAGCCAGAATTCTTCGTAATCATTCTATGAGGCTAGCATAACTCTGATACCAACACCAGACAATAATATAACAAAAAAGAAAACTTATTTTTTTTTAAGGGAAAAGGTAGGAGCTAGGCAGAGACTAAAGATGTAATGGAGAAAGAGGAGAATGAAACGAGCTTGCTTAGGAGGAGGGAGGAAGAGGAGGAAGGAGAAGGGACAAGGCTTCTCAGAGCTCAGAGCAAGGGGACAGATAGCAAGTGGAAACAGAGTTTATGTCAGAACAAATCCCAATCTTGTTGAGAAGGGAATAGTAAATGAACTGCAGAGGGAAAGAGGATGGGAAGTGGTTCAGAGTCTGAAGAGAGAAGAGCAGGATGTGAATTTGGCGTGAAGCCAGTAAGAGATCATTGAAATATGGCAGAGAGGAAGCGAGGAGCCGCTGGAATCTGCAGTGCACCCACAGCCAGTCTTCTCATTGCCAGCATCTCCGTTTTCTCTTCCTTCTGGACAATATTTGTCAACTACTAACAACTAGCAGCTGCTTTTTTTTTTTTTTTGAGGCCTTACTATGTGCACTTGATAGATATCTTCCCAATTCACAATTACTTGTAATTGTATGATAGGTTTGAAGCAGAAAAGAGTTAAGGATGTTGGTTGGTGTAAGTTTTCTATAAGTAGGTACCATGTGGTGTGGCTGCTCAAAATGATGATACTCTTTAGGCTGCGTTAGTAGGAGCACATTAGTGTGAAGGAGAGCAAACAGTCCTGTGTTATTCTGCTCTGGTCAGGCCAAAGAAGCAATGTTCTTTTCTGTCCCAGGTAAGGGTGATAATCATAACTGCTACTATTCATTAGGCACCTACTATGTGCCAGCTCCCGTGAGATGCTTGCATGCATTCTTTTTAATCCCCAAAACAATCCCAAGAGGTAGATAATATGATCTTCATTTTACAAATAAGAAAACTTAGCCTCCAAGAGTTTCAGTTACATGCCAATGTCCTTAGAGAAAGGAGAAAAATAACACCTACTAAAGAAAGACCTAAGGAATAAGAGTGGTATCTTCAAGTAGCAGAAAGGCCATCATAAGGCAAAGGGACAGTACTGGCCCTTTTTGATCTGGCCATAAAAGGTAGAAATAGGCTCAATGGATGTAAATCACACAAAAAGAAGTTCCACTTAACAAAAGGAAGAACAGTCAGCCATATGACAAAATGTTTTGTGTTACCTTTGGTGGTAGTGAGTTCCCTGTTACTGGAGGTGTTCAAGCAAAGGCTGAATGAATGTTGGGCACAGCTGTACAGAGAATGCAAGCATTAGATGAGGAGTAGAACTAGATGCCCTTCTCGATATTTTCCAACATTCAAATTTTGTTTATATTTTTTAGCAATATAAAAAAGAGGTCAGGTCAAAAAGGGAAGAGGTTCAAAGACACCGGAATGGCTGGCCATGTGGCAATCCTCCACAAGCTGCAATTAGAAAACAAGAGGGGTTCTCCTGGCCATCGGGATGCGGAGTAGAAGTGAGGCTCTGCCTCATTCCGCCCACCCCTAACTTGGCTTCCGGTGAAGTCTCCTGGAGAAGTTAGAGGCAGAAGTTTAGTGTGCACGTTTCTGCCTAAGCAATTCTGCAACCATTTTTCACCAACTCAGGCTCAGGCAGGTGGCTGGCTATGGTTTGTATCTGATTTGTTTGCATTTCTGTGGCAGGCAGCTGCTGTGACTGGTTGCAAAGGGAGAGATTTGCTTTGCACCTAATTTAATCCAAGGGTTAGGTAATGAGTTTGCTCCCCCTTAGAAGAGAGGAATCAACATGCTTCTTCCAATCTTATCTGTGCTTGCTTATTAGCAGGAGGGCTGCTCTGTGGACCTTGTTAGATCTCCAACGCATGTGATCACTACTCAGGGGTGATTTACTATACCTCCTGATATTAAAAACCCCTGAGCGAGACAAGAGAAATGAATAATGCTCTGTAGTGAATTTGTTAATGAATTTTCTTTCTGCACCCAAAAAGAAGAAACTGGAAAAAAAGGATGTTGGACCAGAGAAAGACCATAATTCTCTGCAAGTCAGGGTTCTTGATGAGTCTAGAGAGAAAATAATCAGAAATCTTTTTTTTTTTTTAAAATCCCATATTCCGTTCTAGTTAGGGATTGTCATTAATTTCAGGGTAGAAGATAGCTTGGCATCTTTCTGGTATTCTTAAAATAGAATAAATAGGCAGCCAACCTTAAAAAAAATAAGAGGTTTTGATCTAGGGTTTGAGTAATCTGGGCTGGCTTCTGATTTGCATATATATGTAATAAAGTATGTCCCTGTTCCCAAGGTTGATTGCTAGGAAGCTGAATTCATGAAGAATGAAACTCTGCTCAGTGACAGGTGAGGAGGCAGAGGGACTTCCTGTCAACTCCTCCAGGTGTGTACCTGTCTATAAACCCTCACCTGCTGGGTCAGGGTGTCTTGCTTCAAACTTGTGACTAGGGCCAGCTTCCTAGGCATGTGGCCTGTGCAGGTGCACAGAACCCTGCACTTAGAAGGGGTTGAGCTTAGTTTAATGTTCTGCTGTTGCTGTCTTGAAATTCTTAATTTTTGAAAAAGGAACTCCTTATTTCCATTTTGCACAGGGCCTGGGAATTATGTAGCCGGCCCTGACAGTTGATTTTTCATTGTCAATGGCTCTGTCTTGCGTTCATCTGCCCTTTCCCAACTCTGACCTTTTCTCAGGGGCAAAGTGATGTTTGCTCTAAAAGCATACATATCATGTAAAAGTATGTGTCTGTCTTTTAGGAAGACAATTTATTGCTTTTTATACCCTATTTAGAGAAGTAATACAGGTAAATTATAGGAAATCTGAAAAGTACGAAGAAGAAAAAAATTATCCATATACCCACCACACAATGATGTAGCTTTCTAGACTTTTAATACATACTTCTGTTTTGTTCTGGCTTTACATCATTGGAAATATCAGAAATAATGTTTGGGAAAATGCTTTTTAAAGATTACTAACATAGCATGAGAATTTCCCCCATATCATAATTTTTTCTTCAAAAGTTTTTTTGTTGTTAGCTACATAGCATTCCACTACACAAAAATGCCATCATTAACTCAAATGATCCCTTCTTTTTGGGCCATTTATGTTTACTACAAATAACACTGTAAAGATAACACTTATATACGTTAGAAAACCAAAAAAAAAAGATGATTTGTTTAGTTGTTTATTTATTTTATTATTTATTTTTGGGGGAATAAGCAGTGTTTATTGGGCTCAGACCAGGAGTCCATGGGTCTTGAGGACCTCTGCGTATCTGTCAGTTTTCTCCATGTTCTTTGCTGCCTGTTTCTGTGGCCTTAAGAGCTGCTTTTCCTTCCCTGAGTAAATCCTGGCCTTTTCCTTCCTCTCCTCCTGCAGGTGGCTGTCACTGCCTGCTACTTCTAGCCAGCTTCGTGAGTCAGGCACCCCAGGCAGGCAAACTTTCTTGTAGGCTTCAGACATACCACCTGGAGGGCCGCAGAAACAACCTTCAGCTGTTTCTTGTCGCAGGGCCGTGGGATCCCAGCACACACCTTGAGGCGGTCCTGGGAGGCTTGGCCTCGCGCGGTCCAAACCAGGTATATGGGGGCCCAGGAAGGGTGGGGGTCCGGGAAGGGTTGGTGTTCATCCACCTGTGGAGGAAGGCCAGGTACTTCACCTGGTTTCTGTAGAAATTGCCAGAAATGGGCCAACATAGTGAAACCCTGTCTCTACTAAAAATACAAAAATTAGCTGGGCGTGGTGGTGCGTGCCTGTAGTCTCAGCTACTCGGGAGGTTGAGGCAGGAGAATTGCTTGAACCTGGGAGGTGGAGGTTGCAGTGAGCCGAGGTTGTGCCACCGCACTCCAGCCTGGGTGACAGAGCGAAACTCCGTCTCAAAAAAAAAAAAAAAAAAAAAGAAAAGAAAAGAAATTGCCAGAAATTCTGATGCCCTCGCTGTGCACGACCCCCACCCTCCGGCCCAGCAGTGCCTGCTTAGCCACGATGGCCCCCGCGTCCCCAGAGGTGGCCTCGGCCTCAAGCACCAGGACCTGCCCCTCACCCCTACGCCATCTTCGATAGCCGCTTGGGGAAACAAAACAGATTATGCTGGGCGGGTTGAATTCCTAGAAGTAAGACCTTAGACATACATTGCCAATTGCCCTCTGGAAAACCCTTCCAATTTACAGTGGCTACGGAAGGAAGCAAGTGGGCGAAGGAGACGTGGAGGAAAAGGAGTTCTGCTTGGTGCTTTGGGCTCTGTGGGCAACAGCCGACTTTCTCTCTCTTTCAGTACTGGTTGGGGTGCACTGCAGTGATTTAGAGCAGAACTCGCTCTTCCACAATCCAAAATTCTTTCCTGGAAGTGGCGTGTCCCTGGCGCTCTCCTGTCCCCACCAGCGCTGAGGCGGGTGGGAGCTCCCAGGAGCGGCTTCACATTCAGTCGCTGCAGGATCACAGCACTGATGCCCCTGCAAAGCTGCCACTGGGAACATTTTAGTGTGCTGGGCTTGGTTTAATGTCACCGTGCTCTTTCCAAAGTCTCCTGAGGGGAGAAGAATAGCATTCCAAGCGTGATAGTTTCTAGTGAGGGTCTCTAATGAGGAAAGAGAGCTGCAGAGGAGGCGCTTGCTCCTGGGCAGCTGCTGCTGTCTCCCAGATTCATTCTGAATGTCCACGATCCCTGCGTTCACAGAACGAGTCTGCTAGTGGCTGTCATGATCATTTAGGCTTTTATTTAGGCTTTGTGAGGGGGGATGTGACCAGTTGGTCTGTTTACTACGGAGGCCTTGGCCTGTCTCTGTGGGAGGAGCTACCATATGCTGCTGGTGGGGCAGGAGCTCTTCACATCTCTTTGAAACGCAAGTTGCAAAATCTCTGCATGTTTCTACTCTGGGTCTGTGGCCAGGGTGACTCCCAGAGACTGGCTTGTGCTAGTGGGGAGAGGAGAGGGGAGGAGTGTGTTGGGGGAGGCTGGGTTGAGAAGTGACATTTACAGACCAGCTGTGCAGCAGACCCCAAGGGATCCTCAGCCCCTGCAAGGCTTCCTTTGACCCTGTGGGTCTGGGGCAGGGAAGGAGGAGGGCCAGGGGTTCTCTTTACATTTAGCTGCCCCGGTTCTTCTTTGCTTTGGATGACCTTCTCTTGATGTGGTGAATTTCCCATCTGCTAGAGATACACAATTTCTGACTTCCACCGTTTTCCTTGAACTTCTTTCTGCCTCTGCTCATGAGCCCTCTTCTTGCTACAGTCCCACTCCCCTCCATCATATGCAAGGCACTGCTGGCTCCAGGGCTCGTGTGGGAGGTCTCGCACACACACAGGTTGGACCCACACCGGGCTAGAGCCACCAGGGACAAACCACTGGCCTTTTGGCTCCTCCTCACATGTTCCCCTCCCACTTCCCCTACCCCAATCCCCATGGGAAGAACAAAAATCTCTGGTCTCTGCAGCCCACTGTGAAGAATGTCATCTGAAGGGAAGCCACACTGCCAGCAAAGGAAGTGGCCTCCTGCCTTCCCCCGCCTATGGTTCTGCCCCAAGTCCACTTAGTAAACAAAAACTTCTTAGATTGGAGTCTGTGGATGCAGTCTTATGTTCTGCTAGTTCTCCAAGCATTGCTGGAATTTCGACTTTTCAATTTTATGATAAGCTTTACAGAAACTCATACCATTTATAAAGACAAAACTGAAGTCTGTGTTTTTGCATATATGTTTCCTGGGATCCTATGAAAATTTTTCTCCTTTAAAAGGGACTGAATTTTAGACAAGTTTGAGAAATACTGCACAGTGCCTCCAATGATAACAACAGCCTTTGTTGAGCCCGTAATCAATGGTAAACCCTGTGCAGCGGCTCCTTTCGCTCCTCCAGTAGCTAGGCATCCCCTTTTTCCAAAAAAAGGAGAGCAAAGCTAAGAGACAAAATGGCTGGCCGGTGCCACACAGGCCAGGAGGCCAAGATACAAATGCCAGTCTGATACCAAAGCCCATACTCTTAATTTTATGAGGCTCTCCCTGTGGGAGGCATTGTTCTAGGCAGTGCAGGGATGAGAGTGGAATGTGGTTGTAAAAATTAACTCCAATATTCCTGGTCAGTTAGTTTGTAACCCACGAGAGGATATAACACATATATACATGTAACTAATAAAGATTGGACTGTGACTACTGCTAGAAACCAAGTGCTAGGAAGTGCCTAGGAACAGATGAAAAGGCAAGTTTTAGCTTAATGGATTGGGTTCGAAGAGGGTAGGATCACTCATTTTTAAACCAACGTTTGATTGAGCTTCTATTTGGTGCAAGGAATTGTGCTGAGCACTGTCCTGCCTTCAAAGAGCTCTACTAGGGCAGACAGATGAATGAATGGACAATGACATATGCACAGGATGGGGAACCTCCTGGCGGGGGATGTTCTCCTCTCCACCTCAGGCTGGTTAGGGAAGCACTTGAGCAGTAGCAGAGAGGGAAGGTGTATTAGTTCATTCTCGCATTGCTATAAAGAAATACCTAAGGCTGGGTATGTACAAAGAAAAGAGGTTTAATTGGCTCACAGTTCTGCAGGCTGTACAGGAAGCATGGCACTGGCATCTGCTCAGCTTCACGTGAGGCCTCGGGAAGCTTTCAATCATGGCAGAAGGCAAAGGGGGAGCCGGCATCTTACATGGCAAGAATGGGAACAAGAGAAAGTGTGAAGTGGGGAGGTGCCGCATACTTTTAAACAACCAGATCTTGTGTGAACTCACTCCTCACCAAGGGGACGGTGTTAAGCCATTCATGAGGGATCTGACCCCGTGATCCAAACACCTTCTACCAGGCCCCACTTCCAACACTGGGAATTACATTTCAACATGAGATTTACCGGGGACACAGATCCAAACCATATCAGAGGGGAAAGGGGATGTATGCTGAGTGCAGAGGAAACAGCTGGAACAAAAAGGGAGTGAGAGGCTGTGGGCCGCACAGGGAATTAGAATCAGTCCTCCATTACCCAGGGCAGGGGGCGTTGCTTGGGTAGTGGCTGTAGAAAAGTGAAGGAGATAGGCCTAAGTGCAAATCACAAAGTTTTGAAGCTTTAACAGGGAAATAGGCAGTTTCTGGCAACCTGTTGAAGGTGTTAAGAATAGGAATTATAAAAAGTTAACAGGCTGGGCAGACACCTGAGGGAGGCCAGATAGGAGACTCTTGCAGTAATGCAGGTGAGAAATGGGGAGATCTTAGTTACGGCTTCTTATTGCACTCATGGTAAAGGCCCAGAGCCATTCCAAGGACCTATCAGGCCCCACACAGGCTGACCCGTTATCTCCAGCTAGTCTTCTCTGGTTCAGCCACACTGATCCTTAAACAAGCCAGCCATGTCGACCTCAGGGCCTTTGTGCCTCTCTCTGGAATGTCTCCTTTCCAGGGAAGCCTTCCTAGCCATTTTATTTAAAGTAGTCCCCTACCCTCAACTCCCTGTTCCATTTCCATGTTGTAGTTTTCTCCATCTACCTCACTATAGCTTTTACTTCTTTGTTTATTTTCTGTCTCCTTCCAGTAGAATGGAAACCCCTTGAGGGCAGGTATGTGTCTGTCTTGCTCACTGCTGTCTCACCAGGTGCCTTCAGCCTGGCACATAGTAGGTACCTATAAATATTGGCTAAATGAGTGAATTATTGAATTTCATAGGTGAAAGAAAAAATCCACAAAGGCAGGGGTAGTAGCAGTGGGGTTGAGAACAGTGAAGAGGTAGGGAGAAATTTAGGAGGGATTGTGGATGACAGGACCTGGGATTGCTGAATGTGGGGGGAAGGGAGAGAGGAGTAAAGGGCTACTCTTAGGTGTCTGAGCTCCAGCATAGGGTCAGTGGGGGGCCATTTCAGCAGCTAGGAGACTGGTTTGAACTATGTCCGGCTGGGTGTGGTGTCTGTTGCATGTAATCCCAGCACTTTGGGAGGCTGAGGTAGAAGCATTGTTTGAGCTCAGGAGTTCAAAGCCAGCCTGGGCAACATAGTGAGACTCCATCTCTAGTTAAAAAAAAATAGCCAGGCATGGTGATATGCACCTGTAGTCCCAGCTACTCAGGAGGCTGATGTGGGAGGATTGCTTGAGCTTAAGAGATTGACACTGCAGTGAGCTATGATTGTACCACAGCACTCCAACCTAAGTGAGACCAGGATCGAAAAAAAAAAAAAAAAAGTGAGATCCTGTCTCAACAAAACCAAAAACAAAAAAAACAAACTATGTCTGGAGGATCCCTGGGAATTTCCTGGAGCCACTTTGGGGAACCATCAAAGGGAAGAAGGGTTGAGCTGAGGAACAAGGCTCCAGTCAGAGAAAATCAGTATTTATTTTGTTTTTGATTTTCTTGTTTTGGTTTGGTTTAATTTTTAAGTCACTGAGATCAGAAATTATAATAACTTATAGTTATTGTGTTCTTACAATGTTCTGGATATTAGGCTAAGCATTTAAAACTAGATCTTCTCATTTCCTCTTTATGACAATTCTATAAGGGTGACACTATTATCCTCTTTCTACAGCCCAGGAAACTGAGGCAGAAGAGAGATTAAGTGACTTTTCTAAGGTCACAGAATTAGTAAGTGAAGAGCAATGCAATTCCTGAATCCATAGTCTAAAGAGAGAAAATAGACAATGTATGGTCTGGTGGAGAACAGAGTATCACCCTTATTACTGATGATAGCAGTGTCACTCAGTTTTCACACTGCTATGAAGATACTACCTGAGACTGGGTAATTTATTAAAAAGGAGGTTTAATGGACTCACAGTTCTGCATGGCTGGGGAGGCCTCAGGAAACTTACAATCATGGCAGAAGGAGAAGGGGAGGCAAGGCACGTCTTACATGGCTGCTGGACAGAGACAGAGAGTGAAGGGGAAGTGCTACTTTTAAGACCGTAAGATCTCGCAAGAACTCACTATTACAAGAACAGGATAGGGGAAACCACCCCTATAATCCAATCACCTCCCACCAGGTCCCTCCCTCAACACCTGGGGATTACAATTCGAGATGAGATTTGGGTGGGGACACAGAGCCAAACCATATCAACAGCTGTCACATCTAGAGCAAATTGAGGTTGTTAATGTCCATTCCAGAAACCAAGGTGAACAGGCTCTCAGGGTTGGTGCCTGTCTGGTTTCCAGCCAGGTAGACTCCAGCAGGAGCACCCTGCTCAGGTCGGTCTTTCTGACAGGTAATGAAATGTCACAGCAGAAAGAAGAGCTCCCCGCCCCCCAAGGTGTGCATGAGGGTGTGCTCCTGTTGAAAGTGTGGTGCTGGGTGGGGAGAGTTACCGAAGATGGAGAACAGTGGCTTGAAACCAATAAAAACCAACTGCTGGGAGAAACACTCACCAGTTTCTGAAGATCTTAAACAAAGGACCTAAACTAGGAGATGGCAGACAAAATCATCAAAAAGAAATGTGTCCACTGGGGACTGTGGGGAGCCCCTGCCCCATCTGAAGGGCAGCTGCTGCCCTGGGCCAGCCAGTTTTTGCCACCAGGGGATGTGGGCTCAAGGTTGCTTCATTTTTCATTTTTTTTTAAAAGCCAGGAATCTGGATTTTTGCGCAAAATCATCTGACTTTTAAACGTTGCCGAAACTCCCAAAACCGTATGTGGTCCAAACCAGTAACCTCACAGGGCCCCATCTGGCCTGCACGCCGTGGTTTGTGTCCACTGACAAGGAATCTTAACCTCTTTGGGCCTTGGGAATCTGATGAAAATGTTCAGGCATTTTCTAGGAAAAAGAAATGCCTGAACAAACACATAATTTTGAGTATCATTTCTGGGTGTCTCTCTGCCCCCGGAATCATCCTTTTCTAAAGGCACACTTTGTAAAGGTAAGAGGGCTTCTGAGCAAACCTGAGGTCTGGGAAGGTACAAGCTGACAGGGGTATCTGGGTTTGTCCCACATCTGAATGAAACAGTGCTGTTTGTTGGAGTCAATATGTCCACATCTGTTTGCTTATGAGTCCTGCTTTGTACCCAACTTTCCTTGGCAGTCTTGGTTAATTCCCTCTGTATCAGTAAGGTTGCACAGGGGAGCAGGAAAGAGGCCCAAGAGGCCTGGATACTGGTCTGGAGGGGGCAGAAGAGCAGACATGAAGGCAGTGAGGGAGGCTGGATGTGGGGGGTGGGGGATGGGGGGGACTTTAGAGCTAGACTTTGAAGCGTTGATAGAACTAAAAAGAAGAAATAAATTATTTTTCTGATCTTGGACAAGGAGGAAGGACATGGATTTAAAGTTGGATGCCCTAAATGCCAAGACTGTCTGCATCTAGGACAGGTATTACATGCAAGAGGCTCTCCTTCCAGCCAAGCATGTGCCCTAGCTAAGCTCCTGCACTTTCACAGGAGGCTGACAGCCCATCTCCAGCCCAGCCTATTAAAGAATAAGGCTGCCCTTAATTGGTAACAGGGAGGAGCTGAACCCCATGTACTTGTCAGCATAACACTGAGCTCCCTGCAGCTCAAAATTTACCAAATGCTTGGTTGCAAAAAATAGCATTAATAGAGATAAAAGACATGCATTCCCACCGTTCCTCTAGATTCCATTAGTCTTATTCACAGATAAGTCAGACCTTCAGAGACTTGAACATATGGTTTTGGCCTCTGGCTGGCTAGCTCTATTGAACAAGGCTGAGCAGTTATGCCACTGGCCTCCCTCTTTATGTACTTATCATTAAGAGAATTAAGGATGAGGTTCAGTGTGTCAGGCAAATTTCCACTTTTTGAATACTTGCGTGGCAACCTCCCAGATAGCCCCCAGCAATCCTTGCGTGTTAGTAAGTCATGCCTTTGTGTAGTCACCTCCCATATAGAATAGGGCTGACCTGTGGAGCTATAAGATATACCAGACATGATGGAATGTGACTTCTCAATCTAGGTCATGAAAGGAATTGTGGCTTCCACTATGTCCTTTCCTATACTGCCCACTCAGGAGGAAGTCAGCTGCCATGTTGTGAAGACACTCAAACAGCACAATGGAGAGGTCCATGTGGTGAAGAACTGAGACCACCTGCTAACAGCCAGCAGTGTGAGCTCACTTGCCAGCTGTGTGAGTGAGCCATCTTAGAAGTACATCCTCCAGCTCCAACTGTTGTCAGCTTTTTTGGGATATCACTTTCATATCTCTAAATAACAAGCTTATATTGCTACTTTTTTCTGTTTTAGACATTGTCTATTTATTTTCCACTTTTCCATTTTTGTAGTGAGAAACAAAAATTACCACAAAACTTAGTAGGTTAAAACAATAAACATTTATTATCTCTCACAGTCACTTTCTTCATCTCCTCTCAATATATTATAGTGTAAATCTGATCAACATATATACTGATATACAGTCACATGCCACATAACAATGTTTTGGTCAGTGATGAACCACACAGACCACAGTGGTCCCATAAGATTGTAATGAAGCTGAAAAATTCCTATTGCCTAATGAGGTCAGAGTACAATGCATTACTCACGTGTTTGTGGTGATGTGGTGTAAACAAACCTACTGCACTGCCAGTCATGTAAAAGTCTAGCACATACAATTACATACAGTATGTAATACTTGATAGTTATAGGAAATAACTGTGTTACTGGCTTATGTATTTACTATGCTTTTAATCATTGTTTTAGAGTATACTCCTTCTACCTATTAAAAAAAAGTTAACAGTAAAACAGCTTCACTTCAGACAGGTCCTTCAGGAGGTATTCCAGAAGAAGGCTTTGGTATGATAGGAGATGATAGCTCTGTGTGTGCTATTCCTCCTAAAGACCTTCCAGCGGGAGAAGACGTGCAGGAGGAAGACAGTGATATTGATGATCCTGACCCTGTGTAGACCTAGGCTAATGTGTTTGTGTCTAATTTTTTTTTAAAGTTTACAAAGTAAAAATATTTAGAATTTTTTTAAGTAGAAGAAAGCTTATAGAATAAGAATATAAAGGAAATATTTTGTACAGCTGTGCAATATGTTTGTTTTAAGCTGTTATTTCAAAAAAGTCAAAGAGTTAAAAAAATTTAAAAAGTGTATAAAGTAAAAACTTACAGTAAGCTAAGGGTAATTTATTATTGAAGAAAGAAAATTTTAAAATAAATTTGGCATAGCCTAAGTGTACAGTGTTTCTAATCCTTGTAGGGTACAGTAATGTCCTAGGTCTTCACATTCTCTCACTGCTCACACACTGACCCAGAGCAACTTCCAGTCCTGCAAGCTCCAGTCATGGTAAGGGCCCTATGCAGGTGTACAGTTTTTATCTTTTATACCATACCTTCACTTTACAGTTTCTACATTTAGATATGTTTAGATCCCCGAATACTATAGCGTTACAATTGCCTGCAGCACTCGGTATGGCAACATGCAGTACAGGTTTGTAGCCTAGGTATGTGGTAGGCTGCACCATCTAGGTTTCTGTAAGTACACTCTGTGATGTGTGCACAATGACATAATCCTTTTTTATCTTTATGACCCCCTTGTCAACCCTCGAATCCCCTTTTGAATGAGGAGGAGCATAAGTACATGAGTTTTAGAGAAGGTAGTCAAAAGCTGGCATATCAAGGAATTGAACACAAGGCAAAACTCTTGAGAAGGAGCCAAGAATCAGAAGTCAGCAATGAAAGAAAAATCCCACAAACCAAAGGGGCAAGGGTGAGTTAAAAATGTAGAGGTGGATCCAGAGCTGGAACCAGGGGAAAGTTAGAACAGGTTTAGACTCTAGGGAAGCCAGCACTTTCCCCATAAGCTGGCGGGGCTTCTCAGCTTGCTTCGTGGTTCAGTGGAGGCATTGGGTTCTGAGGGGTGTTGAAGCCACTCACGTCCTACCATAGGCTGGACTCCTTTTTCCTCTCCCCACCCTTGCCGGCTCTGGGCACCGCCTCCTGCTTCTCAGGGCACCTCACTGCTCTTGTCATTAATGGAGATAGTTAGGGAGAGAGGAAATGAGGTAAAGAATGAAGTGAAATTAGCTTTACAGTAATCTCATTAACAGATGTCAGTCTCATTTTATAGGGAGCATAGAGCTACATATGGAATATTATTCTAAGAAAGCTGGACAATTCATTGCACCGAGGGGAGGAGGTGTCCCTTCTTCAGTCCATGTGAATTCCTTCAGTTATGCACTTCCCTCCATCCTCATATCTCTCTTTTGCTATGACTTCCTTCCATCAAATTTCCCTTCTCTTCTACATCTTCAATCTCTTCCTCTCTCCTAAATCCTTTCCTCCATATCTACTCAAGTTGTTCTCATCCTTTAACAATTTCTTCCTTGATTTCTCTAGTTCTGTCTTCCTTCCTTTTACAGACAGCTCTCCTGAAAGTTCTCTGCACCTACAGCTTCCCCTTTCTCTGTTTCTCACTCCACAGTGGTGTGGGTACTCTCACTCTGTCACTCATACTGGAGTGCAGTGGTATGATCTTGGCTCACTGCTGCCTTGAACCCTTGGGCTCAAGCGAGCCTCCTGAGTAGCTGGGACTGCAGGTGTGCACCACCACACCTGGCTAATTAAAAAAAAAAAAAAAAAAAATATATATATATATATATATACACACACACACACATACATATTGCAGAGATAGAATCTTGTTATGGTTCCTAGGCTGGTCTCAAACTCCTGACCTCAAGCAATCCTTCTGCCTTGGCCTCCCACAGCCCTGGGATTACAGGTATGAGCCACCACACTGGTCTCACTTATTCTTAATTTCATCTCTTCTGGTCTTTTCTTTCTTTTTTTTCTGCAGGTTACAATTCCTTTGCTTGTCCCTTAAATGCATGGTTCATTCTTGACCCTCTTCTCTTTTCATCCTCTAAATGTTTCCAGATGTATCATCTCTTCCTGTGGCTTTGTATGGCAGTGCTGCCAAATATAGATATTTCTGACCAGAGCCCTCTACTGAGTTGTGTTTGTGTGCACAACTACCTTCTGCACTTCTGACCCTTTACCCAAGGCTGTCCCTCCTCCTGGATGTCATTTTCTGGAGAATGGCATGGTCAGCTACTTTGATTTCTGAATCAGGAACCTGGACATTATCTCTGACCCTCTCTTACCCCTTCTCTACTCCATGTCCAGTCAGACACCAGTCAACATAACCCTGGACTCTGCTTCTTACCATCTCACAGCCTCAGTCCCTTCTCTCCATCCCCACAGCCACTGCCTTAGTTCAGGCCTCCAGTGTTCATGCAACCTCCTGAATGGCCTCCCCCACACCAAGATTCTCTCCATTAACCCATCTCCACATTGTGGCCATGGTGGCTATTAAAGACATATATCTGGGTGTGATGTTCTCCCAGGGAAAAACCACATTGGCTTCCGTGCAATTAGGGAATCTCTGAAGTCCCTGTCTTGGTCTTGAAGGCCTTTCAGAGTGGGCTGCATCTCTGGCCTCAGCCTCCCCAGGTCTCTGCTGTGGGCCAGTCCATGCTAGCCTGTACGGAGCTGCTTGCTGCTTTACGTGTCAGTGCTGTTGAACTTGCTGTTTCCTATACCTAAAATACATCCCTACCTTCTTCACCAGATTGACCCATACACATACTTCAGCACAGCTCAAGCATCCTTCTTCCAGCCTTCGCTGACACAGCCTCCTCCCTCTCCCCCAGGCTGGGTGAGGGACTTTTCCTCTGCGTTCCTTTGTCCTCATCTCTGTCAGACACTATCATACCATACTGTGAGCATTTGTTTTCTTGTCAGTAAATAAAGGCAGGACTTTTTGGGGCGGGGGGAAGCTTATAATACTGGTACTCTGCACAGTTTGGCCTGTTGTAGATGTTCAACCAATGTTTATTTATTTATATTTTTAGAGACAGGGACTCACTCTGTCACTCAGGCTGGAGTGCAGTGGCGCGATCATGGCTCACTGCAACCTCAAACTCCTGAGCTCAAGCGATCTTCCTGCTTCAGCCTCCCAAGCAGCTGGGATCACAGGCGCAAGCTGCCATGTCTGGCTAATTCTTTCACTTTTTGTAGAGAGGGGTCTCTGTATGTTGCCCAGGTTGGTCTCAAACTCCTGGGCTCAAGCAATCCTCCTGCCTTGGCCTCCCAAAGTGCTAGGATTACAGGCATGAGTCACTGCATCAGGACCCAACCAACTTTTGTTGAATAAATGAATCAAAGAGTGACTAGACTGCAGAAGAAAGTGTTGTCAATTCCCTTACTTAACAAAGCTGATGCTTAATAATAACAAACATTTTTCTTGGATCTCAGGTACACAGGATTATTCCGCCCTTCATCTCATCTCACAGTGTCATCAATGGTCCATGCAAGAACTCTGCCATTCATTCATTCATTCATTCATTCACTTATTCATTCATTCTTTTTATCCCCATCCCCTATATCCCATCACTGTTTTAATTTGTTTAATGTTGAATCTTGAAAAGCACACATCATTGTTTTGTGGCTGCGGATTTTTAATTTATGTGAATAGGGTTGTGATATAGCTCATTATGTTTCTTGTCTTCTATTCAGGACCATGGTTTTAAGATTCAGCCACATTGCTATGTGTTCTTCTGGCTTATTGCTCTTAACTGTTTCATTGTTCTCCTAAAACTAAACATTTAAACAGCATTTTAGTCCTCATGATTTTTTTTTGTTCTATTGTTTTGGTTTTTTTTTTTTTTTTTTTTTTTGAAATGGAGTCTCGCTCTGTCGCCTAGGCTGGAGTATAGTGGCGTGATCTCGGCTCACTGCAAGCTCCGCCTTCCGGGTTCACGCCATTCTCCTGCCTCAGCCTCCTGAGTAGCTGGGACTACAGGCGCCCACTACGGCGCCTGGCTAATTTTTTGTATTTTTAGTACAGACGGGGTTTCACCGTGGTCTCGATCTCCTGAACTCGTGATCCGCCCGCCTCGGCCTCCCAAAGTGCTGGGATTACAGGCGTGAGCCACCGTGCCCGGCCCTGTTTTGGTTTTTAAATTTGATGTTCACATCAGCAATGTGAGGAAGTCAGGGCAAGTATTAGTATCTCCATTTTACTGCAGAGGAAGCTGAAGCTCAGAGAGAGTGAGTGATTTGCCCTGAGTTATACAGCACTTTTGTGGCAGAATCTTTATGTGGGTCCCATTTTCTAACACCACATTCAAGGCATGCTCAGGGATCACACTCCCTTCTCATGTGGGTGTGGCCAGACCTGGACCCAAGGAGGAGGAGATAGGAGCCTGCCCTCATGGTCAGGGGCAGGAGTGTCTCAGGGCAAACCTCGTGAGATATCTCCCTCCTACCAGAATTCCTGCCTCCTGAAAGCACGTTAAAATGAGTGTCTGGGAAGTTGGGAATGGAGGTGGGGTGGAGGACTATGCAAAAGGCAATAGCTTTGGGGGTGGTGGTGGGGTTCACATGAGCCAGGGTTGTGGGGTGATTGCTAATTGTGTATAATAGATACTTGCCTCTCCCTTCTTCAGCCATTGTGAGTCACCCATGGGGAAATGGCCTCCATTCCCACAAGGAATCCCAGTTCCCCAGAATTGACCCCATCTGCCCACCATCATCATGATTGCTCTGTCTCAGGGGCAGGTGTGTTCTCTGCAAGTTGTGATACATGACATCTGTGATTGTTTTTCTAAATAATGAAAATTATAAGGCTGTGAGTAAACTCCTAGAAGGAACCAGGTGAACCCTCTATGAATCCTTCTCATGAGAATTTTTAGAAGCTCAGGCCACTCACTGCCTTTTATCCCTGCCCTCTTTCCATTACTGGAAAAAAACATAATTATAATCATATAATCAAACTAAGATTCATGATTAATTACAAACACATTGTTTACAAAGTACTTATTATCTCATTTAATACTCTTTTAACACATGTTGGTACCATGATCCCCTTTTAGTGAGGAAATTGAGGCTCAGAGAGGGTAAATAACTTTCCCAAGGTAACACAGAAAAAAGTGTCACAACTGAGACTCAGATCTAGATCTCCTGATCACAGGTGCTATGCCTTATCCACTACACCCCATCAAGAGCAGATGTCCAGTTTCTCTGTAGGAGAATTCAGGTTGGTGTCCAAGACTCAGCATGAAGATGATCCCCTAAAAAGAAATTGCTCATATTTATCCAGTGAGTAACCTACCTGGGTATGCTATCATTCATCATTTAGCAACTGTGCCTGGAGCCCCTGCTGGGTGTGCAACCAGCTCTGTGTAAGTGAGAAAATCCATGTCTCCTTCTGTCTTCAGAGTAACAAAGCCATTTCCCAATGAATCATAGATGACTAATTAAAATGCACACTTTTCCCGGGCTCTCTGGTTAATTCTTTCCTAAACCAGGCAGGGGTCGGGGTGGGGATGAAGTTGTTGCAGGATGGAAAGAAAGCAGAGGAGAACAAAAAGGGGATCAAAAGGAATGGAAGGGGGAGAACAAAAATCAAAGAAAGGAAGGCAGGAAGGCAGGATGTCAGGAAGGAAGGGAGAGAGGAAAAGAGGAAGAGAGGAACATGTACCTATTTGCCTCAAGGAAAACAGGTAAATTTTCTAAGTCTCTAGCAAGTTTACATTTTCTAGTATTTTACAATATATGCTATTTCAGGTATGTGATCTTGTTGAGCCACAAAAAGATCTTTTGTTTTAAGTAAGATATTTTTATACAACTTTATAAATGAGGAAGCAGATTCTGGGAGGTTAGGGATTACTTAACCTTGGAGATAATCTAGAAGAACTGGAAAGACTAAAGTTTTGATGCCCAACAGATTTGGATTCAAATCTAGACTATCTGTGATTTATCAACGTGACCTTAGTCAAGTTACTTAGCATCTTGGAGCTTTGGTTTCCTCTTCTGTAAAATGAGGATCGTGATAGCTCCGATCCCTTAGGGTTATTTTGAGGATTAAATAGGATATTGCATGGCTGTACTAGTCCATTCTCACACTGCTATAAAGAAATACCTGATACTGGGTAATTTATAAAGAGGTTTAATTGTCTTACGGTTCTACAGGCTGTACAGGAAGCATGGCTGGGAAGGCCTCAGGAAACTTTCAATCATGGCGGAAGGCAAAAGGGAAGCAGGCACGCCTTACATGGCTGGAGCAGGAGGAAGACAGAGAGGGGAGGTGCTACACACTTTTAAACAACCAGATCTCATGATAACTCACTCACTATCACAAGAACTAGCAAAGGTGAGAGTCTTTATCAAAGGTGAAATCTGCCTCCATGATCCAATCACTTCCCACCAGGCCCCACCTCCAACATTGGGGATTACAATTTGACATGAGATTTGGGCAGGGACATACACCCAAACCATTATCAATGGCCTACACAAAGACCTTAATAAATGCTAGCTATCTGGGTTTCTATATGATTGTTCTCATTACTACCACTACTATTCCTAAAGCATCTGACAGTGCTAGTACTTATAATAGTATATATTCAACAAATATTAGTTTCCCCTACACAGTCCCACATCCCTACTTCCCTAAGGTAACATAGCTAGTAATGTTGCAGGCAGTCTGGCCATGGCATTTGACGTTAGTACCAGTACTCCTCCACAGTATCTTACTGCCCACCTCTCTGTTTAGCACCTTAAAAATACAACTAGACCATATCGTATACCTCCATGACTCTAAAATTCAAAATGATATTCAGGGCTGGGTGCCGTGGTTCATGCCTGTAATCTCAGCACTTTGGGGGAGGCAGGCTGAGGTGCGGAGGATCACTTGAGATCAGGAGTTTGAGGCCAGCTTGGGAAATAAGGCAGAGACTCCATCTCTACTAAAAATACAAACAAAATAGTTGGGTGTGGTGGTTCGTGCCTGTGGTGCCAGCTACTCAGGAGGCTGAGGTAGGAAGATTGATGCTTCGGCCTGGCGGGGCAGAGGCTGCAGTGAGCAGAGATGATGCTGCTGCACTCCAGCCTGCGTGACAGAGCGAGACCCTGTCTCAAAAAGAAAAAAAAAAAGATATTCAGATATCTTAAGGTTAATTGTTCAGAATATTCTATTATCTCTACTGCTTGGGGAAGGACTTGTGCGCCCTCTGTATTGTATCCTAATATTCCAGGACATGATGTGTCCTCTAATTGCTTTAAGTTTGAATATACAATCAATTCCGTACACACAACAAATTAAGAAGCCTAAAATAATGGGCAGAGTTTAATGTTGAAATTAATCTTAAAGCAAAGTTAATCAGCACATAATCATATTTGTGCTTCATAGTGATTAGGTACAAATGAAAGCTATTTGTGTAAATGAAAATAATCAGAAATATTTTGTGCAATCAAACCAAGCACTTGCAGAGACTTCTAGGGGACAGCAGTGATCCTGAATGTGGGTGTGTAATACAATTATAGCTATCAATGTGTCTAAATTGCTGGAGGAAGGGACTGGCCACTGAGTCCCTAAGATGTTTGCTACAATCCCCGGCAGTTGTAAATGTTCATTAATTGCTAGCTCCTCTTCCATGTCCACTTCCTCTTCTTCTTTCCTTCCCTTTTCCCATTATTATTATTATTATTACATTAATATCTTAGCCTTAACTAAAATGGCCCCAGGACCACTGACTCAGTTCCCAAGGTTGAGAGTGAATGTGCATTAGGAGTTTGGAGACACCTGTTCAGGCATCTGGGAAGAAGAAAATAACAACTCTGGAAAAATGATTTTAGTATTTGTTAGAAAGTTCTAGTAACAAATGATACTTTCTCAGATAAGAAAAGCTATGAATAAAGGGCCAGATTATAGTCATTTTTAACAACCTGAGGTCACAGGAGTTAAGGGAACAGAGCAGCAAGAGTGGCAGAATGAAAAGGTGGCCATATGTATCATGGGGCCATATTATGGGGTAATGACATGGATTAGATATTTTGGGGGACTGATGCCTAGCCCTCAGTAATCCCTTTGAGAATCCTCCCTGCCTCATGCTATCTGCTCATTAGAGAGAAGCAGAGAAAGCCCGTCTATGGAGAGAGAAGAGTGGAAGAGAGACGTAGAGGGAAGCAGAGGTGAGAGTCTTTGTGAACCTAGAGTGAGAGAAAAACAAGAAATGGCTGATTTGGTTTCTGTAGGTTTTCCAGCTCCTGGTTTAACTCTCTCCTGACATACCTTCTCCCTGATCTTGGGTTCTGTAAGATACTCGTATATCCATATCATTCATTCTCCTATTTTGTTTAAGCTAGCTCAAATAGATTTTTATTATTCACAACCAAATAATCTTTTTTTTTTTGAGATAGGGTCTCGCTCTGTCACCCAGGATGGAGTGCAGTGGTGCAATAATGGCTCACTGCAGCTTTGAGTTCCTGGGGCTCAGGTGATTCTCCTACCTCAGCCTCCCAAGTAGCTGGAACTACCAGCACACGCCACCACATCTGGCTACTTTTTTTTGTATTTTTTGTAGAGATGGAGTCTTGCTATGTTGCCCAGGCTGCTCTTGAATGCCTGGACTCAAGCAATCAGTTTACCTTAGCCTCTCAAAGGGCTGGGATTACAGGCGTGAGCTACTGCACCTGGCCTAACCAAAAGAATCTTAACCAAAACACAACGCTTAATCAGATTGCTTTCTCAACACCTTTGATTAAAAGAGGAAGAATTTGGATAGTTTTGTTGGAAGGTAACTTTGCTCAAAATATACTGCTGCTTCCTTCCTACAGGCAAATACCATAAATAAGTTTACTTAATTCTCTTTAAATCATTTTCCTCCTTCTCCTTTCTGGTTTGGAGTAATTACGCTGAATGGAAATGGGTGACTGTGGTGACAGCAGGGCAGGGCCCTATACAAACTGCTACACTGCAGACTTTATGTCCTGTGTGATGTTGTTTTCTCAGAACAGCAGCAACTGAGTCCAGGGCTTGCCATCTAAGGCTCAATCTTCCTTCAGCTATCTCTGCTTCTGCAGACTTTTCAAGGGCTTCAGGAACCCTACTGCTGCAGTTCTTACTGTGGGACCTGGAGAGACTCCCTCTCCCACCACCCCTGCCTTGGATTTTGAGTTGAGAACCACTCTTAGAGCCTAAAAGTTAATGGGTTATATGGTTTGTCTCTGTGTCGCCATCCAAATCTCATCTTGAATTGTACTCCCATAATTCCCACGTGTTGTGGGAGGGACACAGTGGGAGATAATTTGAATCATGGGGGTGGTTTCCCCCATACTGTTCTTATGGTAGTGAGTAAGCCTCATGAGATCTGATGGTTTTATCAGGGATTTCTACTTTTGCATCTTCCTCATTTTTTCTTGCCGCCACCATGTAAGAAGTGCCTTTCGCCCCCCAAGATTCTGAGGCCTCGTAAGCCAAGTGGAACTGTAAGTCCAACTAAACCTCTTTTTCTTCCTAGTCTTGGGTATGTCTTTATCAGCAGCATGAAAACAGACTAATACAGTAAATTGGTACCAGTAGAGTGGAGTGTTGTTGAAAAGATACCCAAAAATGTGGAAGCGACTTTGAAACTGGGTATCAGGCAGAGGTTAGAACAGTTTGGAGGGCTCAGAAGAAGACACGAAAATGTGGGAAAATTTGGAACCTCCTAGAGACTTGTTGAATGGCTTTGACAAAAATGCTGATACTGATATGAGCAATAAGGTCCAGGCTGAGTTGGTCTCAGATGGAGATGAGGAACTTATTGGGAACTGAAGCAAAGGTGACTCTTGTTATGTTTTAGCAAAGCAACTGGCAGCATTTTTCCCCTGCCCTAGATATTTGTGGAACTTTGAACTCAAGAGAGATGATTTAGGGTATCTGGTAGAAGAAATTTCTAAGCAGCAAAGCATTCAAGAGGTGACATGGGTGCTGTTAGAAGGATTCTGTTTTAAAAGGGAAACAAAGCATAAAAGTTCAGAAAATTTGCAGCCTGATGATGCAATAGAAAAGATAAACCCAGTTTTTGAGGAGAAATTCAAGATGGCGGCAGAAATTTGCATAAGTAACACGGAGCTGAATGTTAATCCTCAAGACGATGGGGAAAATGTCTCTAGGGCATGTCATAGGTCTTCATGGCAGCCTCTCCCATCACAGACCTAGAAGCCTAGGAGGAAAAAATGGTTTCATGGGCTGGGCCCAGGGTCCCCATGCTGTATGCTGCCTAGGGACTTGGTGCCCTGCATCCCAGCTGCCCTAGCCCTTGCTAAAAAGGGCCAAGGTATAGCTCAGCCCAGTGTTTCAAAGGGTGCAAGCCCCAGACCTTGGCAGCTTCCATGTGGTGGTGAGCCTGTGGATGCACAGAAGTCAAGAATTGAGGATTTGGAACATCCAGCTAGATTTCAGAAGACATAAGGAAATGCCTGGATGCCCAGGCAAAAGTTTGCTGCAGGGCAGGGCCCTCATGGAGAACCTCTGCTGGGGCAGTGCAGAAGGGAAATGTGGGGTCAGAGACCCCACACAGAGTCCCTATGAGGGCACCGCCTAGTGGAGCTGTGAGAGGAGGGCCACTGTCCTCCAGACCTCAGAATCCACTGACAGCTTGCACTTACTTGCACCTGGAACAGCTGCAGGCACTCCACGCCAGCCTGAGAAAGCAGCCAGGAGTTGGGGGCTATACCCTGCAAAGCCACAGGGGTGGAGCTGCCCAAGACTATGGGAACCTACCCCTTGCATCAGCATGGCCTGGATGTGAGACATAGAATCAAAGGAGATCATTTTGGAGCTTTGAAATTTGACTGCCCTGCTGGATTTCGGACTTCCATGGGCCCTGTAACCCCTTTGTTTTGGCCAATTTCTCCCATTTGGAATGGGTGTATTTACTCAATACCGGTAACCCCATTGTATCTAGGAAGTAACTAGCTTGCTTTTGATTTTACGGGCTCATAGGTGGAAGAGACTTGCCTTATCTCAGGTGAGACTTTGGACTGTGGACTTTTGGGTTAATGTTGAAATGAGTTAAGACTTTGGGGGACTGTTGGAAGGCATGATTGGCTTTGAAATGTGAGGATATGAGATTTGGAGGGGTCAGGGGCGGAATGATATGGTTTGGCTGTGTCCCCACCCAAATCTCATCTTGAGTTGTACTCCCATAATTCCCACATGTTGTGGGAGGGACCCAGTGGGAGATAATTCAAATCATGACGGCAGTTTCCCCCATACTGTTCTCATGGTAGTGAATAAGTCTCATGAGATCTGATGGGTTTATCAGGGGTTTCCACTTTTGCATCTTCCTCATTTTCCCTTGCTGCTGCCATGTTAGAAGTGCCTTTGACCTCCCACCATGGTTCTGAGGCCTCCCCAGCCATGTGGAACTGTAAGTCCAATTAAACCTCTTTGTCTTCCCAGTCTCGGGTATGTCTTTATCAGCAGTGTAAACATGGACTAATACAGCCAGCAAAAAAGACTATTGAGGGAAATGGAGAAATCATTTTTTTAGGGGGGGGACAGAGTCTCACTCTGTCACCCAGGCTGGAGTGCAGTGGTGTGATCTCAGCTCACTGCAACCTCCGCCTCCTAAGTTCAAGCAATTCTCATGCCTCAGCCTCCTGAGTAGCTGGGATTACAGGCATGTGCCGCCACACCCGGCTAATTTTTTTGTATTTGTAGTAGAGATGGGGTTTTGCCATGTTGGCCAGGCTGGTCTTGAACTCCTGGCCTCATATGATCCACCCGCCTCAGCTTTCCAAAGTGCTGGGACTGTGGCAGGCCATTTCTCCCTGACAATCACACAGACAGGCCTGCATGACAGACAGCCACACAGACAGGCCTGCATAGCACTCCAATTACACAGACAAATTTCCACAGAGCTGCCTTAATGTTGAGCAAACAGTTAAACCTAGGGAAATCGATATCCAGACATCAAAGCTAGAAATGAAACATATGGTCAGCAGGAGCCTTGCATGGGCTTCTCCCTTGTTGGAGCAAATCAAAATAATAGAGACAGCCTTACATTCCTAGTGCCAGGACCTGTCTCAGTTCGACGAAATCTGAGACGAGTCAAGGTAACAGAGGCAGCTGTTTGAATAGATCCATTGGAGAGTCTGAGGCAGCTCTCCAGACCAAGCTGTAAAGGAGATAAGACAGAAATAATCACTCTGGTACCACAGTAGACAGGCCTTTAAGGTACTAGGGCCCTCACAGCTTAATCGGACTTAGCAAGCATTTTTCTGCGTCTGACCTTCTAGTTGAAACGAAATTAGTTACCAATAGACTTAGGTGAATGGTGTACTACACGTAGGCACATAACCCCAACCTATATAAGCACTAAGAAAATTGTAACACTTTGAGTTGGTCTGGTGGAATTATCTCCGACCTTCTCTCTGTATCCGGTTACAGCAATAAAGTCCTAGTTTGTCTGCTTCTTGTTATTGGGCCATGAGAAAATGCAGCCAGACCCAGCTTGGTTCTGGGAATGGGATTACAGGTGTGAGCCTCCGTGCACGGTCGATAAAACAATTTTAAGAAATACAAATCCACATTCACTTATTACAAATAGATTCAATGCATCTGAGAATAGCATCAAATATGGACTTAATTTAAAAATATATATAGTTCTTAGTTTTCTTCTTTGTCCCCTGCGACAGAAAAACTCAAGATACCAAGCAGTTTGACTGGAGTGGTAGGACATGCAGAATGACTGGGAAGGGGCTCCAAATGTGTGCTCTATTCTGGAAGTAATTAAAAATCCAGGAAGTACTTACATATATGAGCTCAGCTGGACAGTTAGGCCCCAAGTTTGGGGGAGGTCAATTCATGCGGAGGATGTGGAGGATGACCTTGTCTTGCTTCACAGAGATACCCTCTAGAGAAAAAATGGAAAACAAATGTCTGAGTCTCATCTATGTGCACTGTGTGATGGATTTCTGAATGTGAAATACTGGGACCACCCAGAAAATTTTATATTTGAGAAGATCAGAAATTCTAGAAGAAAGAATTCTCTGGTCATCCGGCCAGTAAGCATTCGATGAACACTTGTTTGGGCCACAACACTGAACTAGGAGCAGCAAAAGACATGAGAGACACCAAAAGCATGGACCCCAGGGTGAGAACCTTTATGTTTCACTCATGCAGCCTTTATGAAGCACCTGTTATGTGTCAGACACTATTCTGGGCATTGGAATGAAGCAGTAAACCAGGATAGAGGAGGCCCCTGCTCCCATGAAGTTTCAATCCTAATGGAGATGATATAGGAGTTAAAAATGAATTATTTAGGCAGATAGTGAAGGTAAGGAAGTCCTCAGTAAGGTTTTCCTTTTAATGAAAAGCAGCCCCCAAATCATTTTCTTTTCTAACAAAGAGCAGCCTGTAAAATTGAGCTGCAGACATAGAAAGGCCGACTAGAAGCTTGCACAGGTGAGTGCCGGCAGTTATGCCAACAGGCTACCTGGGGCTAGGCATGTCTAACATGGCGGCTCCATCTTCCCTTTTCCTTTCCAGCCATGTGTGCAGTAGGGAGCAGACAACATGGCACTGGCCAAGTGGAAAGCCCATTTGCATAATAAGATTAGAGTGGGGTGGCCAGTGTCCCCTCCTGCTATGTAAACCTCACACTTGGTCCAACCAATCTGTGGGCCATATGTAAATCAGACACCGTCTCCTCAAGCCTGTCTATAAAATCCGGTGCACTCCAGTGCACTCTGCTGCAGGCCGGAAGTCCCATTTGGGCACCCCTTACTCTCCTGCAAGAGAAAGAGCTGTTCTCCTTTCTTTCTTTTGCCTATTAAGCCTCTGCTCCTAAATCCACTTCTTGTGTCTGCATCCTCAACTCCCTTGGTGTGAGATGACGAACCCCGGGTATTTACAATGATGCCACTTCAGAGAGAGATGAAAAACAAGCAAAAAAAAAAAAAAAAAAAAAAGCTAATTAAAACATATGTAGGCTAATTTTCAGAGAATGAAGGAAATGAAGGAGAGTAATGAGATAGAGTGGGGCTAGGAACTGGGGTTGTTTTAAATCTGGGGATCAGGGAAGGGCCCTGAGACCTGAATAATGAGAAGAGGCCACCAGGTGAAGCTCTAGGGGGAACGTATTTTAGTACAGACGCCCTGAGGAATGTTTGAGGATCACAGAGAGGGAGGCAGCAGTATGGTTAGAGAGTGAGAATGAGGTGAGGGAGGAGGGCAAGGGCCAGACCATCTTAGCCTGTGGACCAGGGAAGAAGTTGGTTTCATTCAAAGCCTAACAACAAGCCTCTGCAGGGTTTTAAGCAGGAGAGTAATATGAGCTGATTGAAACAGCAAAAGCCCACGCCAGCTGCTTTGTGAGGAATGGAGCCGCAGTGGAAGCTACCAGCAGGGAGGCTGGTTAGGATTGCAGTCTAAACCAAAAGTAGAATTCTAAGGCCCCACTGACCATCTGAACAGATCCTCCTCTTGGCCAAGTGCATTCCAAAGTTAGCCTACATACAGGCTCACTCCTCTAATCCCGTTCCCGGAACCAAGCCGGGTCTGGCTGCGTTTTCTCATGGCCCAATAACAAAAAGCAGATAAACTAGGAATTATTGCTGTAACTGGATACAGAGAGAAGGTCGGAGATAATTCCACCAGACCAACTCAAAATGTTACAATTTTCTTAATGCTTATATAGGTAGGGGTTATATGCCTACGTGTAGTATGGCAAAATTAGCCTACATATATTTTAATTAGCTTTTTTTTTTTTTTTTTTTTTTTGCTTATTTTTCATCTCTCTCTGAAGTGGCATCATTATCTGGGGTAAATACCCAGGGTTCGGGGCCGGGCGCGGTGGCTCACGCCTGTAATCCCAGCACTTTGGGAGGCCGAGGCGGGCGGATCACGAGGTCAGGAGATCGAGACCATCCCGGCTAAAACGGTGAAACCCCGTCTCTACTAAAAATACAAAAAATTAGCCGGGCGTAGTGGCGGGCGCCTGTAGTCCCAGCTACTTGGGAGGCTGAGGCAGGAGAATGGCGTGACCCGGGAGGCGGAGCTTGCAGTGAGCCGAGATCCCGCCACTGCACTCCAGCCTGGGCGACAGAGCGAGACTCCGTCTCAAAAAAAAAAAAAAAAAATACCCAGGGTTCGTTGTCTCACACCAAGGGAGTTGAGGACGCAGACACAAGAAGCTGATTTAGGAGCAGAGGCTTAATAGGCAAAACAAAGAAAGGAGAACAGCTCTCTCTCTTGCAGGAGAGTGAGGGGTGCCCAAATGGGATCCCATGACGGGGGAGGGGGTCAGACATGCTTCATTATACCCTCCTCTCTTTTGGAATTCAGGAAAAGCTGATCAGCATTAACATCAACACAGACCTTAAGTCTGATAAGAAACATTTACAATCTATTCTCTCTGAAGCCTGCTACCTGGAGGTTTCATCTGCATAATAAAACTTTGGTTTCCACAACCCCTTATCATCATAACCCAGACATTCCTTTCTATTGATTCCAGGTCTTTAAATAATAACTTAACTCTTTCAACCGAATGCCAATCAGAAAATTTCTAAATCTACCTATAACCTGGAGGCCCCATCCTCACCCCTTCTAGTTGTCCCACCTTTCAGAACTGAACCAATGTACATCTTACATATATTTGATTGATGTCTAATATAACCCTAAAATGTATAGAACTAGGCTGTGGCCCAGTGCAGTTGTTCAAACCTGTAATCCTGGCACTTTGGGAGGCTGAGGCAGGAGGATCGCTCAAGCTCAGGAGCTAGAGACCAGCCTGGGCAATGTGGTGAAACCCCATCTCTACAAAAAACACAAAAATTAGCTAGGTGTGGTGGTGCGTGCCTGTAGTCCCAGCTACTCTGGAGGCTTAGGTGGGAGGATTGCTTGAGTCTGGTAGGTTGAGGCTGCAGTGAGCGATATCACACCACTGCACTCCAGCCAGGGCAACAGAGTGAGACCCTGTCTCAAAAACCAAACAAACAAACAAACAAACCAGGCTGTGCCCAGACCACCTTGGGCACATGTTCTCAGGATCTCCTGAGGGCTATGTCACAGACCACTGGTCACTCCTATTTGACTCAGAATACATCTCTTCAAATATTTTACAGAGTTTGACTCTTTCTGTTGATAGCAGTAAACTCAGAGGAGGAAGGCTGGGGGCTAGGATGGACAGGCAGCAGTAGGGATGGTGAGATAGGATTTGATTTAATACACAGTCCGAGGAGCCAGGACCTGCTGGTTTTTTCTGTGGGTGGGATGAGTGGAGAAAGTGAGGATGATTCAGGATTGTGGCTTGAACAAATGCAGTCTCCAACTGAGACTGGGGGAAGGAGGTTTTGTTTTTGTTTTTGAGATAGGGTTTCACACAGTCTCCCAGGCTGGAGTACAGTGGTGCGATCATAGCTCTCACTACAGCCTTGAACCCCTGGGCTCAAGTGATCCTCCTACTTCAATATCCCAAGTAGCTGTGATCACAGGCACATGCCAGCTAATTTTTTAGATTTTTATAGAGATGTGGGATCTCACTATGTTGCCCACCCCTCAAAAATGCTGGGATTACAAACATGAGTCATTATGTCCAACCTGAAGGAGGTGTTTTAACGGGAAATCGAAGAAGAGGCTTGGAAGAGAAAAATGAAGAATACCATATGGGACATGTTAAATTTGCAGTGCTTTATTATTCATTCAATTTGGTTGAACAAACAAATTATAAACAGGCAGAACAAAGTGAATATTGTAAAAAGCATGGTATCCACAGAGGCCTCAAATATTATATATGAAATCCCCTTAAACCCTTACACCAAAGGATCCTGCAGCTCAAAGCTCCAACTTCATCACTTACCTAGATGACTGTGGGCATGATCTTAACTCCCCAGATCTTACATTCCTCACCTGTAAAATACAGATAAAAATAGTATTAACTTCATAAGCCTGTTGTGACAGTTGAAAGAGATTCTGTACATAGAATACTTAGCACTGGCCCACAGTAATATATTAATATTCGTGAATATTAGCTGTTGGCATTCAATGAATGTGAACTATTGGTAGTTGTATTCATTTCCTAAGACTGCTGTAACAGAATACCGTCAACTGGATGGTTTAAAATAACACAAGTTTATTGTGTCACAGTTCTGGAGTCTGGAAGTCTGAAACTGGGGCACTGGCAGGGCCGTGCTGTCTCTGAAACCTATAGGGGAGAATCCTCCTTTGCCTCTTCTAGTTCTGTTGGTTTGCTGGCAATCTTCGGCATTCCTTGGTTTGTAGATGCATCGCTGTAATCTCCCACCTCTGTCGTCTTATGGCTGTTTTCTCCTCGTGAGTGTTTTTTTTTTTTTAAAGACAGAGTTTTACTCTTGTTGCCCAGGCTGGAGTGCAATGGCGCGATCTCGGCTCACCACAACCTCCACCTCCCAAGTTCAAGCTATTCTCCTGCCTCAGCCTCCTGAGTAGCTGGGATTACAGGCATGTGCCACCATGCCCGGCTAATTTTTTGTATTTTCAGTAGAGATGGGGTTTCTCCATGTTGGTCAGGCTGGTCTTGAACTCCCGACCTCAGGTGATCCACCTGCCTCAGCCTCCCAAAGTGCTGGGATTACAGGTGTGAGCCACCACGCCAGGCTGACTCTCTTTGTGTGTCTTTGTGTCTTCACATGGTATTCTCTGTATATCTCTCTCCTCTTCTTGTAAGGACACCAATTATTTTAGAGTAAGATCCCACCCAACATCAATATGACCTCACCATAACCAATTCCATCTGCAAGGACCCTATTTCCAAATAAGATCACATTCTGTGGTACTGGAAAGTAGGAACACAATTTGACACATAATAGTGGTGGTATTAGTATTAGCATGGATGATACTTATTTCCATATCTTGGTAGAGGGCCCTGCCAAATAGAGCCATTTACAACCAGTCCTTTCAATTCATGTAACAGTCTTTGTCTCTAATAAAGAACTTGATTGTATGTGGTTGGCGTTTTAGCAGAAAGAAGATTGAGATGATCTGTTTATAATTATGGAATTTTTAGTAGGTTTGCAGTGACCAGGATTGATTTAGTCCAATTACCTCATTTTATGATTAAGAAAACTGAAGCCTAGAAATGTGATGTGATTTGGCAGAGGACACATATCTATATAGCACCCAAGCCAGTATAGAAACCTTGTCTTCTAAGGTTATTTCTTGAAAGTTTATTTCTTCTAAGGTTATTGCTTGAAAAAGAAATTCTAGTGCAACAGAACAAGTTGGAGTTAGGATTTTTACCTTTGGAGTAAACTGAAGTCTTGAGAATGTTTCCCCCATTTTGCTTATTTGGTCCTACAGTCTAATAACATCAAATTTCATTACCTTCTTCCCTTCCTAATCACAACTCCTCTTCCAATCATCTCGCCTGCTTTAAGTCCAAACATATTTTCAAGAGGAAATGTCAGACAAGAAGATTCAGGAATCAGGAGGGGAAAAAGATGAACACAAGATACCTCTCTCCTTCTTCAACTCGATTCAGAACACTTAGTGTTCACTTCCTATTTAACTCTGGAGAGGTTATGCAGCAACTCAGAGAGGCTGAAAAATATGAAACTCTAGGCTGGGTGTGGTGGGTCATGCCTGTAATTCCAGCACTTTGGGAGGCCAAGGTGGGCAGATCGCTTGAGCCCTGAAGTTTGAGCCCAGCCTGGACAATGTGGTGAAATCCTGTCTCTACAAAAAAATTAAAAATTAAAAAAAAAATTCTAAACAAATGTGACCAGTTGTGACTTCATCTGTAGTTCCCGCAGCCTGGGAATGATGTTATTTCAAGCAACTCTTTTTTATTTTTATTTTTTATTCTTCTTCTTATTTTTTGAGACAGAGTCTCACTCTCCTGCCCAGGCTGGAGTGCGGTGGCGTGATCTTGGCTCATTACAACCTTCGCCCAGGTTCAAGTGATTCTCTTACCTCAGCCTCCTGAGTAGCTGGGACTACAGGTGCACGCTACCACACCTGGCTAAATTTGTATTTTTAGTAACAACAGGGTTTCACCCAGCCTGGAGCTCCTGATCTCAGGTGATCCACCCACCTCAGCCTCCCAAAGTGCTGGGATTACAGGTGTGAGCCACCATACCCGGCCAGCAACTTATTATTATTATTTTTTGAAAAAGCAATTCTAGTGCAACAAAACAAGTTGGAGTTAGGATTTTTACGTTTGGAGTAAACTGAAGGCTTAAATACCATATCAGTTAGGATGCTTTCAGCTGCAAGTAACTTAATAGCTGAATAACATGGCTAAAACAGTAAGGGATTTGTTATGTCATATAATGAGAACATTAAAGTTAGAGAATTCAGGGTAGTTCAACAAATTCAAGGAGCCTGGAGTGTCTTCTCAGGAATTCTGTTGGCAGCAGCTCCCAGGGTAATTGTATTAATCATGCCTTTCTATTTGCCGTATTTCTGATACTTTGACCTCTGGGGGCCTTGCTGACCCTTGAGAAACTGTCCCTGTCTGGGCTAGTCAATTCCTGGAGACAGTAAATCACTTGCCCAGAAGTGTGACTTTCAGATACAAACCAACCCATCCAGAGCCCACACCCCAACCACCTCCTTTATGAGGCACTCACAGGGCTCTCATACTCTGGGCCACTATCCACCTGCCCTGATCACCCCAGGGTCAGGTACCAGGCAACTATGGATGGTCCCTATGCCCCAGAGCCCACTGAAAGTATTGAAATCAGCTGATCCTAAGCCTGCTAACTCTGCCTCACTTGTTCTGTCATGTGGCGCCCACACTGGCTCTCCCTAACTCATCACTCCCTTTTCATTACATACAGCCAAAATGCAAGGCTGTGTGGTCGGAGTTCTTACACAAGAGCCGGACCATGCCCTGTAACCTTTTTGTCCAAACAACTTGACCTTACTGTTTTAGGCTGGCCATCATGTCTCCACGTGGTGGCTGACACCGCCATAATACTTTTAGAGGCCCTCAAAATCACAAACTGTGCTCAACTCACTCTCTACAGTTCTCATAACTTCCAAAATCGATTTTCTTCCTCAAACCTGATGCATATACTTTCTGCCCCACTCCACTACCTCTCAGCAAGCCAAACTCATTACCTTAACTCGAGCCCTCACTCTTGCAAAAGGACTACGCGTCAATATTTATACTGACTCTAAATATGCCTTCCATATCCTGCACCACCATGCTGTTTTATGGGCTGAAAGAGGTTTCCTCACTACACAAGGGTCCTCCATCATTAATGCCTCTTTAATAAAAACTCTTCTCAAGGCCACTTTACTTCCAAAGGAAGCTGGAGTCATTCACTGCAAGGGCCATCAAAAGGCATCAGATCCCATTGCTCAGGGCAACACTTATGCTGATAAGGTAGCTAAAGAAGCAACTAGTGTTCCAACTCCTTTCCCTCACGGCCACTTTTTCTCCTTCTCATCGGTCACTCCCACCTACTCCCCCACTGAAACTTCCACCTATCAGTCTCTTCCCAAACAAGGCAAATGGTTCTTAGACCAAAGAAACTATCTTCTTCCAGCCTCACAGGCCCATTCTATTCTGTCATCATTTCATAACCTCTTCCATATGGATTACAAGCTGCTAGCCCATCTCTTAGAACCTCTCATTTCCTTTCCATTGTGGAAATCTATCCTCAAGAAAATCACTTCTCAGTGTTCCATCTGCTATGCTACTGCTCCTCAGGGATTATTCAGGCCCTGTGACCTCCCTTCCCTACACATCGAGCTCAGGGATTTGCCCCTGCCCAGGACTGGCAAATTAATTTTACTTACATCCCCCGAGTCAGGAAACTAAAATACCTCTTGGTCTAGGTAGACACTTTCACTGGATAGGTAGAGGCCTTTCCCACAGGGTCTGAGAAGGCCACCACGATCATTTCTTCCCTTCTGTCAGACATAATTCCTCAGTTTGGCTTTCCCACCTCTATACAGTCTAATAATGGACAGGCCTTTACTAGTCAGATCACCCAAGCAGTTTCTCAGGCTCTTGGTATTCAGTGGAACCTTCATACCCCTTACCGTCCTCAATCATCAGGAAAAGTAGAACTGACTAATGGTCTTTTCAAAACACACCTCACCAAGCTCAGCCTCCAACTTAAAAAGGACTGGACAGTACTTTTACCACTTGCCCTTCTCAGAATTCGGATTGCTACAGGGTACAGCCCATTTGCGCTCCTGTATGGATGCTCCTTTTTATTAGGCCCCAGTCTCATTCCAGACACCAGCCCAACTTGAACTGCACCCCAAAAACTTGTCATCCCTACTGTCTTCTGTCTAGTCATACTCCTATTCGCCATTCTCATCTACCCATAAATGCCCTGCTCTTGTTTACATTGCCGGTTTACACTTTTCCTTCGAACCAGCATAACTGATATCTCCTGGTTTTACCTCAAACCGCCACCCTTAAGTCTCTCTTAAAGTGGATAGATAATCTTTGCTGACAGGGTACGCTCCAATACTTTCACCCTGATGAAGCCCTATTCTTTACTTTTATACTCACTCTTATTCTCATTCTCATTCTTATGCCACTCTCTACCTCTCTCCCCAGCTATCTCCACCACACTATCAATCTCTCTCACTCTCTCCTAGCCGTTTCTAATCCTTCTTTAACAAACAATTGCTGGCTTTGCATTTCTCTTTCCTCCAAAATCGCTGAGGCCTCAACTTACACACTGAAAAAAAAAAAGACTCTGTATATTTTTAAATGAAAAGTGTTGTTTTTACCTAAATCAGTCTGACTTGGTTTGTGACAACATAAAAAAACTCAAGGATAGAGCCTAAACTTGGGACCAAGCAAGTAATTACGCTGAACCCCCTTAGGCACTCTCTAATGTCCTGGATGTCTGGATGTCCTGGGCCCTCCCAATTCTTAGTCCTTTAATATCTGTTTTTCTACTTCTTTTATTCGGGTCTTGTGTCTTCCGTTTAGTTTCTTAATTCATCCAAAACCGTATCCAGGTCATTACCAATCATTCTATACGAAAAATGTTTCTTCTAACAACCTCACAATGTCACCCCTTACCACAAAATCTTCCTTCAGCTTAATCTCTCCTACTCTAGCTTCCCACGCCACCCCTAATCCCGCTCGAAGCAGCCCTGAGAAACACCGTCCATTATCTCTCCACACCACCCCCCAAAATTTTCACTGCCCCAACACTCACCACTATTTCATTTTATTTTTCTTATTAATATAAGAAGACAGGAATATCAGGTCTCTGAGCCCAAGCTAAGCCATCATATCCCCTGTGACCTGCATGTATACATCCAGATGGCCTGAAGCAAGTGAAGAATCACAAAAGAAGTGAAAATGGCCTGTTCCTGCCTTAACTGATGACATTACCTTGTGAAATTCCTTCTCCTGGCTGATCCTGGCTCAAAAGCTCCCCCACTGAGCACCTTGTGACCCCCACCCCTGCCCACCAGAGGACAACCCTCTTTGGCTGTAATTTTCCACTACCTACCCAAATCCTATAAAACAGCCCCACCCCTATCTCCTTTCACTGACTCTCTTTTTGGACTTAGCCCACCTGCACCCAGGGGAAATAAACAGCCTTGTTGCTCACACAAAGCCTGTTTGGTGGTCTCTTCACACGGACGTGTGTGACAAGGAACACCCTCCTTGAGCACAGGGGGAGGGTGAATATCAGAACTGAATCTGACTTCTGACAACATAGGAGCTGAAGGGACCTTGGATGTTGGGTAAGCAGTTCCCACTGTCTGTCACAAGCCCTAATAAAATACAAGTAAGAGAAAAGAACAAAACTGGGGCAATCTAATCAAGAAAGGCTTTCTGGAATGCATGAGGCCCCAGCGAGATCTAAAATTCCTAGATGGACTTGGTGTTGTGGAAGCAAGACAGCAGTCGGGCAAAGGAGAGACAGGAAGCAAATGAATTCTACCTTGCCAACAATGGGAAACAGACATACTTAATGTGAGTAGAGAGGTAGCCTTGGCCAGGAAAGTTTGTTTGAAGATCCTGGTCTGTCTTGACTTTAAATCACTTGCCTTTGGAATGGAAGAGAACAGACATCTCATCAAATGAACCAATCTGAATGCAAGGAGCACCCGAATCCATCCCCACTCAGGAATCCTGGTTACAGATGCTAAAAGATGTCTTTGACAGTGAACAGTGGGTCATAAGATCTATTTCTGCCTCCTGTCTGTGACTCACTGGATGACTCAAGGTGAATCTCTCCCCATTTCTGAGTATCTGGCCCCCATCCATGAAGAACAGAAGATCACATCAGTATTTCCCTTCGGCAAGGTTGGCCCCCGCTGCAGCAACTGTGCAAAGACCACCAGACTGCCCTCTCTGCCAGCTTACTCTTCAGCCTTTCTGGCTCTTTCTCCCACTTCCACATCCCTGCTTCATTTTTCTTTTTCTCCTTTTGCAAATAGCATTGCTCCAAAGCAACCCAGGCACGTGTCTTGGGGACAGCGCTGCGAGCTACCCCTGAGCTGTGGGGAGCAGGCCCAAGATTGTTTGCTATTAGCAACTCCTGTTTGCAGGATAAATAAAGCGAACCTGAGTGCAGGCTCCTGTGGGCTGGGACATTTTCATTCTGCAGCAGGTCAGCTTCCATTCCACTAGGGGGCTTTGAATGTTAATAGGCATTTCTTTCCAGGTACCCTTCTCCTTTCTCTACAGTGCACCAGTCCCTGTGGGACCTTCCATTGGCATCCTACGGAGAGATTATTACTCTTTTCATTGTTTTCCTTACAAATTAGTTTCTGGATTTAATGGCTTTGGTTGCTGAGCAGATTTTGGAAATTGGGGCAGATGGTGGGGTGGGGTGATCTGCAGAGCCCATTATGGGCACTGGGTTATTGACTGCTTGGGATTTAAGGTGGAATTAACGCTTTCCTGTTTCTTGGGGAATTTTGCGATGGGGTTGGACCTTCTTTTCCCTTAGAAGGAATTGTGTTTGTTGTTATTGCATGTTTAAGAAGCTTCTAGAAATTGTAGCTCTGGAATACAATAGGTAGAGAATGCAGGTTTTTAATGGGATGTGGGGGAGTGTTGCTCAGTTGTGGGAAGATTTGTAATAATGGTTGGGACTGGGGATAGAGCGTTACCTGAGGACGGTTTTATTAATGCCACAAAGCATAAAGTTTAAAAAAAAAGAAAAAAGAAAATCCAGGGGTGTCTTACTGTCAGAAGCTTTGGAACCATGTTGAATAGGTGCTGGGTAAAATGAGACTGAGACCTGCTGGGCTGCATTCCCAGGAGGTTAGGGATTCGCAGTCACAGGGTGTTTACAGTTAAGGGAACAGGTTAATAATGTTTACCAAACAGACCCAGGACTTAACAGACCCAAGAAATGTCTTGATGTCCTGCTATCTTAAGCACAAAAGCATTCTTTGTTTAGTAATAAATTTTGCTTTAAAGATAGTAATATAGATTCTTGCAAAAGTCAGTAGTTACACAAGGATTAACAATCCTTTGTCATGAGCCCTTGTAATAGACCACATCCTTTTCATGATTTTTTGCCTTGTTATCTCATATATAAACATGCATTGCACCTAATAAGGTGGGCGCCTTACTCCTCTTGCTTTCAGAAATGCCCTGCTCAGTCCATGGAGCAACCATTCTTTCATTCCTTTACTTTCTTAATAAACTTGCTTTCACTTTACTCTGTGGACTCACCTGGAATTCCTTCTTGTGCAAGATCTAAGAACCCTCTTTCGGGGTCTGGATTGGGACCCCTCTTTCATAACACTGGTGCTAGGAATGTGAGCACAAGTGCATGCCGGAGGAGTGGACAAAGGTGAGAACCACTGTTCCAGGAGGACAGGGTGGGATGAGATGGGCACCCTAGGAGGTAACGGGGTCTGTGAAAAATTGGTGGGAGCTGGTAATCTGAGTGATTCATCTTTGAGTTTAGGATGGGTTAGTCATCTCTACAGTGGGCTGGGACCAAGAGGTGCCCATCCAGCTAGAAACTGCTGCTGAGTGGGAGTTCCCACAAGGGTTTGGAGCTTCGAAATAGGAAGATGGAAGTGAACAGCGAAATGAGCAGCAAGAAAAACAGCTATCATTAAAAGAGGAATTTGGGGATCAGAGAAATTATGCCAAGGAGATGGTACCATTAATCTCCCAATTCAGATGGAAGCCTTTGTAGTTAACGGGGAGACGCCTTGTAATAAAAACCAGGTCAGAACGTAGGCAAAAGGTTCTTTAGCATAATAAGGCCAGGATAATTACTTCCTTAAGAGTAGGGTCAAAGCTGTGTTAATGGGAAGAATATGCATGCATTACATATGCTAGACTGAGGTCTTTGTAAGAAAATGAATTGCAAAGGGGTATTTTCTTTTAGGTCATTCAGGGAAAGAAGACTGCAGCATTTGCTCATGGAGAGGAGCTGAAATGGAGGTGAAAAATCCACTATTTCTGCTCATCATCCCTCCCCACATGCGTAGTTCTCAGCTGATTAGCAGAGCCTTGGATGGAGGAAGACCATACTGACACCCGCCTGAGGAAATGGCAGGACCAAGAGGAGAGTGGGCTTAGGTTTTCCTCATCCTATAGGAGAGGAAGAATATCCTGACTGAGGAAGGACTTACAGTGGGGACTGTGAAGGGGATGGAGTGGGATGAGGAAGGGAATTAGAGAATGGGGAACATTCTGCCCGAGGCGTTGCCTTCTCTTATGTACAGATAATGGTAGCTCTCCTTTATTTGAGGAGCTACTCTGTTCTAAGCTCTTTTACCTGGATGGTCTTGTTTAATCCTCACAGTAATACTAAGAAAAGACACTATTATTTTCTATTTCCATTTCATAGATGAGCAACCAAAGGATTAAAACAGGCGTGTGCAATCATTTGGCGTCCCTGGGCCGCATTGGAGGAAGAATTGTCTTAGGCCACACATAAAATATACTAACACTAACAATAGCTGATGAGCTAAAAAAAAAAAAAAATTACAAAAAAAACTCATAATATTTTAAGAAAGTTTATGAATTTGTGTTGGGCCATATTTAAAGCCATCCTGGGCTGCATATGGCCCATAGGCTGCAGGTTGGACAAACTTGAATTAAAAGTTCATGTGACTTGCCCAAGGTCATTCCCCTAGCGAGTGGTGGAACTAGGATCTGTCTGAGGCAGTGTGGCTCTAGAACTCAATCTCTCAAACTACACACTACACTAGTTCGGAAATGGAGACTAAATGATCACAACCTTCAGTGCTCCAGGTCTTTCTAGCTTTGGAGAACTTTGATAAAGAATTGCTTCAAATGCCATCAGAGATATTACTATAGAGTTTGTGTTTGCCTAGAACAGAGGTGTAAAAATGAAAAAGGTAAAAATAAATAAAATAACTATACAGTCTGACGAAGACTGGCTAGGCTGTGTTAGGAAAGGGGAGAATCCATAATCAGTGGTCATCTGACACACCCCAGGTGACAGCTTTGATTACCCAGGCACAGAGAATGACCAAATGACAAGTAATTTCCCTGCTATTTGGAGATTTGGAGGAAGGAGGGATCTGTCACATGGATTACAAGGTTGGAACTCTGGTGAGGGTGGTGCCAGTCTGCCACATCACGTGGCAGTGAATGAGGCTTAGCTCCAATAGAGGCTCAGGACAGAAAAAGTCACAGAAGAGCTAAACCCACCTTAAGAGCCACCCACCTGTCTACTAAGTCAGGGCTCTTCAGGCAAGTGCATGTGACAGAAACAGTCCTGGGCCCAGGCAGGCCTTCCAGAGAACAGAGATGTGGACACCTGGAAGAGGGCAATGAAGGGCCTCTGATCAATTGTTCAATACATTTATTACCAGTGGCAAATCCATATGGGTCTGCAGCAACCTCAATTCTTGTCTCCTCAGAAAAAAGAATTCAACTGAGGGGTATAAGGCAGAGTAAGAGACCAAGGTAAGTTTTAGAGAAGCAGTGAAACTTTATAAAAAAGCTTTAGAGCAGGCATGAAAGGAAGTAAAGTATGCTTGGAAGAAGGCCAAGCAGGCAACTTAAAAGATCCAGTGCACAGTTTGACCTTTGACTTAAGGTTTTATATGTTGGCATATTTTGGGGTCTTGCATCCCTTCTCCCCCGATTCTTCCCTTGGGGTGGGCTGTCCACATGCGCAGTGGCCTGCCAGCACTTGGGAGGGGCCACATATGCAGTGTGTTTACTGCAGTTGTACACATGCTTACTTGAGGCATTCTTCTCTTGCCACTCAAATGTTTCTAGAAGGTTATTGTCAGGCCTCTGAGCCCGAGCCAAGCCATCGCATCCCCTGTGACCTGCACGTATACGCCCAGATGGCCTGAAGTAACTAAAGAATCACAAAAGAAGTGAATATGCCCTGCCCCACCTTAACTGATGACATTCCACCACAAAAGAAGTGTAAATGGCCGGTCCTTGCCTTAACTGATGACATTACCTTGTGAAAGTCCTTTTCCTGGCTCATCCTGGCTCATAAAGCACCCCCACTGAGCACCTTGCGACGCCCACTCCTGCCTGCGAGAGAACAAGCCCTCTTTGACTGTAATTTTCCTTTACCTACCCAAATCCTATAAAACAGCCCCACCCTTATCTCCCTTCGCTGACTCTCTTTTCGGACTCAGCCTGCCTGCACCCAGGTGAAATAAACAGCTTTATTGCTCACACAAAGCCTGTTTGGTGGTCTCTTCACGCGGACGTGCATGAAAGTTAAACTCTGCCATTTTGCCTCTTAGTGCACATGCTTGAGCCCACTTGCCCAACTCCCGAGATCTTATTGGGAAGCTGCTGATCACACGTTTCAGGTTTTTTCTATCTATTGGGAGACTGCCTTTCCCTGGCACTGGCTGCGATCAATTATTATTTCAGAGAAACAGTGTAACAACCACCTGACCATCACCTGATGGTTGCCTGATGTTTCTGGTTGGGGGGCCTCTCTCCTGCCCTGCTCATGTCTGCCTAGCTACGTACTGTAACATGATGACCTAAAAGGAAGAAGCTGAGGCAAAATTAGTACAAGTTGAGAGGTTATTTGGCCAAGCTTGAGGATTGCAACCTGGCAGCAGAGACTCAAGTTGCCATGAATATACACTCAAACTAGTGGTAGTTACAAGTGGGTTTCCAAAGGAAAAGAAGAGACAGAATTTATGTTAAAAAAATTCTTGGTAAACAACTTAGGAACTGCTTCTTCTTTATTGATTGATTGATTGGCTATGTGTCATTCTTTGTATCACAAATTCCATTCCTTTGAATGGAATGGAATTTAAATGGAGATCCTTTAAATGGAGTTTGTGATACAAAGAACACAAAAACATGAAGATAATGGGTGAGGCAGCTAGTCAGGAACAAAATGCCTTTAAACAATTGCCCCCAGGACAGGCAGGCATGGGTATGTGAGTACCCTCCTCACCTAACCGAATTCCCATACTCATGTCTCTCTAGACCTGATAAATTTTGTAGACCTTACTTACCTCAGACTGCTCTGAGCTATTTTTCTTTCCTCAATTCAATCAGCAAATGTCACTGAGCAAGTACTATGAGTCAGGCATGGTGTTAGGTGGTGAGGATAGAGCACCTGGTTTATGCCTTCAGGTTTTAACAGTATTGTACACCGAAAATAAAACACTAAGCTCTCAGCTGGCTGATGGACCCTCTCTTCAGCCAAGGGCATTCCAAAATTAGCCTGAAAAACTATTCAGGCCATGATGGGAGGTGGGGGACATGCCTCATTGTACCTTCCTCCTGTTGGAATTCAGGCACAGCTGACCAGCATTAACATTAAAACAGAGACCTTAAAACTGAGAAAACAGACTCTTTAAGTCTGACACGAAACATTTACAATCTATTCTCTCTGAAGCCTGCCATCTGAAGGTTTCAACTGCATAAGAACTGTGGTCTCCACAGCTCCTTATCTTAAGTCTGATATGAAACATTTACAACCTATTCTCTCTGAAGCCTGCTACCTGGAGGTTTCATCTGCATAAGAACTGTGGTCTCCACAGCTCCTTATCTTAAGCCAGATACTTCTTTTATTGATTCCAGGTCTTTATATAAACTTTTTCAACCAATTGCCAGAAAACCTTTGAATCTACCTGTGACCTGAAAGCAGGCCCCTGCCCCATCTCATCTTCCTGAACTGAACCAATGTACAGCTTACATGTATCGATTGATGTCTTATGTCCCCCTAAGATGTATAAAACCAAGCTGTAGGCCAACCACCTTGGGCACATGTTCTCAGGATCTCCTGGGGCTGTGTCATGGGCCATTATGGGTCACTCATATTTGGCTCAGAACATATCTCTTCAAATAGTTTACAGAGTTTGGCCCTTTTTGTCAACAGCATAAATAGATAAATAATAAAGCAAACTATAATTGCATGTGGAAAGTGGGAGCAAGCCCAGTACGTTAGCTTGGGGTGAGGTGAAGTCAGGCATACACTCCTGGAAAAGAAGACTTCCAAACTGACACCTGAAGGTGAGTAGGAGTGAGGCAGTCTCAGGATGAGGGTTGGTGGTTGGGGAGGCAAACTTTCCAGGTGGAGCAAACAGCTTGTATAAAGGCCCACAGGTGAGACAGATCTTGGTGGTGAAACTAGTTCCTTCTGGTCAAAAGTGGATGTCAGGGGAGGTGAGCCAAAGCAACATCACGAATAGCCTTGTAGACTTTTTGAAGGAGTGTAAGGCTGGCAGCAGTGGCTCATGCCTGTGGTCCCAGCACTTTGGGAGGCTGAGGCAGGAGAATCACTTGAGCCCAGTAGTTTGAGACCACCCTGGGCAACATAGAGCCTGTCTCTACAAAACATTTTCTTTTTTGAGATGGAGTCTCACTGTCACCCAGGCGGTAGTGCAGTGGCAAGATCTCAGCTCACTGCAAGCTCCGCCTCCAGGGTTCATGCCATTCTCCTGTCTCAGCCTCCTGAGTAGCTGGGACTACAGGTACTTGCCACCACACCTGGCTAATTTTTTTTTTGTATTTTTAGTAGAGATGGGGTTTCACCATGTTAGCCAGGATGGTCTTTATCTCCTGACCTCGTGATCCGCCTGCCTTGGCCTCCCAAAGTGTTGGGATTACAGGTGTGAGCCATCGTGCCTGGCCAGTTTTCTTTTCTTTTCTGTAAGGATTAGTGGTAAAACCCTTAAGATGCAAAGGTTATTCTTGTTTAGAGAAGCCTGGTAGGAATTAAATTGGGAAGACTGTGTACTGTTGAGTGGGGATTTTGTGGAGGGAGGAGTCTGATAGGAGTTGATGACTGCTGGAAAAAAGAAAACAAATTAATTTGCAGGCCTGAGGAAGAGGGATTGTGTTGTTTTAACATATGTCCACAACTTCTTAGGCACTACTCCCATCAAAAGTGTAATCATAATCCTAATAGCTTCATTTGCCCAATGTGCAGCAAGTCAATATACTGAGATACCAGGCACTGCAGTGGACAAAGAGTTTAATCATTGTAGGGCAGCCGAATGAGGAGACAGGAAGAAATCTCAAATCCACCTCCCAGGGAATTTGGAGCTGGGGATTTTGAGGGGTTTGGAGTGGGCCAAGGTGTGGGGATCATTGACTGGTTGAAGAGTGCAGGGAGAAGTCATGGGTCAGGGAGATGAAGCAACTGCATTCTTATTCAGGTTTGGTTCCTCTGTGGCGAGTCTTCAAACTGGTTGGTTTCAGTAGTTTCACAATTCAGGATCTGAAGAACATCTTAAGCAATTCTTAACCAAAAGATTCTAAGATCAGAACGTCTTAAGCAATTCTTAACCAAAATGATTCTAAGGTCAGAAATCCTGCCTAATGGGAGCAAGAGGGATGTGAATAGTCAGTAACTAGTGTTACCTGACTTTCAGTTACAAGGATGTGGCCAAAGTGCAGCTGATTAATACTTTATTATAACTATGTTTCTACCCAGAATCCAGCATGTGATTCCTGTGAACCCTGTGAAGACAGTTTCAAAGGTGGAGTGTAATTCCTATTGCCTTGAATGTGCACCAGTCTGAGTAATTTGCTTCTAATGACTAGAATGTGGTGAGAGTGATGGTCTGTGGCTTTTGAGGCTACGTCATAGCAGGCATTGCTTCTTCTGCCCTGCTCCCTCCTGGACTGTTCACTCAGGGACAAGCCAACTGCCATGTCATGAGGACACTCAGGAAGCTCCATGGAGAGGCACTCATCAGCAGTAACCAACTTGCCATGACCATGTGAGTGAGCCACCTTGGAAGAAGGCACTCCACCCTCAGTCAAGCCTTTTGGTGATTTCAGGTCCCAGCTTTCAAGGCTTCCAACTGAGACCCCAGGTGTTCCATTGTGCTTTGTCTAAATTCATGACACACAACAACTGTGAAGTAATAATTATTTTAAGCCACTCAGTCATGGGGCAATTTGTTACATAGTGATAGATAATTAACACAGGAATACAGATAGGTCTGGACTAAGAGGTGACTGTAAATGTTTAACCAAAGACAAAACCTTTTATTCCTTTATAGTGGACTTTTACACATCAAAGCTTCATCCATGTATTTACTCATACATGCATCTATCCATCCATCTCTCCATCCATCCATTTTCCACCCTCTCATCCTTCCATCCACACACCCAACTACCAAACCATCTATCCATCCATCCATCCATCCATCCAACAATTGCTCCATGAGAGCAAGAACTCTGTCTTCCTTATTCATTTTTATGTCTCCAATGTCCAGAACAATGTGTGGCACATAACACTCAACATATATTTGTTAAATGAATGGGTAATTAATTTTTTCCCCAATCTTCAGAGAGTTCTCAGTGTAACGGTAACAGATAAGAATATCAATAATTGGAACTCAAAGAATGCTACAGTAGAGATGGATATGGGTATCCGGAGGACAGAGGAAAGGCATGTGATTCAGGGCTATAGGGGTACAGTGGAGTCAAGAAAGGATCTGATGTCCAAGCTGAGTTTTAAAGAATAAACAGAGTTGCCCAGGAATTTGAGGCAGGGCTGGCCTGAGAACATATGGAGTATATGGAGAGTGGCTACATTGTGGGTGCCTGGAATCCATTATTCTCTTTATTTGAAGGAGTGTGGGGTGGTCAGAAGACACAGGTGTAAGGAAGCTGCATGACCTGGCCTCAGGAGCAGCAGGAACATCTTCAAGGTAGTTCTGTGCTTTTAAGGAAATCCAGTCCCCCTTTAGGCATCTCCACCTGACCCAACACCAACTGGCTTATTCTTATCCTCACTCACCTTTTCTCTACCTTACCTTTTAATTTCTATAATCTTGGTCTGCTCATACTTTGGTTCATTTTATCTGCCTGTCTAGTTAACACATCATCACCTTATAAGACTCAGGTCAAGAATCATCTCTTTTATGATAAATTTTCTAGATCAGTCGGCCCCCTGGTAGACTCGACCTATTCTTACAGCCCTATCCTTGCCTTTCATCCTGCTGCTTTCAACACCTGCTGCTGATGGACTCATGTTCTTGGGTTTCCCAGTTTGAATTCCCCAGGGAGAGAATCTGATTGATTGGTTTTATCTAATTATGGGTTACTAGTGTGCCTAAAGTCTGGCTGCCTTCAGGACAGGTGCCTGTCCTTGATCCAATCAGCTGTGGCATAGGGAGGTGTCAGGGATATGAGGTAAAAAATAGCCCCCTAGGGCTGCCTGTGTAGCAGTCTGACAGCAGAAAAATCCCCTTAAGTGGGGCTAGGAGCTATAGGAGGACAAATGGCGGGCAGAAGGTTTTGGATCTGGTAGCAGACAGCTTTTGGTGCCCAACATCACATTCCCTTGGCCTACCTCTGGCTTTAGTTGCTACAGTGGTGGAAGGTTCTATGCAAGCCCAAGCCAACTGCTCAATGAGAAGTTTTACCACAAGCAGGCTCCACCTTCTGCCCCAGGAGTCTCTGAGGCCACAGCGCTTCCCTTGAAGAGGGTCGATGGCTGTCATACTCCAGGACAACCTCATGCAGTGGAGGGGCTGGAGTGGTGGGTCACTGTTCTAGACTCCCACCTTTCAGGTGGACAGTCCCGGAAGTGATTCAGGAAGCATCTCGGCATCTTCACAGAACTGAGTCCCTATTGCCTTCCACAGTGGTGTCCCTGTTGTGCCACACTCTGGCATGTTCTCTTGGTCTCTGTTCCTGCTCCCTCACTCCGGGGACAACCCAGACAACCCCATAAATGATCTGCATCCAGGTCTTAATCTTAGACTCTGCTCTCAGGGAACCCAACTGAGATTTATTCTGAAGGCAAGAGGGAGCCCAGGAAGCATTTTTTCCCTTTCTGATAATAATCCTATAATGAACTCTAGGCACTCTGCTGGGTGGAGAGGATATAAGCACAAAACGTTGCAGTCCCTGAACCCAAGGAGCTTATGACCTCCTCCTCCTGTAAACTTTTCAAAGTGTTTTTATTTCCATTATCTCATCTGGCCTTCTCAGCGACCTTTCCAGGAAAGCAGTGCAAACATCATTATCCCCACCTTACAGAAAAAGCGAAGAGACATAGAAAGGTCAAAGCAGTTTCCAAGGTCACACAGCTGCAGAGTGGCCTTTTAGGCAATTAAAATCTTTGGCTGGCTCTATAAATTATCTTAGTTACTCTGGGAAAGCAGTGTTAAAGGCAACACACTTGCTATAATTTAATTATTCACTTGCCGTCTTATATTTTCTTTGTGTTCTCTGTTTCTCTTCCACTTTCCAAATATTGTACTGGCTTTTAATCAGTGCTATATAATTTCTTCTGTGAAACTAGGTCAATGTACAATATGTTAACATAGCGTTCCTTTTACAGTTTAAACAAAATTCCTGCAAAATTGAAACTTAAAAGAAGGGGAAAAAATCCCTTTGACTGCAATTGCATAATTCTTAGCACTGACATGATGGGATTTGCATTTTAGAACGACCAGTAAGTAGTGTGGAGGGTGGCGTGGGGGAGAGCCTGGAAGGGCACGATTACGTTCCCTCCCAAGGTGCTTCTACACCTCTCCACAGCTTTAAATAACATCTTTATGCCAGTGACTCACACATTCATATCTCCAGCCCCAACTTCTCTTCTGAGCTCCAGATTGGCATATCCAGCCCCCTAATTGACATCTCTACTTGGATGTCTCACAGGCACTGAAACTTAACATGTCCAGAATGAACTCAATTTTTCACTCTTTCCCCAAACTGTTTCTCTCCCAGTGTTTCCTTGCTTGGTAAGTGGCACCACTATACCCAGTTGTTCAAGCCAGAAACCTACAAGTTGTTCTTGATCTTTTCTCTCTCACCCTCTGTATCCAATCAATTAGCAAGTCTGGCAACTTATACCTTCCAAATATGTCTCAGATCTGTTGACTTCTCATCCTGGCCACTGTACCACTCAAGCCATTGTCATCTTTTGTCTGAACTATGGTTGTATCCTCCTAACAGTTCTCTCTTTCTCCCACTCTTGCTTTGTATTGAGGCAGAGGTGTTGGTGAATGGAGAGATTTTCCTTCCCGTTGCCTTCATGTTTCCATATGCAGGCACCATCATCAGATAAACGGTCCTGGCCGCCCTCAATGATTTGAGTGTCGAGTTTAGGAGATGGAATGAGCATGAATGGCTAATCTACTTGCCTTCTTTCACTATGGGATCTACCTGCCTCAGGAAGGCTGTATTAGTTTTCTAATGCCGTGTAATAAATGACAAAAAATCAGCAGCTTAAAATAACATGCAAATATTATCACGGAGTTTCTGTGAGTCAAGAGTCCGGGCATGGTCTCACTGAACCCTCTGTGCAGGGTCTCCTAAAGCTATAATCATGTGTCAGCCAGGCTGCATTTTCATCTGGAAACTTGACAAGGGAAGAATTAGCTTTTTGTTGTTGTTCATTCAGGTTGTTGGCAGAATTCATTTGCTTGAGGTTGAATGACTGAGAGCCTGGCTTTGCTGGCTAGTGGCTGGAGGTCACCCTCAGGTCCCTTCTGCAGTTCCTTGCCATGTTGGCTTCCTCAACATGCCTGCTTACTTCATCAAGCCAGCAAGAGGAATCTTTTGATCCAGCCTGCCATGGCAGAGTCTTAAATAAGGTAATGCACCCACGGGAATGACATACCCTCACCTTTGCCATATAATACAACTTAAGAGAGGGACAGCCCATCATTTTTCCCATATTCCATTGGTTAGAAGCAACTAACAGGTTCTACCTGCATTCATAGGGAAGGAATTACACAAAAGCATGGACACCAGGAGAGTGTCAGGAAGGGGACGAGAGCAATAGTCTCAAGTGCTGTAGAGATTTCAGGGGGGAATAGAGTCCATGTACTTGGCAACTAGGAGGTCAGAAGTGATTTTAACAAGGACAGTTTCAGTGGAATGTGGGACAGAGAGTGAAGGGGAAGGAAGGCAGTGGAGACAGTAAGTGTAGACTTATTTTGCACAAAGTTTGGTTGTGAAGTGAAGAAGAGGGGCTAGTAAGAAAGAAATGCAGGAGTTATTGTTTTCAGTCTCATACCTTTGGAGTCCAAATTTCTAGTACTTCCAGGGATACTGTGAGTAACCTCATAATATCTGAAAACAATTTTTTTTTCTAGTTAACTACTAGAATGGATTCTGTTGTATAAAATTTAGATTCTCTGATGAAATGGTGAGCTTGAGTAAAGTGATGAAGGTCTGAAATAGTAATTGTGGAGAAAAAGAGAGGGCTTTGGAAAAATGTTTTATAATAGAAGATCGTTGAGCATGGCTGAGGGAAAGAACCAATAGAAAGAGTAGGGTGGAGACCACACACTGAGCATGACTGATTGATGCAGCCACGTTTTTGAGGAGAAGGAGGTAGGAGATGTGGAATCTAGGGCAGAAGGGCTGGACTTGGACAGGTGGAGGGACATTGCTTTCACCGAGGCCAGAGGGAAAGCGGTAAAGATGGAAATGAAGAAAGATAAGTTGCATGGGTGTCGTGCAGGAGGTGGAGGTAGTCAATCCAATCTTGATGGCCTCTATATTCTCTGCTGAGGAGGAGGTAATGTTGTTGGCTAAGTCTGAGAGCAAAGTGATGATATAGGAGGTGGAGTGCACATCTGTCTGATTATGGTTTCCTGGCTTCTTTACATTGCTACCATCTATTTGCAGGCTCTATTCAAGTTTCACTGATTGTTCCAATAGTGTTAATTATATAGCAAAAGGATTCAACTTATGATTACACATTGCGTTATTTGTCATGTCTCTTTCAATCTTTCCCTTGAAGATGATAGGCCAGTTATTTTGTAGAATCTTCTTCAACGTGGGCTTGTCTATTGTTTCTTCATGATTATATGCAGGTAATACACCTTGGGTACAAATATTACAGGAGTGATGCTGTGTTCTCACTGCATCCTGTCAGGTGGTACATGATTTCTGTTTGTCCCATTACTGATGATGTTAACTTTGATGATTTAATTAAAGTGATATCTACCTGACCTCTCCTCTATAAGTTATTCTTTTTTCCCTTTGTAATTAATAAGCATTTTGTGAGGAGGTACTTAGTCATTATGTACATACCTCTTTTTTATCAATTTATTCCTTTATTTATTTATATCAGTAGTGACTCATGGTTTCTATTTTATTCACAGGGTTATAATGTTACTAATATCATTTATTTTCATGATTTCTCCACCAGATTTAACCATTGGAATCCCCTTCAAGCTGGCTTTTGGGTCTTTTTTGATACATCTTTATCATTCTTTGAAGATTTTCTTACTTTTGGGCAAAACAGGATGTCATAGGCTCATTCTGTACTTTCCCTGCCCCAGTCATGTGCTATGGACAGCATTGTGTCTCCTCAAAATTTATATGTTGAAGCCCTAACCTCCAATACGACTGTATTTGGAGATAGGGCCTATAAGGAGGTAATTAAGGTTAAATGAGGTCATATAGGCAGGGCCTTGATTTAATAGGATTAGTGTCTTCAGAAGAGACCAGAGAAAGCTTGTTTTCTTTCTCTCTCTCCCACTATGCAAGGACACAGTGAGAAGTCAGCCATCTGCAATCCAGGAAGACAGCACCCTCAAGAATGGAATCACTGGTATCTTGATCTTGGATTTCCCAGCCTTCAGAGCTGTGAGAAATAAATGTCTGTTTCTTAGTACACCTAGTCTGTAGCATTTTGTAGGGCAGCTCCAGCACAGTAAGGCATCATGGAATTAGCCATTTTTCTTTTTCTTTTTCTTTTATCTTTTCTTTCTTTCTTTCTTTCTTTTTTTTTTTGATGCAGAGTCTTGCTCTGTTGCCCAGGCTGGAGTGTAGTGGTGTGATCTCCACTCATTGCACCCTCAGCCTCCCAGTTTCAAGCAATTCTCATGCCTCAGGTTCCTGAGTAGCTGGGACCACAGGTGTGTGCCACCATGCCCAACTAATTTTTTTTTTTGTATTTTTAGTAGAGACAGAATTTCACCATGTTGGCCAGGCTGGTCTCAAACTCCTGACCTCAGGTGATCCACCTGCCTCAGCCTTGCAATGTGCTGGGATTACAGGTGTGAGCCATCATGCCCAGGTGGAATTAATCATTTCTCTAAGATGCCCTAGTTCCTTTTACGTGAGAATGGTATTTAGAAGCCACAATCTGGGTGCTGCATGTGCTTATTACAATGGAGATGTTGCTGCTTTCTTGGGAGGCAGAGATAGAGAATATATGTACATGCAAGTGTGTGTATATATATGTATTTATTTTTATATCTATTTATCTATGTTAAAAACCACAAATCCACTCCACTACCTCCAATTCCAATTCCAGTCCCAAATCACGGTGTTCATTCTAGTTTTCTCCCTTTCCATATTTGTAACTCCCATGTCTAACAGTAAGAAACCTAGCTCTATTATTTTTAATGTGTTATTTGTTCAACTTCTCTATATGTTGCCACCTCCCATTGCCACCCCTCTGCTGCAAGGATCCCCTTCTCACCGTTTTTGAGCTCTTCTACCCAACTGAGCTACTGCAACTGCTGCCTGTGATGATGCTCTCTTCACCTTGCCTGGGCTCCAGAACTCTGCATCAGGCTGCTCCCTCTACCAAAATCCTCCTCTTCCTCTGAAGCTCCAACACCCATATAGCAATGTTCCACTCCCATTTAAACATCCTTCTCATTCCTCTCAGGCTCTGACACCCTGTTCCGGGTCACCTTTTTATGCAAATGCCCCCTTTAGTCTGCTCAGGTTTTAATACCCTGCACTGGGCTGTACCCCCACGTGTGTGATGTCTTAGTTTGGGCTGTATATTAGTCAGGCTTATCTAGAGAAACAGAACCAATATGACGAGAATTGGCTCATGTGAGGCTCATGTGACTCAGAAGGCTGAGAAGTCCCACAGTATGCCATCTATAAGCTGGAGCCAGGAAAGCTGGTGGTGTGATTCAGAGTCCAAGGCCTGAGAACCAGGGGAGCCAATGGTATAACTCTTAGTTTGAGGCCAAAAGCCTGGGATCTGGTGGGGAGAGGTTCTGGTGTCAGCTTCAGATGCCATAGGCCCAAGAGCCAAGAGCTCTGATGTTCAAGGGCAGGAGAAGATGGATGTCCCAGCTCAAGGAGGGAGAGAGAATTTGCTCTTCCTCTATCACTTTGTTCTATCTGGGGCCTCAACAGATTAGACAATGCCTGCTCACACTGGGGAGGACGGATCTTCTTTACTCAGTCTACTGATTCACATGCTAATATCTTTCAGACACACCCTACCAGACACACCCAGAAATCATGTTTTACCAGTGATCTGGGCAACCCCCAGCCCAGTAATGTTAACACACAAAATTGACTATCACAGGCTGCTTCAACTGAATACTGCAGATGAGGTGGCTTGAACAGCAGAAATTTATTGATCACAGTTCTGAAGGCTTGAAAGTCCAAGATCAAGGCACCTGCAGATCTGGTGTCCGGTGAGGATGCTCTTCTTGGTTTGCAGGTGGCTGTGTCTTACATGGATGGCTGTGTCTTACTTGGGTCCTTACATGGAAGAAGGCAGACGGAGCAATCCCATGTCTTCCTCTTTTCTTTTTTAAACTTTTGAAACAGATTTTTTTTTTTTTTTGAGACAGGCTCTTGCTCTGTCACCCAGGCTACAGTGCAATGGCATGATCATGGCTCAGTGTAGCCTCAACTTCCTGGGTACAAGCAGTTCTCCCACCTCAGGCTCTTGAGTAGCTGGGACTACAGGTGTGAGCCACTATACCTGACTAATTTTTGTGTTGTTGTAGAGACAGGGTTTTGCCATGTTGCCCAGGCTGGTCTCAAACTCCTGAGCTCAAGCAATCTGCCAACTCCAGCCTCCCAAAGTGCTGGGATTACAGGCATGAACCACGGCACCTGGCTTCCTCCTCTTTTCATTAGGGCACTATCCCATTCATGAAGGATCCACTGTCATGACCTAATTATCACCCAGAATCCCCACCTCTAAGTCACACTGGGGACTTAAGCTTTAACACATACATTTTGGTGGACACAAATATTTAGTCTCTGTCTTCCTCACTCTTTTGGACTCTGACATTTCCTCCTGTGTGGACACCATCTCTCCTCACCCTGCTCAGGCTCCATTACCCTGTACTCTCCCCACCCAACTCAGGCTCTGATAATTCTGCACTGGACCTGCCCTCTCTTCCCTTGTGAAGACAACTCACTTTAGTCTGGCCCTGACAGCCTACTCTGGGACACAACAACTACCTCCCTTTCCCCAGTGCAGAGGTCTAATTTGGCCCTATCTAATGGCTTTTGAATGGAATTGTTCAGGAAGGTAAGAGAAGAGGAAGAAGAGTAGGAAAAGGAAGAGTAAGCCCTTTATCAACTGACTTTCCAAGGCAGAAGCAGGAATTCAATGTCCCCTTTCAGCCAGCCCTTGTAACTTAGGCACAGACATGTGAATCTGCCAACAGCTGGACTCACATAAGGCTTTAGTTTAGATGTGAATGACAGGGGAAAGCAGCATCTACTTTGTGATGAGTGTGGTGATGGAGGTTTCAGCTTTTCAGAGACAGTGGTGGTGGCGCTGTTTGCATCCAGTCCTCAGTGAGGGCTGCCGTGTGTGTGACGAGTGGCAGGGACAGTGATGTCTTTTGTCTTGTTTTTTTTTTTTAAATTTGAGACAGGGTCTCACTCTGTTGCCCAGGCTGGAGTGCAGTGGTGTGATCTTGGCTCACTACAGCCTCAACCTCCCAGGCTCAAGTGATCCTCTTGCCTCATCCTCCCAGGTAGCTGGGACTACAGGCATGTGCCATCATGCCTGGCTAATTTTTGTATTTTTTGTAGAGATGGGGTTTTGCCATATTGTCCAGGCTGGTCTCAAACTCCTGGGCTCAAGCAATCCACCTGCCTCAGCCTCCCAAAGTGCTGGGATTACAGGGGTGAGCCTCTGCACCTGGCCAGTGATGTCTTTTTAGGAGCCCCTGCAGAGTGTTTGGGAGCATTGTTCTTAATTGTGTAGCCTCTGAGCCCACTCTCTGGCTCTTCTAGAGAATCTTTGAATCATCTAATCTCTTTAATAGCTTCCTTTTGTTTAAACCAGTTAGAGTGGATTCTGTTGTCTGCAACTAACAACACTGATTTTTGTCTCTTTTGTGTCCCTTATGATGCCATTGTAAATCTTTGTTAATATGACAATCCTGCAAGAACTTCACTTTCACAGGGGCCTCTACTTCTCTAGGTAATGTAGTAAACAAATATTTACTAAGTCAAAAGAGTGTTTATTAACTTACAGGCTATTTAGTCAAACAAGCAGGAATTTATTTAACTGATCTTTAATCTTTAATGTGCCTAACACTCCAGGATTTATGGGTAGGATATACAACATCATAGACATTGAACTATCCTTAAAAAATATACACACTTCAGCAGTGTTTTGAAATCAGAAGTATCAATCAGTATCACCAGGGGAGTCTTTTTTTCTCCAAATGACTGAGCTTCTCCCAGGGAAATTCATATTTGGTAGGTTTGAGTTGGAACCCTAGGAACCCACACTGTATAAAAGCTCCCTGGTTGATTTTGATTCACCAACATGACAAGAGTATTTGAACTATTAGGTCTTAACCTCATGGTGCTGTCTATTGAGTGGATGGATAACACAGACAATCAGGTAATTAGCAGAAATGTAGGGAGGTCCCATGGGTAGTGAAAAGAGCAGCAGGCTCAGAGGCCGTATAGTGAGGCCTAGAAGTCAGAAAAAAGGGGGCTAGCAACAGCTTAGCAAACCCTCTAAGAGTTTGGAACTAAGGTTGCCTTAGAGATAAACTAATAAAAACGACTTTTAGCCAGGCGCAGTGGCTCACGCCTGTAATCCCAGCACTTTGGGAGGCCAAGGTGGGCTGATTGGCTGAGCTCAGGCGTTTGAGACCAGCCTGGGCAACATGGTGAAACCCCATCTGTACTAAAATACAAAAAATTAGCCAGGTGTGGTGGTGTGTGCCTGTAATCCCAGATACTCAGGAGGCTGAGGCAGAAGAATTGCTTGAACCCAGGAGGCGGAGGTTGCAGTGAGCTGAGATTGGGCTGCTGCACTCCATCCTGGGCGACAGAGTAAGACTCTGTCTCCCAAACAAAGAAACAACCAAAAAAAAACCTTTCAGCAGATGTAATCATATGTCCATGGGAATAAACCAAGAGATTGTCTGTAATATGAGATTTAAGAATTTGGGAATACCCAAAACACCTTAAGTGGAATCTCAAGGAGGTAGGACTAAAATGTGACTGTAGTTTAGTGAGTAGTAACCTAGTGATTAGGTTCTAATTATTACACCTGTATAGGAAAAATACGTGTACACTGAAGAAGATGGGTCGGGTTCAAACCTGAGCAGTGCTGGCCACTTTGGGCTGGTCTCTGCACATAGTAAAACATTCTCAAAGTCCTCTGTACCCATCTATCACCCCACTCATTATGGTGGCTGTTCCCCCCAAAGTTCTCCTCACTCTTTTTCCAGAATAATCCGACCCACCTGGCTCCTTTTACACTCCTCTCTAGTTCAACTCCTCTTGCCTTCTGAGTCTCTCTTTCCCTAGTTGCCATGTGTCTTGTAACGTTACCCTGATTAGCTTTTACCCTCTCCATTTCACCCATAGCCTAATCCCAAAAATAGAGAGTCGAGGAATTTTCTTTAGAATGCAGAGGGAAGGGAAAAGACTAAAGACATTCATATTTTTGTCCTTACCTAAAATATAAGAACTTTATTAGTTAAGGTTCTTTTGATATGAATATCCAAAATCAACTCAAGCTCTTTAAAGTCAAAAGAACAATTTATTGTATATACCCATGGAATCAAAAAGAGCTTGACTAAGCTGTCTGAAAGGGCAAGAATCAGGGCATCTTTAGGGGCTTAACATGAGATATTTGTGGGTCCTTCTTCTAGGATAGAAGTCCCAAACTTTTCACTGTGACCCACTGAAGAAGGGCAAAACTTTGAAACCTTTTAATTATTTCCAATTTCCAGAAGATAAAGTCCTATTACATGAATGATCACTGTACTATGTTGCAAAGGGGAATATGCATACATATGCATGTAAAGGGTGTGATGATTGTTATTTGAACTGTAGTGGATAGTTTCAAAGTCTAATTATTGAAAAATTGTAGGCCCCAAAGATCACTATGCACAACAAACTGGTAATTCTAAAGCTGAATAAACATGAAACCAAATTTATAATAATTTATAATTAATGACCAATGTAAGCAAGCTATCAAAACCCACAGCCAATTCAAAGCAACAATGGTGAAGCACTGAAAATAAAGTCCCGTTATTACCCCCAATTGCAGGAATTCCAACTCCCCGTGTGCCTGTGCACTGTGAGAGCACCCCAACGTTGAGGGCCTTGGCCTGGCAGGCAGCGTCCATAGCAGAATATAGAGTTAGAGTTCGTTGGACACTCTATTTTTTTTTTCATTAAAAAAAATTTCAGTAGATTTTTGGGAACAGATGGTGTTTTGTTACATGAGTAAGTTCTTTAGCGGTGATTTCTGAGATTTTGGTGAACCCGTCACCCGAGCAGTGTACACTGTGCCCAGTGTGTAGTCTTTTATTCCTCACCCACCTCCCACCCTTTCCCCCAAGTCCCCAAAGTCCATTTTATCATTCTTACTCCTTTGCATCAGGACACTCTTATAACAATCATTTTAATTGGTGAATTATAGATTTTAGAAACCCCTAATGACCATTTAGTACATTATTAGGAAATAGTCCCTCATGATATATAAAAATTTATGACTATGTATAAAAATCATTTGCACATGATAATTTTCATATGAGGATTTGCATTTTGGATTAGTTTGAAGCTCACCAGGAAGCTCCTGTAGTAATTTGGGAATCACTGCTCTGGAAATTTTCCATGAGCTTGTCTGAGCAACTAAGCTCATCTTCCTCAGATCAAAATCTCCAATTCCCAAGGCTGAGATTCTTAGGGATCCAGCTTGAGCCAGGTGTCCACTCTGGACCAATCCTCTTTGGGGTTGGGAGAGTGGAGAAGAGAGGTGGCAGGACCTCTTAATAAAAAGATGTTTTGTTTGTCGGGACTGCCCTGTGGGTGGAGAGGGCAATTCCTGGAAGTGAGTGATAATATCCACAAGTAACAGCAACAATAAATACAGTGTCAAGGTCATAAAACTTATACCATACCTTGGCCTTCCAGAGGGAACTGTGATCTATTTATTTTTATTTTTCATTTTTAGAGACGCTGGCCCTTGAACTCCTAGCCTCAAGAGATCCTCAGGCCTCAGTCTTCCAAGTGTCTGAGATTGGAATCTTTATTTTTGTCTCCAGCCTTTGGGTAGCTTGAAGAAAACTCTAGATTCAGTTCAATTCAAGACAATGTAAACAACACATCTAGGAAGTATTCAATCTCTCTGTGTAAAAATACCTGGTCTCCCAGCTTTCAATGTCTTCTGGCCCCTCACCCCCCATTCCCTACTGCCCCCTTGGAAGCATGCGATGGTGCCACTGGTTCCTGGAGTCTCCAGGGCTCTATCTCTTGTCCCTAGCCCGGTCACTGCTTGCATGGCTGAAGCTGGCAGCTAGAGGGATTTGTGATTTGGACTCTCAGCCTGGCCAGGACCCCACAGTCCTCCCTGGCAGACTCAGCTGTCCATTAGCGTTCTCGGTGGGGCGGAGCTCCCTAACCCTAGTGGTCTGCTCATGGTCTTCTCTGTGGTGGAACTCCAGGAAGGCAAAGCCTCTGGAACGGAGAGAAGCAAATTACAGCCTGGTTCTGCCTAACAGGATACTGGGCCCTTATATTTGTGCTCTGCCACATGAGGTCTCTGTGTTCTTAGCCCTTTTCATTTCCTGGATATTTCAGAAGCTCAGTTCCAACTGTGGTGTGTGTGTGGTAGGTGGCTTGAGAGGTGTGTGTGTGTGTGTGTATAATATGTATGTGGTGTGTATGTACATGTATGTAGGTGTATGATGTGTGTGTGTGTGGTGTGTCGTATATATATGGTATATGGTGTGTGTGATATGTAGTAAGTGTGGTGCAGTATGTGTGGTGTGTGTGTATGTGTGGCATATATTGTGTATGTGTGGTGTGTGGTGTGTGCATGTGTGGTGTACATGGCATTTGTATGTATGGTATATGGTGTGTAAGTGCAGTGTGTGTATGTGTGATATATGGTGTGTGGCATGTGTATGTGCAGTGTGTGTATGTGTAGTATATGGTGTGTATGTGTAGTATATGGTGTGTATGTGTAGTATGTGATGTGTGGTACATATATGGCATGTGTAGTAGGTTGTATGTGTAGTGTGGTGTGGTGTATGTGTGGCATATATTGTGCACGTGTGCTGTGTGTGTGTGTGGTATGTGTGATCGTGTGTGATGGCGGACTGTTCTCTTTTCCCTCTCTTTTCCTCACCTCCTTTCCCCATTATCCCTCAGGACTGAAAGAAGGCTTTCCTTACTGGGTTCTATCCTCCACCTACCATAGAGAGAGCTTCATGGCTGCACGGGCACTCTAAAAGCTGGTTCCTGCAACACTAAAGGGGAAGATAAAGGAGTTTTGAAGATGATAGCCTGTGTTTATGGAATACTTGCTATGTTCCAGATACTTCCTAACTGCTTCTAAGTGTTATAGTGCTTGACATCTAGAAAGAATTCAATAATATTATGTTTTGCATGTATTAGCTCATTAACTTCTCACAGCAATCCCCAGAGGTCAGTGCTATTATTACCCCATTTTACAGATAAGGAGACTAAGTCCTAGAGAAATTCAGTAACTTGTTCAAGGTCACACAACTGGTAAATGGCAGAACCTGGACTCAGCCCAGATATTTTGCCTCTAATTTTCTCATTTTAGTCAATTGGCAATTCCACCTCTCTCAAGACAATAGCCTGAATCTAAAAATTAGTGCCTTGCAGAGAAATCTCATTTTAAATGTCAATAGCAGAATATTAGCTCTTTATTTCTTTTTGCATTATTCTGCCTATGCAATTTAATCTCTCCCAAGGCAGAGGAATGCTTGGGGCCAATTGAGGGAAAAGGTCATATTCTCTGAAACACAAAAGAGAAAAACACATTAATAATTTTTCCAAATAGTGCCCTCTTTACAATAATAATAAAAACAATAGTAATGACATAGAAGCAGAAAAATAGGACTGTGACAGGGCAAACATGGAGAGCTCTTGGCCAAGCCAACTCACCACTCTCTCCTCCACAAGGCTCTTCTGATGAACTAACAGGGCCTCAGCCAAGAGGTGTCCCAGGATGATGAAAATCCCCTAGAACTGCTAGAGCTTCACTGCTCACCAAGGCACATTCTGCCCATGAGGCTTGTTGAATTTCTCAGCTACAAAGAGAAGATGCCCCATTAGGTGCACTCAAGAAGACTCTGTCTTGTTTGACAGTTGTTTTTTAGGGTAACTAAATAGACTGGTATCCTGTGGCTTGGGTAACAGGAGCTACCCCTTTTGCTTCTGAAAAAGTTAAGTTTCTGAACCAACAAGACTAAAGACAAGATGTAGGGGATGGTAAATTAACCAAGACAAACACCCTCTCATGGGACCCAACTGGGCAGCCAGGCATTCCTATGGCTCCCCTGCTCTGTCTCTGTGTGAGGCTGGGGTCCCTGGACAGAAAAGCCTGAGACAAAGGCTGAAATGCGAGGATTTCCTGGGAGACTGCATGAGTGAGAGTCAGAGCGGGTGAAGCAGGATGGAGGGAGAGCTCACTCAAAGACATACTGGCAAGTGAGCTACTCGCTGATTGCCTGGTTGCATAGGACTGCCTGAGAAGCCATCTGACAAGCTCTCAGAATTGTCTATCTGGAGGAAAGAAAGAGAAGCATTCAGTTAGTTCCCATCCCTCTTTGGTTGAGGTTTGTCCCTCCACAAACTGGCCTATGTTAACTCCCGGGCATTTCCAGGTTCCCCTCAACACAGGTAGGAGCCCTGGATGGGAAGAGAGCAGGGCTGGGGTGATGGGGATCAGGTTTGAGCTGAAGATGCTCTCAGCTCACTGAGGACTGATGGCTGCATGAAAAGGGGGAGGTAAGGCCAAGAGTGTCTGGGAGATGCAAAAGAGGTGTGTGTGGATGCGCCTTCTTCAAACTGCACAACTGGCAGTGTGAGCTCCGCAGGTCACCTCAGCCTTCTGGGTGTTAACTTTCCTCATCCATAAAGGTGGGGCCAGGGAGATGCTCAGCATGGAACAAAACATCCAAATGAGACCCAAGGAGAAAGCGTGGATTGGGTACCATCCCAGCGGGTAGGAGAAGACTGCCAGGGAAGGCGTGTCTTGGGGGTCAAGTGAAGGAGGTAAGGCTGAGTCGAAGGCCTGGGAAGGCTCTCAGGATAGGAGGACAATGGAAGCTCAGTTTGAGTAAAACAGCAAGTGATTGGGGGATTGAGGAGGTGGCAGCCTTCGATGTGTAGTGTGATGTGAAGTGTGGCCAGAAGTGTGGGCTCTGATTCTAGCTCTGCCACTGACAGTGTGACCTTGGACTTCCACCATCCACCAGCTCCAGGTGCCAGTTCTCCATCTGTAAAGAGAAGGAGGTATTTAGGGCTCTTAGAGTTTTGGGTGTTTCCTCACAGCAACATGGGTAAGAGCAGAGGGACCTCACTGGATGGAACTGGTGCTTGGCAGCTGACCCTGCTATGGGGGTGGATGTGGTCTTTTTACCCCCACAGAACTAGGTATGGATGTCTTTACTGATGTGGCAGGTAGATATTCAGTTCTAAGATTCCTGATGAAATAGCAGGATTTCAACAGATAGTAGAGCTGAGAGGAAGCTGGACTAAGTAACAGCTGGCACCAGAGAGGTGGTTCTGGGGTTAGTCAAGCCCAGATATCTAGCAAGGCTTCATGGTCTGGGCTCCTTTATGTGGGAGGAGGGCTCATTTGTACAAGTAAGGCAGGCCTTTAATCAGTCCTTCCAGGTGGCTACTGTGGCAGCAGTGGTAGCTGATCACCAAAGATGCAAGCTCTCCTTTCACAGTGTAGAGGTATTGTTAGGATGCAGTTGTCTAGTTATATACCATGCTCCTCAATCCACTGTCTTCAGCTGCACCCATAGGACTAGCACTGAGCAAAAGAATGTAAGCAGAAATAATGTGTGCCATTTATAAGCTGAGGAGATGAATTATCAGCTGTGCCTTACTCCACTCTTTTCCCCTTCCAAGACTTAGAGACTGCATGTTGAAAATGATAGCATTACAAGATGGAAGGAGCCTGGATCCCTGAGTCACTGGTTGGAGGAGAGTTGCCCAGAAATATTCTCATTAGACTTTTCATGAGCAAGAAATAAAGTTGTTTTCTGTTAACCCAATGATATTTTGAGTTGTTGTCATGACAGTTAACTTATCCTATCTAATACAGCTATCTTAGACACCTTAAATGAGCCCCAAAGCAGAAGGACAGTTATTTGGAGACATGAAACTTGGAGAACCTAAAGATGAGCTCATTGATCAATCTTAGATAATATTTATTACTAATACATGCCAGACTTTCTTCTTGGTTCTAAGGATACAATGTTAGGATGACAAAGTCCACACTCTTGTGAGACTTGCCTGCCAGTGAAGGGAGACAGATAACAAGCTGACATGCTAAATGCATGATTTGTAGGCTCAAAGTATAACTTATTTTGTTATCCACCGTCTATTTGAAGTATACTCAGTGGTCGTGATCTGTTCCTATACTGGAAATGTGGGTAGATTCCATGATTGTTCTGCCCACTCCTAGGTGATAGACAATCCTTTGGTCACTTTAAGTTGTAAAGACAGCCTCAGTTTAAAAACTGGAATGTCCGATGGAAAACAATGATTAAGTGCTTTTATTTTATCCAAAAGTTGAGTTAGCACCTTTGAATTATGGCCTATAGTTGATGGCATCCTGACTGTAGGAAGGGAAGATAGTTTTTTTTCTCTCTTATTTTATCTTCTCTCCCATCTTCCCTCTTGCTGGCTTGTGGGGAAAAGAAAGAGAGATCAGATTGTTACTGTGTCTGTGTAGAAAGAAGTAGACATGGGAGACTCCATTTTGTTCTGTATTAAGAGAAATTCTTCTGCCTTGAGATGCTGTTAATCTGTAACCTTACCCCCAACCCTGTGCTCTCTGAAACATGTGCTGCGTCCACTCAGGGTTAAATGGATTAAAGGCTGTGCAAGATGTGCTTTGTTAAACAGATGCTTGAAGGCAGCATGCTCTTTTAAGAGTCATCACCACTCCCTAATCTCAAGTACCCAGGGACATAAACACTGCAGAAGGAAGGCCGCAGGGACCTCTGCCTAGGAAAGCCAGGTATTGTCCAAGGTTTCTCCCCACGTGATAGTCTGAAATATGGCCTCGTGGGAAGGGAAAGACCTGACCATCCCCCAGCCTGACATCCGTAAAGGGTCTGTGCTGAGGAGGATTAGTATAAGAGGAAGGAACGCCTCTTTGCAGTTGAGACAAGAGGAAGACATCTGTCTCCTTCCCGTCCCTGGGCAATGGAATGTCTCGGTATAAAACCCGATTGTATGTTCCATCTACTGAGATAGGGGAAAACTGCCTTAGGGCTGGAGGTGGGACAGGCGGGCAGCAATACTGCTCTTTAAGGCATTGAGATGTTTATGTGTATGCATATCTAAAGCACAGCATTTAATTCTTTACCTTGTTTATGATGCAGAGACCTTTGTTCACATGTTTATCTGCTGACCTTCTCTCCACTATTATCCTATGACCCTGCCACATCCCCCTCTCCGAGAAACACCCAAGAATGATCAATAAATACTAACGGAACTCAGAGGCCGGTGGGATCCTCCGTATGCTGAACGCTGGTCCCCTGGGCCCCCTTATTTCTTTCTCTATACTTTGTCTCTGTGTCTTTTTCTTTTCCAAGTCTCTTGTTCCACCTAACAAGAAACACCCACAGGTGTGGAGGGGCAACCCACCCCTTCACTGGCTGATATATTGCTTCTTTCAAAGGGGTAGTGTGTGTGAGGGGGTGCTGGTGGTGGTAAGGGGATGGGGCAGTCCTTGCTAGACTGGCCTGGGAGATTTTGTGTTCTTTGGGCCTGGTAGATGGTTAAAGCCGGGTGGATGCATCTTAATTGTGAGAGTTTATTTGCTATTCTTTGTTAGCCCCTAGGAAGAATAGGCCTCTACTTTCAGCTTCTTCTTGCTGGAATTACTGCATCTTCTAGGTGCCCACATTGAGCAGAACCCAAGACAACGGCTCTCTGATTTTTCTTGCATGGTCCATATTAGTCCATAGAATATATTCAAGCATCTGTCTTCATAACAGGCTCTGAAAATGCAGACTGGGACCAATATAACACCCTCTTTCCTGTTTTCCCAGACTAACCACTTAAGTTTTTTCAGTGAGTCAAGCCCAAGTTCAATATCTAACACTCCTCCCATCTCACCAACTTGAGAGAACACACAGGATGCTCTCTAAATGGTCCTCTAAAGCCCTCTCACTCCAGGATTGAAGGAGGTAACACCCTCCTTCCCCATTTTTAACCCTTTCCCTTGGGTAGAAGAAGTTGACTCTCATAAGATAGCAATAACTCCTTCCAAAGAAATCCTCCATTCTGAAGACTCCCATGTATGCACATTGATATGATTTCGCTCTGTGTCCCCACCCAAATCTCACATTGAATTTTAATCCCCAGTGGTGGAGGAGGGGCCTGGTGGGAGGTGATTTGATCATGGGGGCAGATTTCCTCCTTGCTGTTCTTGTGATAGTAAGTTCTCATGAGATCTGGTTGCTTAAAAGTGTGTAGCACTTCTCTCTTTGCTCTTTCTTCTGGTGGCCACATGAGACTTGCCTGCTTCCCGTTGGCCTTCTGCCATGATTGTAAGTTTCCTGAGGTCTCCTCAGCCATGCTACCTGTATAGCCTGTGAAACTGTTAGTCAATTAAGCTTCTTTTCTTCAGAAATTTCTTCATGGTGGAAGGGATCTCTTCACAGGGCAGCAGGAGACAGAAGAAGTGAGCAAGAGGAAGTACCAAACACTTATAAAACCATCAGATGGTGTAAGAACTCACTATCACAAAACAGCATTGGGGAAACTGCCCCCATGACACAACACCTCCCACCAGGTCTCCCCTCAACACCTGGGGATAACAATTCAAGATAAGATTTGGGTGGGACACAGAGCCAAATAATATCAGCATGGTAAGGTTTATGGGTTTAATTCTAACTGCAAAGGCAAGCTGTTGGGGGGCAGGAGGGTTGAAGCAGGGAATGACCTGATCAATTTATATTTTAAAGAGGATAATCAATGACATGAAAAGAAAGAAGGGAGGACTACTATTGAATGAAAGAGGCTTAATGGACATAAGCAAACACTATGTTTAGATTTAGTTTGGATCCTTATTGAAACAAACTAATTGTAAAAAGAGATCTTTGAGATGACCTAGGAAATTTGAATATGGGCTTGGTATTAGATAGGTTATATTACATAATTATCATTTATTTTGTTAAGTGTGATAATAGCATGCTTTGGGGCTAAAAGAAAGTCTGTTAAGCATATACTGAGAGTGACAAAAAGACAAACAAGAAATAAGAAAGTCTGTATTAGTTGGAGATGTGGAAGTGGCAATGTGGAAGTGGCAATGGGTGATGTGTTATGATGACTAGGATTTGCTTTATTTCAGAAAATAATTAAATAATTGGGGCTTTATTATACTATACTTTTATATATATTTTTAAAATGCATATTAAAAATTACAAAGGAAAGGATCTGTCTGTTGTGTGGAGAATGCACTGCGGGGGAAAGAGTGGAAGCAGAGACCAGTTAGGAGCCCTTACAGCAAGCCAAAGAGAGGGGAGAGATGATGGTGACTTAAAGTGGTAGTCATGGCAGTGGCAGCCTGTCTGGAGTTGCCACTGCCATCATGCCAGCTGCAGCAGGGAGGTGTGGCTGGGGCTGCCCACTCCATGGAGCCAGCAGGAGCTGGGGACAAGTGGGAGCCCTGCCCCTTCAGGCCAGAGAGGGCCTGAAGGCTGGGTGGGGGCCAGGCTGCCAGTCCCACAGACCAGAGTGGGAGCTTGTGGTGCCTCTTTTGGGCCTGCCCATGGCTGCCCAGGGACCAATCAGCATGCACTTCCTCCCCACTGAGGCTCATAAAAGCCCTGGGCTCAGCCAAAGCTGAGCAGATGTCAGGATGACCAGCTGCAGAGAGGAGCTACCACTCCAGGGCCTCCTCTGAACCATTCAGTCACTCAATAAAGCTTCTCTTTGCTTTGCTTACCATCCACTTGTCCATGTACCTCATTCTTCCTGGACTCAAGACAAGAACTTGGGACCTGCTGAATGGCAAGGCTGAAAGGGCTATAACACAAACAGGGCTGAAACATGCCCCTTGCTCACCACATTGCAGGTAAAGAGAAGGAGAGAAGAGCTGCAGCCCTATGGGGAGCCCAGACATGGGAACTCCCCGAGCCAGAGCTGTGACTCACTCTTTGGGGCCTTGTGGTTCCTGGAATCTCCAAGCTTCTGGTTGCTGCTGTGTTTCCCAGTGGCAGTTGTGGAAGCTGCTTGCTGTGCACCTGATCCAGCTGCAGCCCTGCAGAGAGTCTGCACCCATACTATCACCTGGAGCTGCCTGTCCCCTGTAGCAGCTGGCATGCCTGATTGTGTGCAGTGCCAGACCCCATGCTTGCTTGCTTACATACTCCTCACCGCTCCATGCCTGGCTCCCCCTTGGCAGGTGTGGGATCCAGGCTGGTATCATGAGCTGAGTGCAGTGTGCCAGGCTGAGTGGGTGGAATGAGTCCAGTGGGTCTGAGCAAAACTTGGGCAAAGGTAACACTGATCACGGAGGTTTCCGGCCAGAAGAGTGACACCCCAAAAACCCTGCAATGGTAGGAGTTGGGTTGGAGCTGGAAATGGAGATAGTTTAGAGATAGAGCCAACAGCACTTGTAGATTGGATGTGAGAGATATAATAGTGGCCCAGCTAAGACTAAAATGAAAGTGACTTTGAGCACAATGTGAGGCCCATTTTTCCATACTAGGGCTTGCATTCTCAAATTAATCCCCACCAGATTAAAGGATGATGGGAAAACGGGGAACTAATACATATATATCTATCTAAATCTATCTATCTATCTATGTATCTATGTATCTATCTATCTATCTATCTATCTATCTATCTATCTATCTATCTATCTATATTTTGAGATAGAGTCTTGCTCTGTTGCCTAGGCTGGAGTGCAGTGGTGCAATCTCAGCTCACTGCAACCTCCACTTCCAGGGTTCAGGTTGATCCTCCCACCTTAGACTCCAGAGTAGCTGGGACTACAGGTGCATGCCACCACACCCACCTAATTAATTTTTTGTAAAGCCAGGGTTTCACCATGTTGCCCAGGTTGGTCTCAAACTTCTGAGCTCAAGCGATCTGCCTGCCTCTGCCTCCAAAGTGCTGGGATTTCAGGCATGCACCACTGCACCCAGCCATCTTCAAATTATGTATGTCTTAAATTAAATTTACATTCTTGGAATTGGGGCTGGGCTGAGCCCAATTTAGCAGGGCAAGGGCTAAGACGTTTGAAATAGCTGGAAATTCTGTAACTCTGCAAGGCAGACAGCTGGAAGAAATTACTTCCTGTTAAAAATTGTAGTTCTCAGTCATCGGGTAAAACCCTTGCCTTATCAGCTCCTGGGATTAATGATTTTTTTTCACACTAGGCCATACCACAGTGCATTTCAACAGTGGATCCCAGAAACACAGATCCTTAATTTACTTTTGGTTAGCTCAATTATGCAAACACGTGTTTAGCTGCTAGAACGACTTTGTCCGCATTTAGGGAGCTTTAATTCAACTACAAGTACTGGAACCAGCAAAGGAACTCCTGACTGTCTGAGATCTGCCCAGCGGCAAAGCTGTTTGTTGTAGCTATTTGTTTTTTGCGTCACTTTTTTCTTTTCCTTTCTGTATGACTGGTACTACAAATGGAGATGTGCATCTGTTACTGTGGATCTGTCAATGGCTTAGGTTTTCTGGACATAATCTTATTTAATTGAGCCAGGTCTTTTTTTCCTAAGTTTTTTCCCTACATGTGAAGCATTTTGTTGTTGTTGTTAAAGTGCTCTAATGTCTTAGTACTAAACTAATAATAAAAATGACAACAGTAACAAATAGTGCTCTTATTGATCATCAAGAGAGTAGGCTCTGAATGGTAATTGGAATACAGCTGGAACAGGGCCGTATGGAGTGGCAGACCTCATCCCTCATAGGCAGCAGCAGCTAAGCCCATTCTGTATTCTACACCCTCCCTGACCCTTGATTTCTACTTGGCCTACCTCACCATGTTGTTCTATGGAAAATCAGGCCACCCCGTACCTAACCTTTCCCTGGCCAATATTTAGCAGCTTACTGAGCCTGTTGTATTGTATCTAATCCTTGCTTAGCCCAGCCATATGCACTACCATTAGGGAACATCATAAATCATCATTTAAGGATCATAATATCCACTCTACTTGCCAGAGGACCAAGTCATCCATTCCCTTGTATCTAAGTGGCAGTTGCAAACTCCTGGAATAGATTCCTCATTGTCTTCCTATCAGCTTCAGCATCTCCTGTCTCAAATGTCACTACTCATAGCACATTTTTCTTTAGAACATGCTCATTCTTGTGATTTCTTTTCTGACAGAGATAGATACCTGCTGCCCAGCTGTGTTGCTTATGGATTTCCCCAATAGGAGTCAGTACTAGACACTTGCCAACAGGCAAGTCACTTAATATATTTGAATTACATTTCCTTCTTAGGTAAATAAGAGTGACATTCCTCTTTCTTTCTTTCTTGGCATTGTGTCTGAGCTGGGAAGACTTTATGTCAGGTTTGCTGGGATGATCCAATGAGACACAACTTGTGAATATCCTTTACAAAATAGAAGACCCTGAATAAAAGCTAGCAATTATTGTAATAACAAAGAAGTGCTTACAGATAAATGTGTCTCTTTTATTCAACAAACCTGTATTGAATATGTGTCAAGTACGATGATCAAAAAGACTCAGTCCCTGCCTTTAAGAAATTTAACGTCTTGGGGTATATACAGATAAAGAAATAGGCACTTACAATACAGAGTGATAAGAACTATGATAATGCTAAATCCCTTATGAGAGTGCACAGAAAACACATATAATGTAGACTAAGAGAGGTCAGGGAAGGCTTCCTGAGAGGTGCAGAGCATGAACAAAGGTGAGCTGAAAGAAAAACTGGAAAATGTGGCTTCTGGGAACTGTAAATTGCTCAGCCTAGCTCTATCTCAGAGTGAAGTCAAGTGGAAAGACTGGAGAGGTAAGTGAAGGCTAAATTATGGAGGGTTTTGAACATTGGAACACTACTGAAAGGTTTTAAGCAGAGAGAGACATGATCAGATGTGTCTGAATATCATATGTTTTGGAAGGAGAAAGATGGAATGAGGGAGATTGGTTAGAAGGCTATTGGGATTAACTAGCGATGAGATTATAATAGCATAATCTAATTCTGGTGGTTTCAAGACAGGTAGATGAATTCAAGAGATATTTGGCAGGAAAAATCAGTAAACTTTGATGTTTAATTAGATGTGGGGAATAGAGTAGAAAACATAGTGGAGGGTAGCACCCTCATTTCTAGTTTGGAGAACCATATGGATGGTGATGCCATTCACTGAGATTGGGATCATGGAAGGAGAAGAGTTGGGGTACGGAAAGATTATAATCTCAGTTTGGGTTGTGACTCTTTTTCAGGGACTATGGATTCCAAGTAGAGATATGTATAATATATGGATATTCTGCTATGTATGTTTCAGGATGCTTGGCTGCTCATAACTCTAGGAAGGGACAGAATTACAGACTGCATGGTTCTTACATGTCCGCGGATGCTGACTGGACATGGAATCAATGTCAGACACAATGGCAGTGAATACACTGGCTAGCCAGTAATTTTTCATGTATGATATGGTGTATTAGTCAGGGTTCTCTAGAGAGACAGAATTAGTAGGATATATATAGGAGTTTATTAAGTATTGACTTACATGATCACAAGGTCCCACAATAGACTGTAAGCTGAGGAGCAAGGAGAGCCAGTCCGAGTCCCAAAACCAAAGAACTTGGAGTCTGACGTTCGAGGGCAGGAAGCATCCAGCATGGGAGAAAGATGTAGACCGGGAGGCTAGGCCAGTCTCTCCTTTTTATTGTTTTCTGCCTGCTTTATGTTTGCTGGCAGCTGATTAGATTGTGTCCACCAGATTAAGGGTGGGTCTGCCTTCCCCAGCCCACTGACTCAAATGTTAATCTCCTTTGCCAGCACCCTCACAGATACACCCAGGACCAATATTTTGTATCCTTCAATCCATTCAAGCTAACACTCAGTATTAACCAGCACAAGTTCACCTCTTGTCAACTTGAGCCCATACACATCTCCTGAGATCATTCATAATCTGCAAATAAAGACAATAATGTCATAATTGCATCTAACTTAATACAACTATCCTTTTTCCAACCAGAAATGCACCAATCCCCAACCCAAATACTATTACATAAAGTTAACAATACTTAAATGCTGATATGAAGTCAATAAATCTTATGTCACACGAAAAAGGAAAAGGAAATAAAATAAAGATATTTTCTTAGCACAAGTGTATACATGCACAAACATGTTTTTAGCAAAAGAAGAAGGAAATACTCATGACAATCACAGTCCCTATTTCTGCAGCTGGTCACGTGGTCATAGCTGGTATTACTGACTACCTTCTACTACCCATTCTGTATTCCCTTTGCCTTCAGCAATCACCTCGGCAGGTCATGGTTTTTTTCCTGGTGGAGAGACCCAAATGTTCATTCCTGAGGGGTCTGGGCCATTTGTAGTCCTGCCTGGATTGAGCTGTTGTAGTTTCCCATTGACCTTAATCACAGGGCATGGTAATACTAACAGACGCCCTAATGGATCTGCTGTATTCCATTCATACTCTTCCTCACCTCTGTTGTGGAGTAGTAGACTGATTTCATCTTGATAGTCCAGGTCAATCACCCCAGCCAGCACCTTTCTTAGCCTCTTAACTAAAAGGTAGGAGGAGTCCAAAGTGTTCAGGTGGCAATCTTTTTTTTTTTTTTTTTTTTTTTTGATGGAGTCTTGCTGTCACCCAGGCTGGAGTGCAGTGGCGCGATCTCGGCTCACTGCAAGTTCTGCCTCCCGGGTTCACACCATTCTCCTGCCTCAGCCTCCCGAGTAGCTGGGACTACAGGCACCCACCCCACGCCCGGCTAATTTTTTTGTATTTTTAGTAGAGACAGGGTTTCACCATGTTAGCCGGGATGGTCTCGATCTCCTGACCTCATGATCCGCCCACCTCAGCCTCCCAAAGTGCTAGGATTACAGGCATGAGCCACCGCACCTGGCCTCAGGTGACAATCTTAACTTCCAGTTTAATGGAATTGTTGTGTCTCCTGGTGGCAGTGTTCCTCCCTCTGGAACTAAGAGCTCTAGGCCAGCAGAACTAAATGTTGTGGGAACAGGAAGCAAAAATTTTACTATTGGATCACTAGGGGTGATGGTGAGTGGTGCCACTTCCACTAGCAGCCCTTGATTCCTGGACCTGTGAATCCTGGCTATGGGAGAAGAAGTACCATATATTGGATGCTGATTCAGAGCAGACACAGCCTTCTAGAGAACTTTGGCCCAGCCCTGAAGAGTATTGTCACCTAGTTGGCATTGTAACTGTGACTTCAAAAGGCCATTCCACCATTCTATCAACCCAGCTGCTTCAGGATGATGGGGAACATGGTATGAACAGTGAATTCCATGAGCATGAGCCCACTGCTGCACTTCTTTAGCCATAAAGTGAGTGCCTTGGTCAGAGGCAATGCTGTGTGGAATACCATGATGGTGGATAAGGCATTCCATGAGTCCGCGGATGGTAGTCTTGGCAGAAGCATTGTGTGCAGGATAGGCAAACCCATATCCAGAGTAAGTGTCTCTTCCAGTGAGGACAAACCTCTGCCCTTTCCATGATGGAAGAGGTCCAATATAATCAACCTTCCACAAGGTAGCTGGCTGATCACCCCAAGAAATGGTGCCATATTGAGGGCTCAGCATTGGTCTTTGCTGCTGGCAAATTGGGCACTCAGCAGTGGCCGTAGCCAGGTCAGCCTTGGTGAGTGGAAGTCCGTGATGCTGAGCCCATGTGTAACCTCCATCCCTGTCACCATGGCCACTTTGTTCATGGGCCCATTGGGCAATGACAGGTGTGTCTGGGGAAAGAGGCTGAGTGGTGTCCACAGAATGGGTCATCCAATCCACTTGATTATTAAAATCCTCCTCTGCTGAGGTCACCCGTTGGTGAGCACTCACATGGGATACAAATATCTTCACAGTTTTTGACCACTCAAAGAGGTCCATCCACATATCTGTCCTCCAAATTTCTTTGTCACCGATTTTCCAATTATGCTTCTTCCAAGTCCCTGACCATCCAGCCAAACCATTGGCTACAACCTGTGAATCCGCATATAATCGCACATCTGGCCATTTCTCCTTCCTTGCAATGTGCACAACCAGGTGCACTGATTGAAGTTCTGCCCACTGGGATATTCCCCTTCACCACTGTGCTTCAGGGATGTCCTAGAAAGAGGCCGTACTGCTACAGCTGTCCACTTTCGGGTGGTGCCTGCATATCGTGAAGAACCATCTGTGAACCAGGCCCTAATGTTCTCTTCCTCTGTCCACTGATCATAGGGAAGTCCCCATGAGGCCATTGGTGCAGGCTAGGGAAGAGAAGGCAGGGTGGCAGGAGTGGAGACCATGGGCATTTGAGCCACTTCCTCATGTAACCTACTTGTGCCTTCAGGACCTGCTTAAACCTGATCATGTATAAAGCACTTCCATTTGATGATGGAATGCTGCTGTGCATGAACCACTTTATGGCTAGATGGGTCAGAAAGCACCCAGTTCATGATAGGAAGTTCAGGTCGCATGGCGACTTGCCCTGTAGTCAAATGTTCAGTTTCCACCAAAGCCCAGTAACAGGCTAAAAGCTGTCTCTCAAAAGGAGAGTAGTTATCTGCAGAAGATGGCAGAGCCTTGCTCCAAAATCCTAGAGGTCTCCGCAGTGATTCACCTATGGGGGTCTGTCAAAGACTCCAAACAGCATCCCTGTCTGCCACTGACACCTCAAGCACCATTGGGTCTGCTGGGTCATATGGCCCAAGTGGCAGAGCAGCTTGGACAGCAGCCTGGACCTGTTGCAGAGCCTTCTCCTGTTCTGGACCCCACTCAAAACAGGCAGCCTTTTGGGTCACTTGATAAATGGGGTGGAGTAACACACCCAAATGAGGAATGTGTTGCCTCCAAAATCTAAATAGGCCCACTAGGCGTGGTACCTCTTTCTTGGTTGTAGGAGGGGCTGAGTGCGGCAACTTATCTTTCACCTTAGAAGGAATATCTCTACAGGCCCCACACCACTGGACCCCTAGAAATTTTACTGAAGTAGAAGGTCCCTGAATATTAGTCAGATTTATCTCATCCTCTGGCATGCAAATGTCTCACAAATAAGTCCAGTGTGTTTGCTACTTCTTGCTCACTGGATCCAATCAGCATAATGTCATCAATGTAATGGACCAGTGTGATATCTTGCAGAAGCGAAAATCAATCAAGGTGTCTCTGAATAAGATTATGACATAAAGCTGGAGAGTTGACATATTCCTGAGGTAGGCCAGTAAAGGTGTATTGCTGGCCTTGCCAGCTAAAGGCAAATTGCTTCTGGCAGGCCTTATGGGCAGGAATGGAGAAAAAGGCATTTGCCAAGTCAATGGCTGTATACCAGGTACCAGGAAATGTGTACACCTGGTACAGCAGCTGCAACTGGAGTCATCACTTGGTTAAGCTTACAATAATCTACTGTCATTCTCCAAGATCCATCTGTCTTCTGCACAAACTGAATGGGAGATCCCTGAATCTGAACAGGGATGTAGCGGGAATCACCACCTGTGTGTCTTTCAAGTCCTTGATGGTGGCACTGATCTCTGCAATCCCTCCAGGGATGCGATATTGTTTTTGATTTACATTTTTCTAGGTAGAGGCAGCTTTAATGGCTTCCATTTGATCTTTCTCACCATAGTAGCCCTCACCCTACCAGTCAGGGAGCCAATGTGGGGGTTCTGCCAGCTGCTAAGTATGTCTATGCCAATTATGCATTCTGGCACTGGGGAAATGACCACAGGATGAATCTGGGGACCCACTGGACCCACTGTAAGTTGGACATGAGCTAAAACTCCATTAATTACCTGACCTCCATAAGCCCCTACTTTAACAGGAGGACCACAATGACATTTTTGGTCCCCTGGAATCAACACCAACTCAGAGCCAGCGTCCAGTAGTCCCCGAAATGTCTGATAATTTCTCTTTCCCCATTGCACAGTTATTCTGGTAAAAGGCTGGAGGTCTCCTTGGGGAAGGATGGGAGAGAGAGTTACTGTATAAATTGTCGGTAGTGGGGTCTTTTCTCAAGGGGACCTGGCCTCCCTTTCATTCAAGGGGTTCTGGGTCTGTAAACTGGCTGGAAAGTCTGGAAACTGATTGAGGGGCCATGATTCTCTGTTTTTATAATTCATGTTAGTTTTTTATCCATTTGACCTAGAAGTTTTCTGCTTGTATAAATTAAGTAGGAATGCAGTAGGCTTCCTATCAATTTCACCTATAGGAACACAGTTGTTAAGTATCCAATGCCAGAGCTCTGCATGAGTCAGACTATTCTAATTGCCACTTTGCCTCTGCTGTCCATTACAGTAGCTACACCCACCTTGCCTTTTATGGTTGAGTGCTGCCACTTGGCCCCTGCCACCTCAGGATTGTATTTACATTTTGTAGTTGGGTAACTGCAGTTCCCACCATTCAATCTGACATACAGAGAAGAGCAATTACAGGGCTCTTCAAAGATCCAGGTGCTGCCCTCACAAATCTATTTCACAAGGCATTGGTCAAGGGTATATCTTCTGGACCCTCCCAGCTGGGATGAGTAGGTCTAAAGTGGCTAATCCACTCCACCATCCCAATGTTACTAAGCCTTGGGATCCCTCCCTGTACATTAAACCAAGAAAGATCAGGCATTTCCAGCTCACTCACGGTGGGCCATCATTTAATCCATATTTCAGCTAACCAAGCAAATAAACTATTAGAACCTTTTTTAACTCCCCGAGGTGCAACGTTAAAAGCAGAGTCCCTACTTAGTGGGCCCAAATCAATAAATGCAGCCTGATCAAACTCTATGTTCCTTCCACCATTGTCCCACATCCTTAATATCCATTCTCATGCCTGTTCTCCAGATTTCTGTTTATAGAGATTAGAGAACTTAAGGAGTTCTTTTCAAGTGTAGTGAACCTCCTCATGGGTCACACTATCAACTTCACCTCTAGCGGCCCACTGAGATTTTAGTTATGGGTTTAGAAGGAAACAGGGGTGTTGGGGGTGGCTCCTGAGGAGAATCAACATTATCTTGCCTGGCAACTGCCTCAGGGGAGGCCATCACTGTTGCCTCAGGCAGCACAGGGTTTATCTCCTCAGACAGAGGTGGAAAGGCTGATGGCAGCATGGGTCAGGGAGGGGATGTTGCCACTACTGGGGATGGGGAAGCTGTTCCTTTTGGCAAAAAAGTTTCATCGGAGTTTACAAACTCAGTGTCCCCAGCTTCATCGGGGTCCTCCCACACATCCCCATTCCAAGTTGCAGGGTCCCCCCACACATCCCCATTCCAAGTTGCAGGGTCCCATTCTTTTCCAATCAATGCCCTCACTTTAATAGTAGACACCTGGTGAGGCTGTGCATGCACCTTTTGTTGCAGGTCAGGAACTCACATAATAAGAGCTTGTGTCTGTTTTTCCACAATTTCAGCTCTTTCTCTATAGGATATAAGACTCTCACTAAGGGCAATCTTAGCAGATTTGAGGTTCAGTATCCGCTTCTGAATCCAGGAGACAGAATCCCTGAGTTCATCACTTTCTTTCATCACTTTGCCCACTGAACTTAGAAGAAACCAACCAGCTTCGTTATGTTCCTTGGTTCTCCACATATGGTCAAAGGTATTATGTACAGAGTTACTAAACTAGCCTCTCATGAGCAGTGAATCAGGAGTGTCCAATGCATTTATTTTGCATAACTGTCTAAATAGTTCATGCCAAGGACTATCAGTGTTTTCCATACTATTAGAAGTAGAATCCTTAGCATTTTTGGGTCTAATCATATTAAGCAGCTGACTCCAGAAACCCCAAAATCAATGAAAGAACTCCATCCTTAATATTCTGTTCCTCTAGAACCACTCCCAATACCAAAATCTGTATTAGTCAGGGTTCTCTTACAGGGACAGAACTAATAGGATATATATAAAATTAGTTTATATATATAAATACAAACTAATAGGATATATATGATACATATGATATACATATATATATATGTGGGAGTTTATTAAGTATTAACTTACATGATCACAAGGTCCCACAATAGGCTATCTGTAAGCTGAGGAGCAAGGAGAGCCAGTCTGAGTCCCAAAACCAAAGAACTTGGAGTCTGATATTTGAGGGCAGGAGGCATCCAGCATGGGAGAAAGACATAGGCTGGGAGGCTAGGCCAGTCTCTCCTTTTCACGGTTTTCTGCCTGCTTTATATTCACTGGCAGCTGATTAGGCTGTGCTCACCAGATTAAGGGTGGATCTGCCTTCCCCAGCCCAGTGACTCAAATGTTAATCTCTTTTGGCAACACCCTCACAGATACACCCAGGACCAATACTTTGTATTCTTCAATCCAATCAAGTTGACACTCAGTATTAACCATCACATGTGGCTCAAACAAATGAGTTATGTCAATCAGATTTTGTTTTTGGAGAGTTTCAACCAACCAAGCCACTGACTACTGCCAGTAACTGATGGACGTTGGTATTGGAAGGTCTTACAAACTCAGGGGCTGTGATAGCCATTGGGCCCGTATGTAAGTTGCTGAAAGGGCCATTGTCTTCCTGAAAGACCTGAAAAGAGAAAAGAATGGAACAGACACAAATTGATGAAGAACCGAGAGAATATGTCACTGCCCATGAGAAAGAGACAGAGAAAGAAAAGATGCCTGGTTTATGTTCTCACTTTCAGTTCTAATTTCCTTGAGCCTGGCTGTTCTTGTTTCTTGTGAATTCTCTCTTTCTGTGTGTGTGTTTAAATGTTAAATATTTAAATTTTAAACTTTAATCCTTTTTAGTATATGACCAGAAAGCCTGCAATTAGAATAGAAATTGGTACCAGGAGTGGGGTTTCAAGTGACAGAGCCTTAAAATATGGGACAGTTATGGTATCACTGGGAGAAGATATAATCTAAAATAAATTACAAGATGAGAATTTTGCAGGCTGTGATTTTTGGTGAAAAACTAGTTAAGTGTCACCTGCAATCCCTTGAGACCCAGGACATAACCATACAAAAGGTGGAGCTCTGGGAGGCTTGATGACTGAATGTAAGAATAAGGAAGCAGATTATTTATTGCTTAGAATCTTAGATTAAGGCCAGCAGCAAAGAGACACGTTTCTATCCAGAATGCCTGTCTATCAGCAAATAAGAAAAGCAAGGTGATTATGTAATCCTGGGGCAGGAAGCCCATTTTGTCTGTAACTGGAGCTCTCTGATTACTTAGATTCAAATCCAGAAACTAATGGGCCTTGCCAAACTGTGGTCTAGTCCTAATTTTCTGTCTCATTGAGTTTCTAGTGCTAAAGCTGTGATTGACAAAGATGGATATTTAGGCCATTGGAAAAGGATTATCTAGAAGGAGTTGCTGGGGAACATGACACTCCCACAAGCTTCTCCAAGGCATTTTTTACTCTGCCTTCCCTACAAAACAAGAAGATCCCTTCCCACTGGGAGGCAAGTCTAACAGCCAGGATTGAAGTATGGATAAGGAAAGACAGATTAGGAAAGAAATAGCTAGCACTTTTTGCCTACGTCCCTTTTGTACTAAGTGGCATCGGTCATTAAGAGAAGGATAGTCAGATTGAAGAGCCTAATCCTGGGTTCTGAGCAACAGAAAATTGATGGGCCTGGTCCTCAGGACTTATTTCAACTATTAAGAATATGCAGGCTTCCAAGGACATTGGCCTTACAGTGTCAGTCAGGGTTCCCTGTAGCTTCAGGATTAAATATTTGCTTAGAAAAGTAGCCACTGTATGGCTCTTATCCTAGAGATCTCTTTCTTTCCTCTTCTAAGTAAATGATTGTTTTCTGCTATCTTCCCATTTTTGTTCCATTGTTGAATATTGGGCTATGGCAGAGGTTAAGTTTACCATTTAGTTCATAGATTGTAGGAAGATGAGATGTCACCTTTGGACAGGAGAGGAATGGATATAACCTGAATATTGTGGATTCTGAGGCAGGCAGGCAACCTTTGAGATGGCCTTGAGACACTCACTGCCTCTGAATGAGGAGCAGAATATGACTTCAAGTTATTTCCTAGGGGGAGAGGATGTATGATTTATAGTTGTAAATTTGATCAATTAGACGAAAGCACCTTTGAAAATGTCCAAATAAGGAAAAGGTTATGTGTGCCAGGCAAGCAATAGAATGAAACTGACAGGCTTTCATTATTTGTCTTATTCAATGATGCTGGAAGGGACAGCATTATATGCCACATGGACGTGGGATGGACACCTAACCCAGGGCAGCAAATCCTATGACTTACATTGTCAGGGTTGAATGGATAGGCTCATCAAAGCAGACTCTTTCTCCCGAATTTTGAACAAGGAGACATTGGGTCTATTATCACTTGGAGTGAGCTCTTCAGTTGGGTCCTATACACTGGGGGCATGATGAGTAGACAGGAATGAGGTGGGGTGCCAGGGGAGAATGGAGCAGACACCTGGAGACTGGTGACTCCTGAGAGGGAGAGATAGAGTTGTTGCTTCTGTTCTTAATGGGTTTCTCCTGATTTTAGAACCTCTCATATCTGGCAATATTTTACTTTTCTGTTCTTGGATTTCATTGGATTTCTGCTTTCTTACAATAAATCCCAATCTGTGGCAGAAATCTAGCATTCAGGAGACAGATCTAGGTGGAAATATGTTTTTCAGATCCATCTACATTTTGGTGGAATCACGACCTGGGAGTGGAGGAAATCACCCAAGGAGGTGTAGAGGGAAAGAGAAAATATTGTATTCTGATCATTACAAATACTTCATATTGCATAGTATACCACAAGATATTAAATGTTGGCATATATTATTTACTCTTCTAAACAACTTTGTAAAGTAGCTGTTGTTATTGTCCTAATTTTACAAATGAACAAAGGTGATAAAAATGGGTTCAGTTATAATACTTTGCCTGGGTTGCACAGGTCTTCTGACTGAGTTCACTTTTCAGCTCCCATTAGGAGCAGAAGGGACTCAGAATTGGCAGGGCAGAGCTATATGCACTGGACCAGAATCTGGACCAGAATTCTCTCCAGAGGTGGGCACCACTTTGTAATCATAAAGACCAGTATTACCTGATATATGCACAGAAGTTGGCAGGAGAGTAAATGAATTAAAGGAAGGATGCTTATCCCAGAGCTCCTTGTTTCCCTTTGTGGGTCTCCTTTTCCCCCACCCCATAACTAGCCCTGCTGCTCTTTAGCCCCTTTGAGGGAAACCACTGACCTGCCCCATCCACGGAGAAGCAAGAGGCCTGTGCTACAGTTATCCCTCCCTATGGACAATTCCTGGTCCTTTGGGGGAGTGTTTAATGCCCCCAAATTTTGCCACTTGGGGGTAGGTAGTGGGGAGGGATGGTAAATGGTACTTTGTGGGAAAAGGATTACCTGTGCAAAGGATTCGGGAAATGCTGAGTTAAACAAACAAAAAGAGATTTCCTGATCACAGTTCTTAGACCATTAAATGTATGAACATGCATCTCCTAGAAGGGCATATTATGGGAAGAACTTCCCCAACTTACCTGACCACAGAACAGCTTCCTAATGTGCTAGCATTTTAAGCAGTAATGGGGAAGGGGAAAAAGATTGTGGAGGTGGGAGGCAGGAGGTGGGAGGCATGCAAGAACTTCACCTCAAGGGTTAGCAAACACCTACTCTCTATTCATGTGCAATGGCCTTGAGTGGAGCTCTCAACTGATAAGTGGGGGTTTGTTTGTGTGTGCGAGTGTGTGGTTTGTGTGTTTGTGTGTCCATGCACCCACACACGTAGGCACAAATCTTGGCTATCAACTCAAATGCAGGAACTGGATTGATTTTTATAACTTTGCTCTTAAGGTTTCTCACCCCCCAATATTTGCTCAGGCCTCTTTTGAGACTACATGTTAAATAAGGCATAGGCTGCCTCACAGTGGCTTTATTTGCTTGTTGTGGGTGGTGGTGGGGCCGGGGAGCTCATTAGGATTCTTAAAAGTTTAGGAAGGAGCAAAGGCCAAGTTAGAAGAGGATACCTGCCTCCTGACTCCTTGGGGGGCTCTCTTTTTGGCCTGCCCTACCTACTGAGGACTCATTGGAGGAGCCCTCACAGGGAACTTTTCTTAAATTGACACCCTCTGTTTATTTTTGAACCCCTAATTACCCTTTAAACTTGCTGTGGCTTATTTTTAGAGGTTTCTCATCCATCTCATTAACAGCTCGTAAAAGCTCCTGTCTCATATTTCTACCATTTGTGCCCTTAATTAAACACAGTGGCTTTTGTTATCTCAGAATACTGGTCTTGTTTAGAATTTAAATAAGATGACTCCAAGCTACTGCCTAACTGCTTTTTAAGCATTCCTTCCCTTTCCTCCAATCCTTTTGTCTGCCATGGGTCTGTCTAGAGCCTTGTCCCCAGGGTTCTCTCTGTTCTTTTTTGGTTATTTTTTTTATAATCAAGGGCTGAGAATGCAGAAGAAGGAGGCGTGGGATGCTGACAGCTCTGTTTTGTGTTTCAGTTTTGTTTTGTTTTGCTGATTTTGGGGGTAGGGCACCGTTGGGCTCCTTCCTCCACCTCTACCGGGAGTTAGGAAGAAAGAGATGGGTTAAGACTTTTTCAAGCTTTGCCATCCAACATGTGAACAGAACAGCAATACTTGATTAAATGCACACCAGGACTCTGATCCCTGATCTGACACCTGCTGATCCTCTTCCCTCATCAGGAAAGCACTGCCTAATTACCTTTTCCTGCTAGCCCAGTTTATATTCAAAACTTCTTAGTGGGACTGACCAAAATATTGAAAGCATCCATCATCAGAGGTGCTCGACACCAGGTACTGCCTCGCAGAGGGAGGAAGGCTGGTGTAGGGAAGAGGAAGCACTTGCGGTCTGGGGACTGTCAGTGGCACAGGCCCGGGTAGCACCTGCACTTTGGCCAGGGAAGGGCAAGCCCAGTCAGTGGTCTGTCCTTTGTGGCCTGGGCCCAATCTGCCCTGTGGAACTCACAGTCTCCCTGGCAAGAGAGAAACCTGTCATCTGTGCTGTTGGCTTAGTCAGTGGGCACAGGCTGAGGTGGTGCCCATGCCCTTCACAGGCAAAATAAAGCAAATAACACCAGGTTCATCTAGGCTTGACTCTCAGTTCCTTCCCTTGGCCTTGGGCAAGTTACTTTACTTCTCTTCCTTGTGTTCTCTTCCATATAATGAGGTGATATTAATATTACCTACCTCAAAAGGTTGATGTCAGAACTCAATTAGATAATGTATGTAAAGAATTTGGCATGGTGACTGGCACGTCATAATCATGTAACAGATGACAGCTGCTGTGATTAGTATTAGTATTACTGGAATATAGTGACCATTCTGGTCCTATGTGGCCAGTTGAGACCACAGGGGCAGTGGGATCATTGTGGGTCATTGTGATGATATGGATTTTATCCTGCAAAAGAACCTGTCTACTCATTCACTCACATGTCTGTTTATCCAACAAACACTTATCAAGCACTTAATATGTGTCAGGGACTATGCAAAGTGTGGACAAAGTGGGGCCATCCATGGGCGTCAGCTCTCAGGCAGCCTCTACTCTGATGTGGGAGATCCTACTGTAACATACATTGGAATAAAATATGTGCTAGAAAGAAGGTACAAACACTGGACTTACAAGGACAAACAAGAAGGAGCTCATAGTTATGACCTGAGAGACGCAGAACTCAGGAAAGATAGAGGAGGGATGTTTGAGCAAGAACGTAAAGGATAAGAAAGATTTCAAGGAGCAAAGGAGGGAGGGAAGAACATTCTAGGATGAGGGAGAGGCATTAGCAAAGTCATGGAAAAGTGAAAGTGCATGGGTATTTGGAAAATGTAGCCTGGGTAGAGAGAGAAAGTGACCATGTAGGGCCCAATGATGGCTGGACTCAAATGCCACAGCAGGGAATTTGAAGGAACTGAGGTCTTAAGAGAGGTGACATTAGACCTTTGTTTCAGAGAGATAGCTAACCGGGGCTGTGTGAAGTAGATTGGCAGTGGGTCCTAACCTTTCATTACCAGGAAATCCCTTTCATTAATTTACCCCCATAGATCTGGCAGTTTGATTTTGGACATTTAACACATTACATTTATCAATAGTCTGTGGTGCTTTATTGGGGTAAATGTATAGTTTCCAGTAGTTCTTTTAAATACTGAAGACCCCTAGATATTTAAGAGTGCCAGGCTGGGAACCAAAGGGCTAGGAAGGTAGAAGAGCAGATGTCTGAAGACCCCTTAGTAAATTCCTGGAGGCCCGGGACAGAAGCGAAGTCCTGAACTAAGGCAGGTGTGGTTTCTGAAAGGTGGGGACAGGTATGAGATGTTCTGTGGGTGAAATGGACAGAATTCGGTGAGCGATTGGGGCTGAAGTGAGTGAGGAATAGAAAAATGAATCAAGGTTGGGCATGGTGGCTCATGCCTGTAATCCCAGCACTTTGGGAGGCCAAGGTGGGAGGATCGCTTGAGCAGGGGAGTTCAAGACCAGCCTGGGTAACATAGTGAGACCCCCATCTCAACAAAATTATTTTAAAAAATTAGCTGGGCACAGTGGTGGACATCTGTGGTCCCAACTACTCAGGAGGCTGAGGTGGGAGGATAGCTTGAGCCCAGGAGGTAGAGGCTGCAGTGGGCCATGTCCTTTCTACTGCACTCTAGACTGGGCGACAGAGCCAGATCCTGTCTCAAAAAAATAAAAAGAGAAAGAGAAAGAGAAAGGAAAGGAAAGGAAGAAGGAAGGACGAAAAGATGAGTCAGAGCGTCTGGGCCTGGGGATAAGAATATCAATGAGAGGGGACCCGGAGGGGACTGGTGGCCAGAAGGAAGGAGTGTCAGTTGATAGCAGATGCACTGAGTGTGAGTCCACTGCAGTCTTCTACATGGAGTTCTTCAGCAGGAAGTTGGGAGCTTGGGAGAAAGGTCACTGCTGTGGGGCAACTCAAGACATTTTCTCATGGGCAGTGAAACTGAGGCTCACTTAATCTTCCATCCTCAGACCCAATGGCTAGGACTAGTGCCCCCTGAGACACCCACCTTTACCCTTACCTTCTGCCCTGATGAGACCCCAATAATCTAGAGTCTATTTCCTAACATTCTCCTGTATCTGTCCTTCAGTGCTTAGGAAAGTGTTGCTGACTATAGGAAAGAAAAGACTGGGTTAGGGAGAGGGGTGTGAAGAGGTGCCCAGGCCAGGGCAGCGCTCCACCACTGCCTCCTGCCCTGCTTCTGCCCAACCTGCAGTTAGCCTGGTTTAAAACAGATGCTCTCAGTCATGATCAACCTGTCTGCTTCTGCCTTTGCTCTGTGGTCATGGGAAGCAGATGTTTCACCCTGCTGTAGTGGGGACTGAATTACAGTGGCATTGGTGTGGGGTGACCTTCAGGGCACTGGGCAAGGCTCGCAGAGGGGGTGCCTTTGCTAACACCCCTCCTGTGCAAGTCTGGCAGTGTGTTGCTCATGGGGCTGCCGGCCAAATGCCAGAGAGGGAAACAGTCACACCCCCAAACTGTTCATGAACAGACCTAAGTAGACACACAAGTCCCATCACAGGGGAACACAATCCCCCTATGAGCTGTGTCTGGGTCAGGGTCTTCTCAACTTAGGAACAACCATCCCATGCCAGGTAAAGCCAAATCTCTAATTCTGGGCTTAATGTTCCTTGATGCATGTGCCTGGACTTTGTTATGCATCAGAAACACCAGCCAGCTTGTTGAAGTGCAGATTCCTAGGCTCCAATCTAGTGCATCAGAGCTTCTGTGGGTAGCAATTTACATTTTTAACAAGCTTTCTAGGTGGCTCAAATGCACAGTAAAGTTTGAGACGCCGATGGAGAGCGTCCTCTGTTAAATCACACCAAGACTTCTTTCTTGCATTGTCCATCACAGACCACGTTTGTGGGGTTACTATGTTAACTGTTTTCTGAATCTCATGCTGGGTATTCTGAATCTGGGTACTTGACTCTGGTTTTGGCTCGTGTGTCCTCCCCTCTTGGCTGTAGGTGCCTCCTCTCTGACAGGCTCCCCATGATGGGGCACCTGGATGTGCAGGGCAGCGGGAGGGAGCCAGGCGAGAAAGGGCACGAAAGAAATAGGACACCAGCTTCTAATAAGGGAGTGTGCCCAGCACCGGCTCAAGGTATGGGAGGGAAAAGCACTATCCCCTGCAGGGCTCTTCTGGAAGGCTTTTCAGGAGAGGCTGTAGTTAGGCCCCAAGAATAAGTGGGATTAGGTTTCCTGAGACTAGGGAGGGTATCCTGAAGATACAGAGTATAAACAAAGCATGGTGAGAGGAGGGTGTTGCATTTGGCCATAGAAACGGGTGCTGAAGACCCATGAAGTGTTTTGAACACCAGATTAATGCATTGTCAGTTTCATGTAAGGCAAAGTGCTTGGTAATTTTTAAAGCTCTATGCAAACATTAATCATTCCTTTCTCCTTCTGTGGGCAAAAGGGGAGTTAGTAAAAAATTATGAGTAATAGTGGGATGCCTGGCAAAGGTTTTAGGATGAATAAATTACTAGGGAAGTGGAGAACAGCTTTTTAGGGGTTCAGAAGCAGTTGTCCAGGGGCTGAATCTTATTAGTTTGGCCAACAGTGTTAGCTTTTCAAAAAAAATTTTTAAATTAAAAATTTTTTTTTTCAGACGGAGTTTTGCTCTTGTTGCCCAGGCTGTTGTGCAATGGCACGATCTCGGCTCATTGTAACCTCCACCTCCTGGGTTCAAGTGATTCTCCTGCCTCAGCCTCCCAAGTAGCTGGGACTACGGGTGCCTGCCACCACATCCGGCTATTTTTTTTTTTTTTTATTTTTAGTAGAGATGTGATTTCACCATGTTGGTCAGGCTGATCTCGAACTCCTGACCTCAAGTGATCCACCCACCTTGGCCTCCCAAAGTACTGGGATTACAGGCATGAGCCACTGTGCCCAGCCTTTTTTTTTTTTTTAATTTGCATTTGAATGTCTTTAAATAGAGCTTTCACCTTCCAGTTCCCACAACCTACAACTCTACGTTTGTTTTACAGCCTCACACATTTACACCTGCTTAGCCCCAGAAGGTATTAGAGTTTTTAATCTCTCAATTGGCACAGAGGAGGGTGAGAAGTTGAAATTCTAGTAGGAGAGATAACAGTAGTGGGAAGTAGTGAGGGCCCAGAGAGAGTGGGGCAGTGAGATAAGAAGAAGGAGACAACACAGAATAAGTAAATGGGACACGCTGGCGGATTGAGGGAGAGAGGGGAGTCAAGGGTTAAACTGATGGGACAATGCTGCTGAAGTCTGCAGAGGCTGAGGAGCAGCTCTGAAGGATATGTTGGGTTTAGGTTGTGGCAGGATATCTCAGGGCCTTGTCTAACGGCAGGTGACAATTTGGGCCTGGTGCTCAGAAGAATAATGGTAGCTGGGGACGCAGGTCAGCCCTGGCGTGGAGGCAGTGGGTGAAGTGGAGGTGGAGGTGAGTGGGGGTAAGAGTGTGCTGGGAGAGGGTGGAGGGCTGGAGGAGCCTTCTCACTGAGGAGGTGTGCAGAATAGTCAGGATGGCAGCAAAGCTGGATCTCATGCAGGATCCTTGAGTCAGAAAAGGAGAGAACCTCCAGGAGGGAGGGGCTGATTGGCTGCCAGAGGCACTTTGGCAGCCGAGGAGAATATGGGTTGGAAACACGTCCTTTAAGAAGCCATTGACTTTGAGCATCGGTGAGCAGGTCAGCAGGGGTGAGCGTCGGCATGGTTGGGCTCTGCTCCTTCAGTAAGGGAGCACTGAGGCAGTGGAGCTCCGCCTTTGCCTGAGGGGCTGGTATGGACTCCCGGCACAACCTGGCTCTAAACTGGACAGTGGAAGGGTGGCCTCTGCTCTGACCTGTCACTGTGTCTTCCCTGAACGGCTGTGCTTGGCCAAAGCTGAGCTGTTCATAGTTGTCCCACACTAGCTCACTCTGCGCCTCTCCCCAGATGGCCTAGAAGACCACGGCCCTCTCTGCTCCTCAAGCCAGAAGCTGCTCTCGGGTCAATAAGCTCGGGTTGCTGGAACTTTTCGGACTGCCGAGGTCACTTCTGCTTCTGGGTTGTCTGACCACTGGCCAGTTTTTTGCTTGCTCTTTAGCGGCTCTTCCTCCTTGTAGCTCAGCACCCTGTGAGGTTGAAGAGGCGGCTGCTCAGCTGTGGCTGAAAGTGAGGAAGCTCCCTTTAGGGGGTAAGAGTTGGAGTTTGAGATGAAAAGTGTTTGGTGCCGCTTGGCTTGACATTTTCCCCCAAAGTGAAAATCCAGCTGGCTTGTTCCCCTGGTTTGTCTCTGAAGCAGTATCTGGTATTTATAGAAGACTGAGCCAAGGGCCAATCAGCTCAGAATGGAAATGCCTGAGCCTGGAGTTCTCTGGGGCAACCGTCTCCTGGCTTTCTCTCTCCCTGGAGTTCAGCTAAGGTTTTCTCTCGAAAACTTTCAAGCCCTGAGAAGTTTGAAGAGACACAAACAGGGGAAAGGACCCTAAAGCACACTGACTGTCTTTCTCTTGGCATCGACGTCTTGTGTGTTTTTTTATGGTTGATAGCAAGAAGGTAGCTGAAGAGCTAGGAGAGTGGCCTGGTGTGGGGCGCAAGGAGCAGCTGCAGCGTCCAGCTGTCTAGGGTGATGGGCATAGTCTCCTGTTCCTACAGCCTCTAGGACGTCCTGCTTCTGAATTATGTGCCTGTGCTAACCTACTGGGACAGAATTGTTGTTTTTAGCATGTACCTTCCAGCTGCAAGGAAAAGGAAGGGGATATTTGACATTTTAAAAGACAGCTGGAATGAGTGAGATATCAACTGACACATTCATTAAATGTCATCACTTTTGTTTCTCTTCCACATTCAGTGCTTAAGTTATTCTAAATTAATTACCCAGCCACTTGATTTATTCCTTACACCCCCCTCTGTGCTTCCTGCCACCATCTCCAGGCTTAAGAGCAGCACAAGTTACCCGGTTGTAAAGGCTGAGCAGGGGCCTTCAGAGAAAGAGGAGACTGTCCAGGCAGCTAGGCTGCAGGATGCTCTCACAATGGGGTCAGAAGCCGAGCCTGACCACTGCCATGAAAGTTGTCATCCCCCTGTTTTACAGATGAGGGAAGTGAGGCTCAGAGAGGATAAGTGATCCATCCAGGGCAGACTGGGGAGGCTCAAGGAGCCAGAATTTAACCCAGGTCTTCTGCCTCTAGGCTCTTGAGCTTACCAAATGTATTGGTGTCAAAGAGGCAAATCTATTTTCACGTGCTAGGTAGCCACAGGGATTAAATAAACTGAAGAATACAATTTCACACCCCCCTCTGGCCCTTACTTCCTTGTCAGGGAGAGGGAGAGCCAGGTGCAGGAGGACAGCTACAGGTTAGCATCTAGAAGGCAGATGAGGAATCTCTCTGCACAGTAAGTCAGGTATATTTGTATCATTCGGCAAAGAAAGTTCTTAGTAATTTAAGGAAGACAATGTGTGAAGTTTGTCTGGCTCTTTGATTTCACAATCCATTTTAACTGCTGTGTGTCATTGTTGGTAATTTTTCCAGAGAGATGAAAGACCATGGTACAAAGGGCCATAGCCCTTTCAACTGTGATTAGCAAGTCCTCTGTCATCTCAGGGACTCACATTTCCACAAACAGAATTTCTAGCCCCAGGTTTCATTCCTTATTGCTCCAGCCTGAAATGTTCCCACAGGCCTAGCCTAGGTACAGACTGTAAGGTGAAGCCACAGAGAAAAGCAGAAATGCTACATGGCTCACGAAAGCCTGGGGCATCTGCCCACATTGGTGCTCTGTGTATCTCTGGATAATCTCTGATGTGTCACCAAACTTCCCCAAACTGTGTGGAAAAAAGAGCCACCTCAGGGAAAAGAGTCACATATCTCCTCCATTCCTTTCCCCAGTACTAATTTACTGTGAGTTGGTTGCCCTCAGGTGAGATTGCTGCAGGAGGTGATTCACAACTCTGGTACTGAAAGGAAAGAGATGCAAGGAGGCAGGAGAGCTGAGCTAGCCTGTGGGAGTGCCTGAGTTTGCAGGGTTCCTCTGAACCCTCCGTATTGTCTGCCCTCTCCTGTGGCAGCTCATCAGCTCATCACCAAATTTCCTTTTTCGTCAAGTCTCATGGCTCAGGTTTTGTCTGGAGCTGCATATTGTAACAGCGTGATGAGCTCTCCTGCCTTTTTGAAGCTCAACACTGCTTTTCAGTAGAGCTGTGAAGTTATACTGACTTCATTCTTCCTTGCATTGTCCATCATTTGCATCATTGTCATTTGGGTTTACTGGCTAGGGTTGGGTTTGATAGGCAGATCCCACAACTCTTTAGCTGCTCCTGGAGGAGTAATTGATATGGGGGATCAAATTAGTATGGATGACTGATGGTTCTCAAAGAGGCCATCACGGGACCCTCTCCTGGAAGGGATGAGGCTGGGGTTTCAGAAGGTACATTTAGGGGTACACCATGAAGGGATATGCATAGTTGTCTGGGTTAGGTAATCCTTCTCTAGGATGTCTTAAATCTCAGGTATTTCTCAAGGTTTGGTTTTACCATATTACAGAGTAATTTTCTATTTCTTCGTTTGTCTCCTCTGAATTGTGAGCTCCTTAAAGAGCTATGTTTTATTAGAAGGCAGTTTAGCATCATGCTTAAGCATGTGAGCTCTGGGATTTAATTACCTGGGTTCAGTTTCATGATCTTGGGCAAGCTCTTTACCCTCTTAGGGCTGGAGGGAGAATTAGATGAGATTTTGCATGTAAAGCACTTAGAACAATGCCTGGCATATAGTAACTGCTTAGTATATGTTAGTTATTATTATTATTAAATTTGCATGTCCTCATCTCTAACATGATACCTGATATACCTTAGATGCTCAACACATGTGTTTTGAGTGAATAGATGAGTAAATACCCATGTGTATGTAGAAAAAGAGGTGAGCCTGCCATAATGTGAGTAAGCCCAGTTGAAGTTCTTGAGCATTCTGGGGCTGAGGTAGCGCAGGAGAGAGAAGCTGGGCTTCAGGATTGAGTTCTGTTGTCGGGTTAGGAATTGGGCCAGGACACTTGCAGTTGTGGGAGATGACTTTCACAGGGACTTGGTAAGAGTTGAGTTTAGTGTAAAAGGTCTGGTTAGCTAGGTTTGACTTCCACATGTACTTGGTTCTGTACCAAGGATCACAACATGTGTATATCAGGAGGGTTCTCAGAGCAGAGGTGGATTTATGGACAGAATGTCAGCAAATGGCACCTTGTGGAGTGATTATAGTGTCTTCAAGAGTTGGGTTCCTGCCTATGTTACCCAAAGTAACCCACAGATTCAAGACAATTTCTATTAAAATCCCAATGATGTTTTTTAAAGAAATTGAAAAATTCATTCCAAAATTCATATGGAATCTCAGGGAACCCTACATAGCCAAAACAATTTTGAAAAAGAACAAAGTTGAAGGACTCATTCTTCCTGATTTCAAAGCTTACTTCGAAGCTACAGTAATCAAAACAGTATGGAACTGGCATGAAGACAAACATATAGACCAAATAATTAGAACAGAGAGTTTAGTAATAAACCCTTGCATATATGGTCAAATGATTTTTGACAAGAGTATCAGGACCATTCAATGGGAGAAAGGACAGTCTTTTCAACAAATGATGATGGGAAAACTGGATACCCACAAGCAAAAGAATAAAGTAGGACCCTTACCTTAGAGTATATGGAAAAACTAACTCAAAATGGATCAAAGGCCTAAATGTAAAGAGCTAAACCTATACAACTCTTAGAAGAAAACAGAGGAAATCTTCATGACATTGAATTTGGTGATGATTTACTGGATACAAAGGCACAAGCAACAGAAGAAAAAAGACAAATTGGACTTCATCAGAATTAAAAGCTTTTGTGCCTCAAACAACATGGTCAACAGTGTTAAAATGCAGCCCACAGAATAGGAGATAATGTTTTCAAATCACATATCTGATAAAAGATTAATGTCCAGAATATTTAGAGAAACTCCTACAACTCAACAATAACAACAGAAACAACCCAGTTCGAAATGGGCAAAGGGCTTAAGTCAACATTTTTTCCAAAGAAGACACACAAGTGGCCACTAAGCACATGAAAAGATGGTCAACATCACTAACCATTAGGAAAATGCAAATCAAAACCGCAATGAGATACTACTTCACACCCATTAGGATGGCTACTATCATAAAAGCAAGGGTTGGTGAAGATGTGGAGATATTGGAATTCTTGTGCAGTGCTGATGGGAATGTAATAAAATAGTGCAGCTGCTATGGAAAACAGTATGGTGGTTCCTCAAAAAAATTAAAAACAGAATTACTATATAGTCCAGCAATTCTATTTCTGGGTATACACCTAAAAGAATTGAAAGCAGGGTCTCAAAGAGATGTTTGCACACCTATAGTGTACAATAATAGTAGCATCATTCATAAAAGCTAAAACATGGAACCCACCCAGATAGCCATTGATGAGTGAATGGAGAAACAACATGTGGCATATCCATACAATGGAATATTATTCCGCCTTAGAACAGAAGGAAATTCTGACATATACTACAACATCTGTTGAGGACGTGATGCTACGTAAAATAAGCCAGCCATGAAAGAAAAAGTCTGTGTATTCCACTCATATGAAGTACTTAGAGGAGTCAAATTCATAAAGACAGAAAGTAGGATGGTGGTGGCCAGGGGCTGGGGGAAGGGAGGAATGGGGTGTTAGTGTTTAATTGGTAGAGAGTTTTAGTTTTGCAAGATGAAAAGACCTTTGTGGATGGATGGCGTTGATGTTAGCACAACAATGTGAATGTACTTAATGCCTTTGAACCATACAATTAAAAATGGTAAATTTTATGTGATGTATATTTTACACAGTTCTTTTCAAAACATCAAGGGCCGAGCTGATGGGAGACAAAAAAAGAGTTGGGGCCCTGCAAACATAGGTGGAAATGGACTTTCGTGAATCGAGTTATATTGAAGCAACTTGGATTCGCTTGTTATGAAGAATCATTTTAGGAAGCCCTTGATTGATCTGTTTCTGTTCATCAGCATTTGCATCAATCAGCCTTGCTTGGGCACCTCTCCATCATGATTCACGTCACTTTCTTTTCCCTTGACCTCTAAATGCTGATGGTTCCTGAAGAACCTCTTTTTAGGCTCCCTCATCTAGTTGTACTCGCTTAGTTGTACTCACTTGGCAGCGTCAGCCTCCTGTCTTCACATTGCTTTGTGGTGCAAGGTTTCTATAAACTAACATCTCACACCTGACCTCGCTGCCAGGCTGCGTCTTGAACTGCAGCTGTCTGCTAGACATCCCTCCAGCATCTCAAACTGAGTTTGGCCCAAATGGGACTCATCACTTTTTCTTGCTCTGCTGAATTTCTGGTTCCTGTGGAAGGCATAGAACACTTAGTTTCCAAGGTATAAAAACATCCAACACTTGGGAAACCCCCTTTCCTCTCCCTGTCTTTCAGATGAGCTCAGCTGTCAGTGGTGTTGCGTTTTCCCTCTGTGACCATCAAATTTTTTAAAAATAGAGATGGGGTCTTGCTATGTTGCCCAGGCTGGTCTCAAACTCCTGGGCTCAAGCAATCCTCCCACCCTGGCTTCTGAAAGTGCTGGGATTACAGGTGTGAACCGCCACATCTGGCTGTGACCACCACATGTTGTACAGGTACTCTGCCTGTGTCTGGGTCAGTCCTACACTCCCTCTTGAGTGGACGGCCACAACTGCCTGCCCATCTCTTCACCTCCAGTCTCTCCACATGGGCTTGCTGCTATGAACCAGCCAAGGGAAAGCTGGGGAGAGGCTGGTCCTGTTCCTTCTACTAAGGAATCAGACCTCTGGATAGGGCTCACCCTGAAGGAGAGCAGGATGTGGCACAGATCATAAAGTCCCAAGTGGCTTCTGGCTGATAAACAGCCCAGGGAGGAAAGCCTGGTTAAGTGGATGGGATGAGGCTGCTAGACTGAGTCTCAAAGTCAGAGGAGCAGGTGCCAAGCCACCAATGGAGGGTGGGGCAGCAGGTCCACCTCCCAGTGGAGGCAGTCGGCAAGAGCTACACAGGGGCCAGGTCTAGAGTCTGGTGGGTTGGGGCCAGGGCTGGGGACAGCAGGGCTCCATGGGCAGAAGTCCTGCACTCTGCCTGGGCTGACTAGTGCAAGCAGGGTAGCACTTGAACTCAGGGGGTTCACTGTCTCCCCTAGATTCAGGGTAGTGGCAGCCCTAGGAATTCTGGCTCTGGACCTTCACTTGTGTGGGCCCCTCAGTTTGCAATATGCCTCCTCCCCACAACTTCCACACTTCCAAATCCCACTCAGCCTCAACGCCTAGATCAGAGCCACTTCGCACCTGAAGCTGCCACTCATTTTGCTGAGCTGGGATGTTCTTTGTTGGACCTCCATAGCCTTTTACTTCACCTCCCTAACTGCATTTCCATTTTCTACCTTGAACTATTGTTACTCAGTGCCATTGTACTAGACTAAAAGCTTTCTGTGGGCAAGTCATTTGACAATGAATAGAACACATGGATGCCTGTGTTTGTTAGTGTTTCTGAATCCATCGTTCAGTAGCTGTCAGTCTCCACAGGCCTGTTTACATTCACTGTGGGTCTTCCCAGGTGCTGCTAACTCAGTATTTCCAGTTTTTCTTTCCCTGGGGAACTCGAGCCTTTTTTGTGAGACTCTATCAGTAGTTCTGGCAATGGACTGTGAAGAAAAGTGACGTGTTACTAGAGCATTTAGGCCAGTAGGAGACCCTTCCAAGTGCTCTTCTCCCTTATGGGTGGCAACTAGCAGTGTTTGAGATGTCAGCTGCTCTGTCCTCCTGAGTGCCCCTGAATAAATACGATGAGCAAAGCTCCTAGCTGACCTGTGATAGCTGAGCAAGGCTCCTAGCTGACCTGTGATGGGCGCCTATCATGGATGAGAAATAGGCTTTTGTGGTTTTCAGCTACTGCAATCTGCAGGTTGTAATTGCAGCATAGCCCAACCCATACTAACAGACACAATGACCCCTTTGGTTTATCAGCTCTAGATGTGACCAGCACATTGCCACATCCTGCTGGCTGCTGGGTGACCTGATGGGAAGCCACTGGCAAGGGGAGGCTGCCTCTTCAGGCAGTAGAGTGCTGCTCTCAGCAGTTCAGCTCACTGGGCCTCTCACGGTGGAGCACCCCTCATTCAGATGCAGATGTGCAGGAATGGACGGTCCCTTCCACTCCCCTCTCTACGGACTGCTCTCTAAATTAATTAAAAGCTGCAGGCGAGCAGAGAGATATTCTATTACATTAGAATGTTCTTTTTTTAAAAAAAAATGTTGAGGCTGCAATAGTATTTTCCCATGGCTTTGCCAAATTGTGTTTTACGATGGTTAGCAGGATTCTCTACTGGTGGGTGACAGCATCGTACTTCCCAGATGTGTGTGGCCCACTTCCCTAGGGGAGCTTCAGCATCTGCAGGGGTTGCTTGTTGAGCTGAACAGCTGAGGGAACAGCGGAGCCCTGTGCGCCAAATGATCTCCGAGCCACAAGCCTGACAAAACACAGGTGGATTCCAGCCTGATGAGGTACACAGGTATTCCTTGGACAGAACAAAAAACAAACAAGCCGTTCTGCTCTACCTCTGATAGAAGGGAAGTGGTTATCCATGTGAAGCAAAGATTGAGAAGAAAAGCTTTGAGATGTCCTGTGCGTGTGTTGACTGCTAAACCCCAGGAACATAAAATGACAAGAGAAATGGGCAAGAGACAGAGATTTAATTGAATAAAAACTCCAGGCTGTGACACGGGTGGGAAGACACAAACGAGTAATTAACAACATAATATTTTAAATGACAGTGCAATTAATTAACGTCCTGGGTAAGCGCAGAGGGGGAGGAGGGCGTCTTTCAGCCCGGAAACACTGCTAAATAAAGGAGAAGGGAACTTTTCATGTTTTTTAAAAAAACCTATGTGCAAATGGCCCTGGTTATCACAACTTCATCAAAGCTCACAGCAACAACCCGAGAGGTTTCTCCGGCCAGAGAAAGCCAACAAATGGATCAACTTTGTATTTCATTTTCTTCTTCTCTGTGAGGGAAGAGATACTGGGCTAGATAATGAAGTTGGCAGATGTTCAGGTTTCATTCATGATTCAGGCTGAGGAGTAGTCTACCTTGAGGGTGCTGGGGATGAGGCTGCAGGAGATAAAAGCCTCCCTGGGGTGGGCTCCCAAGCCTGTAGGAATTGACCCAGACTGCTAGAGCAGCAGCGGTTGCAGTTGGCCAGGGTGGTGTGGGGCTGGCTAGAATCTGTTCAGGACATGATTTTCTGAAACCACTGGGATGTTCACTCATGGGAGATAGCTGCTTGGATATAAGAGGAATGTCTCAGATGAGCAATACTATTGTGATTCACATTGATCACACTCCCTTCTCCAAGAGGTTAGAATGGGTTATACTCACCTGCCTAAGGGTTTAACGATGACAGCTGGACATGAATTTTGAGTTCACTTCCAGAAGGACCTTCTCACACTAATTTCTGGACTCCTTATGACCCAGGGAACTCAGTTGTCTCCTTTGTAATGGCAAGGCCTTCAGCATCTGTTCACTGACGGAAACGACTATCTTGATGGGGTCAGTCTAGAGTCAGAATCATAATGAAGTCTGTCACCTGCCAGGAATCTTGTCATGACCTTGGGTTTTTTCTCACTCTCAGGAGAACACCCAAATGTAGGACTACCAGACTAGGAAGGCCTGTCAATGACAAGATATCTGGGGAGAAAAGTCATCTTTACACATGAGTCCCTAGCCTAAGGCTCAGTACAGGGTGGAGTTTAGGTTTATCTACATTTACTTTTCTAAGCAGAAAATTCCTTTTGCCACAATATCCTGTTAACTCATGCCCAACCTGGTCATTTTTAGGGCTAGAAGATACTATGCAGCGTTCTATCAGCAGAGAAATCTGACAACTTGGTTTAAAATGAGGGATACTTTATTGGTCGCTGCTCCTCTACCATGTAGCATATATAAAGAATAAGACACAGGTGTGTGAACAGATTTTCTGTTCTTGATTTTCCACTGTTAAAAGAAGGGGTTCTTCAGCAGACTTGCCTCTTGCAAGTAGTACACACAGCTCAGGAAACTGGCACTGTGTCGCCACAAGTCGAAGTAGAAACTCACCTCCATGCGCTTACTGGGGTTATACAAACTGAGATTGAGCAAATCAACCTGGTTTTAGGGGTTGGTGGGAAGACCACTATTAACTCAACAGAAATGTGCTATTACAACACAGAATAGTTCAAACAATTTTTTTTTTCCTAAACTGAGTTTGGCCTAAGGTAAAGATCTAAAGGAAACAAGAAACCCTCACAACCACTGAAACAAACAACACTGAAGTACTTAGTAATTTATAGAACTAAAGTTTAAGATGAATATTGTCAAAGAGCCAAAGGGGCTGAAATAGGCTTACGCTGACTCGGTTTCAATCAAAAACATACTCTTCATAGAAAGATGGACTCAAACTGCTATTTGGATTTCAAAACTCCCCATTTGGAAAAGAACATTTAATCTAGGTTTTTCTTTAATCTGTTTAGGCATTTTAAACAGCAGCTTGATACTTCATGGAATTATAAAGCTATGTATAATGCAGAAATCATTCCAGAACATATGTTTCTCTCTTACTTTACAATCAAGATTATTTCTGAGGACAAAGATCCTGTTTTCAAACAAATGTGATCATTAACTGTGGCGCATCAGAAAACATATGGCGTGTTTAGTTTCGGCTGAACTGAATCATTCCTAAAGAAAGTGACTAAGTTCCCATGAGGAATCAAGACGTTTTCAATTCATGGGGAAAGCCAGCGAGGAAGGGGAGCGAGGAACCCTGCACATCAGCTGAAGGCTCACAAGCGCCTCAGAGGTCTTGTGATTTCAACACGGGACTGAGGGTCCCAGCGTGGTTTATGTCCTGCCAGCGAAGAGCTTCAAAGACTAGTAATTCACCTCACAAAGGCTCTTCCATGGATTCACCCCATTCCTGCAGGGCACTGAAAATGCAGCCGCAGTCCCACCACGCCTCCTCCTTTTCCAGGGTTGTGGAGCTTGCTGGAGACGCAGCATTTCAGAAACTCAATCCACCTCTTTCCAAAAAACTGTACCTTGTATTTTCTAGAACCAACTTCTGGGCTTTCCACCCTTTGTCTTTTCCTACTCTTTTTTTTTTTCCCTTTTCTTACCAGCAGACCCATAAAAAGTGAAAAACCACAAAAACATCACCTTGGGAGACACAAAAGACTAAGACAGATCTGACCACATGACAAGTGTCTCAGCTTTGACCTACACAGGAGCAGGTAAGACTCTGGAGTGACGGACGGCTGCCGCTGCTGCCGCCACTGCGACTGCACAACACTGTTTAGACGGTTGAACAAGTGCAAAGAGAACATTGCTGAGTCCCATTTGTGTTATTTGGCTGCACATCTCATGGTGTTGGAGGTGGTTTCGGAGATGGGCACGAGCTCTCACTGTCGAAGCTAGCAGCTCGGCCCTGCCACTGCAAAGAGGAGAACAATCTGTTTATTAATTGCTAAAGGAATTTACATTTCAACTTGCAAAACTGAACTGGCCCAATGCACTGAATTCACCTTTCCTAGCTTCTCATAAGCTTTCTTGAATTTTGCTGTCAGCCATGCAAAAACATAAGGGAAACAGCTTAGAGCTTCTAGTTTGGAATACCTGATTTTCAAAAAGACCTACTGCAGAGATAATTAAAGCTTTCTTAACTCTCTCTCTCTCTCTCTCTCTCTCTCTGTGTGTGTGTGTGTGTGTGTGTGTGTGTGAGAATGAGGTGCTCTGACTGGGCCATTTCTGTGTGCTTCAGCCATTTTTCACACTGAAAATCATATTATGTTAGCAGCGAAAGAGGCAGTGTGCAGAATATGTCCTTACTGCCAAGAACCCATGGTCATGCATTATTAGCAATTTGTCTGGGAGCTGACAGTACAGCTAAAAATCTGATACTGCTTTAGCTTTGAGCTGTCTCCTTTGTTTTTCATTCTTCCTATGGGCATTTGCACCTGACTTGTGGAGAGGTAGAGGTGTGAGCAGACCCTTCTGGGCTTCTGCAACCCCTTTCTCCTCCCCAGTTCTCCTAGGTCACAGACTGCCTCCTATCAGCCTGACTCTAACCCTTCTGTGAAAGGGGTGATGTAATGAGGCGTAATGGAGTGAAGGACAGGGCTGAGGCTGGGTGGACTTGAACCATTCAATCCTTCTTTAACCAGTCATCGCTGCAGCAGTCATAACCCCAGCAATATTTACTGAGCAAAGATCTGACCCCATGAATATTCTTGACCTGCCTGGGGGCTTTATGTTAATAACTTCAAAGTGAGTCAGTGTCCACTGCTCACCCATCCTTGGAGTGGGCTGAAGAGACCCAGTACTGTCCTGGGTGTCTGCAGGACAGAGCTCCAGAGTTAAGAGGTAGGTAGGTGGTCAAGATGGCCTTCCTGACCTGGAAGTGCAGCCCCTTCTGCTTCTCATGAGCGTTGAGGGTCTCCACTATGGAGTGAGGGGGCTGAGTAGAAGCTGCTACTATGCATCATGCATACATGGAGGTTTGGGGTCGGGGGAGGATGTGGTTCTCCCTCAATACAGCCATTCCTAGAAGGGCCGAGCCACCTGAGGAATAGATCACTTTCTATCCAGCATCACCTGCGGAGTAGATGGGAAACCCATGAAGTTCAGGAAGGACCCAGACCTACTAAACTACCTTAATGCTTTCAATTCTAAGGAAAGCTTCTGTTACCCTTCTCTGGGCTCGGTTCTTCATGGGCTTCTTAGGACTCCCTGTTCAGGCCAGCTGAAGATCTTTATGACTAACCAAAGGCCAGACAATCAGGTACCGATGACCACCATTATGTGACCTAGACCTAAGCAATCTTAGCATGTCAGCACTGGAGGCAGGCTTGGAAGCTGATCCAGTCTAACCTTCTTGTTCTCGCAAATAAGAAAACAAAGACAGAGAAGTCAAGACACAGCTAGCTAGGGGCAGAGCCAGAACCCGAAACCAGGTCTCCTAACACCCAACCAAGTGTTCTTTCCACTCCATCCTGCTGCTATCTCAGCATCTGGCCACACTAGGGGAAGAAGGAGACAAAAGGTAATAAGCAACCTAACGTCTTTGGGTCCACACCAGGTACTTACTCCTAACTCCAGGTGGCAGTCTCTCTGCTTGCAGCATCCACGTGAATGAAATCACAACCGAGGGTTTCCCTGGTGAAATATTTTAGATAAATAAATGCCTGGTTGTTGAGGCCACTGTGGCTTCTGACTCAAGTGTTTCTTAACCAGAAGGTGACAACACATGATTACTAATGCTCTTATTTAACAGACCTTCATTTTAGGAGTTCTACTTTTCTGTTACAACCTTTACTGTTGGTGAAAGGTACATTATAATCACTGGCTTCTTCCCTGAGTAAGCATGCCACTTAAACAACCTGACTGATAGGCCAGGTCAGAGGAGAAAACATAAAAGGACTACACAGAGTGTCTTTCTTCCTTTATGTAACAGCCCAAAGAGTAGTAGCAGGGAGCATAACTGTTTATCTAGAACAAATGAAGAAGGAACACTGGCTCCCCTGCTAGTCTGAGTTTTCCTATGAAGATAAACAAAGGGAGGAGATGGGGTTTGTGGACAATGGAAAGGCGAATGATTCCAGGAGGCTTACAGTGGCTCTGAAATGGCAGCATACCTGTCCCCAGCACACAGGGAGATTATTGTTTCAGAATGCCTGTGTTCCAGTAAGGTCTTTTGTTGCTCTGAAATGGGTCACGTTCCAACAGAGATTTAACATCTCTGGCAGATGATCTGAACCCGGCCCCCGTAATAAAATGCCTTGGAGAAGAGCGCTGGTCAACTCTGTGTGTGGTAACAATGATGACACATGGCTCTGGGCTGAGAGGGAAGGGGGCTGGTGCTGCAGCTGGGAAAGGCCACTTGTGATGGCTCAATGAATTTTTATTTATGAAAGAATCCCAGCAGGGAAAGACACCTTTTCAGTTAATTTGTTCCCCTCAGCCTTATTTTGAGCCCCAAACAAGTGAGCAAGTATAATGCCCTCTGTTCTCATTAATAAAAAAGAAATGATCACAGCACTTGAAAATCCCTTAAGAAAGGTTCAAGATAAATACAGAGGGCTTTGCGGATATGATGCCATTTATCTTCCCAGGAGCTGGAGGAGATTTCTTTATGATTATACAAATGGGAGATACAAGTTTCAGGAGCAAAGTTCTTGCTCAATATCCAGAACGGGAACGAAAAGAAGGCAGGATGTGAGCTCTGAGGATGAGCGGGAGGATTGCCTCCAAGCACAATGCATCGCGTGGACACAAGGTGCTTACTTAATGTCAGCCCTGTGGGGGTTTACATGCATTTTAATAAAGATATTTAAACTGTGGGCGCTAAATGTGTCAGTGACAATTTTAAATAAACGTGAACTATGGAAATCCCAGGTTGCTGAGACGAGTGTCATTTTTAGCTTCTTGATATAGAGAATGATCAGCTGAGCAGAAAATGGCAGGATCGTGCGTGGGGGAGGGGGCATTCCTGGGAGCTTGGCCTGCAAGGTCAGGAAAAAAGTAAACCCAAAGGATATCAATTTATTCTCTTTTTGTTTTCCATATACTGTTACTTTCCCATTACTGTCTCATCAAATATTCATTTTCAAGGGCTTGATTCTATTTTATCTTTCTTTTGTAGTCTGAACCAGTGAGTTAGAGTTCTCAAAGAAACAGGGACTTGGAATCAATTATTTGGCTTAATTAGGTTATATTCATCATGAAGGAGAGTGATTCTGGGGCCAAGTCCTGGCCCATCTGTGGTACTCAACACCCCACCCCCAGCTGTAGCCGCTGCTCTGTCACTTTCCATTTTCCACAGGCAGGCCCAGCCTGGTAACAGGGATGGGTTATTGCGGATTGAAGATTAGAAAGGCAGTCACAGCACAAGATGGGGGCTCACGGGCCCAGCCATTGCTTAGGGTCAGAGTTTCCTAGAAAAGCAAAGATGGGAAGGGCTTATCCCCTCATTTTACCAAGGAACCCAAAGACCAGAGTGGGGCAGTGAGTTTTCTTTTCTTTTTTTTTTTTGAGATGGAGTCTCGCTCTGTTGTCCAGGCTGGAGTGCAGTGGTGCGATCTCAGCTCACTGCAAGCTCCGCCTCCCGGGTTCACGCCATTCTCCTGCCTCAGCCTCCAGAGTAGCTGGGACTACAGGTGCCCGCTACCACACCTGGCTAATTTTTTGTATTTTTAGTAGAGACGGGGTTTCACCGTGTTAGCCAGGACGGTCTCAATCTCCTGACCTCATGATCCATCCACCTCGGCCTCCCAAAGTGCTGGGATTACAGGCATGAGCCACTATGCCTGGCTGGGCAGTGAGTTTTCTAAGGCCCTACAGCCGACCAGAGGCCTCTTAGCTCTCATTCCATGCCCTCCCCCTAAGCCACCCTAAACAGTTTAGTATACTTGTTCTATTCTTAAATATCTCCAAAGGAAGATAAGTGGGGGAGGAGGGGTGGTGGGGTGGATGGGGCTGTCATGACCTCTCCCTGGGTTGAACCAACACAGCCTTCAGTGAGGTGCTGGATGCTGTCTGCAGGTTGTCTAGCGTTCTGCCCAGCAGTGCCTCCTGTATTGTGGGCTCCTCACCCACACTCTGCAGAAAGGTCTTTCTGGAAAAGAGGGGCAGGGGCTCCCCTGGGGGAGCTGAGAGATGAGGGACTGGCCTCACTCATTAAAGCTCCACAGCTATGGGACAATCAAGGCACCCACAAGACAGAAATATGAAGCCTCAACTGCCAGAAACTTTGCTTCTTTTTATCTCTTGATGCTGCCCCAAAGGTCACAGGGCAGGAGCTGCACAGAGCACATGCTGCCTGTCTAGGGAGGTGATTCAATTAGCCTGTCCTCCATCCCCCAACAACTGAGGTCCTTATCACCTATGTTTCCATGGGTCCAATCCCCTTGGCTCTCAGGCTCTCCTGAGACACCTCAGCCTGCCAGAAACAGGTGGAAATGGGCTTGTCCTCCATGAGAGGGCAGGGAGCCGGCAGGTTCTATGGGTTTGCAGACCTGACTTCTCTGCATCATAGAGTGTGGGGAGGGGATGACTCTGTTTTGAAGGTGACTCCAATTTTAAGCCGAGGGGCCATGCAGTGAAAGGGATAAAGCTTTATTTTGTATTAGTAGAATTTCCAATTTATACAGCTCTCTAGACTTGTTAGGTTTGAAGCCTGTTAAGATGACAGAATATTCATCCAGCTTTCTAGGATACAGACCGAGGTATGAGATATTGTGAGTGAGGTTTAAGCCTTGTTTGGTCACCCACACTTCCAATCCATTTGAGAAAAAGCAGGCCTGGGGACCACCACGGTGATAGAATACAGGATCCTAAGTCGGTGGGATTCAGCGGAGGGTGGAGAAGTTTGCAGATATTACTCAAAGGGATATTTTCTTTGCAGTTGAGGGAGAAGTGACAGGGTCAAGATTATACAGCAAGTCAGGAGGGGCCAAGATTGCAGCCCAAGTCTTGGGACTCCCAGCCCAGTGCTGTCTCCATTACGTCTCTGTTAGAACCCAACGCAACCCAGCTCCACAGCTTTAGCCAGAAAGCGTGACACCTTGAGGCCATGCTCCCTTCCCCAACAAGGGCAAGAACCAACATTCATAAGAGGAGGAATCTGCTCTTTGGCATCTCTATCCAAGCAGTGAAAACTGCCAAGTGACTTCCTTGCTTGAGCCTCAGGGAACTTACTGTTCTGACAGGGGTAGAATGTCTTGCCAAGCTCTGATCTCACCCCCTTGGGGCTTTCTCCTAAAGGACAGACTTGGCCAAGGGCTTTGTGAAAGCATTTCAGACCTGGCACAGTGGTCTGCTGGGAAGTCTTCTTCACAGTTCTTGCTTTCCATTAAGAACTCAGTGTTGCTTTCAAAATGCCCAACACCAGGGGCTTTGTGTTGGCAGCCTCCACCTTCTTCCTCCATTTCCTTTTGGCCTATTACACACTGGGTAAGAAGCATGTGGCCCTCATGCCCACCTTTCCACAAAAGGCCGAGGGTGTCACTGCAGCTGACTGCCATTCTCCAGCCCACACTGCCATGCAGCAAACATGCCAAGGGCCAGGTGACCTCACCCACCTCTTTGAAGGATTTCTTTACCTCCACCAAGGAGTGCCAGTGTGCGATGGGCTTCCGGGGGTATGCCAGCATCTCGTTCCAGTGGTCCCTGCCCAGGCCTTCAGCAGTGATCCCCACACGACAGACTCCTATGATCTCATTGTGGCCCACTCTGAGGGAGAAACAAAAGTCCCAGCACTGGCTACCAGACATGCCCTCAGAAAAGGAGGTCCAGTGTGGGGGGTGGTAGGACTCTGCCCGATGGGTCTAACTCAGAACTCTGAGCTCTGAAAACAGATGCTTGGCAGGGCTTCTGGGTGTCAGTGGCGGTGAAGCCTTTGCCTAGTCCCCTTCAGTGGACACTGGACACAGGCAGATGAGCAAAGGTTATAAACTTGTTTGGAATCTCAAGAAGTGGTGGGCAGATAGCCTGAGTATGCGAGGTGAGACAGTCTAAGTCTCTTCACTTATTTGACCCCGCCAACACATTACAACCTCACTGAGACATCAGTATTTGCAAATAAATCGACAGTCTCTGAGCACCATTTCTCCAAAACCCCAGTGGCTGGAATGTGATTTATTCACTCGGTAAGAACATCAATTATCTCTTAAGTATGTTCGTCAATACTATGCCTGAGAACTTGGGCTGAAAGTCCTGTATTGAGGCTTTATTGCATGGTTTCTTTCTCCTTTAGCTAAAGTGACAAGTGGAGAGAAGAAGTTATGGGGACCAGAGTAGTTGAAAAATGTTTTTGAGCCAGCCTAGATGGAAGAGCAGGATGAGTGGAAGAGACGAAAAATATCTGAGGAAGGGGAGATCCGATTGGATGGATATGCTGGGTCCAGATTAGGGAAGGCCATCAGAGTCCAAGGGAAAAGCCTGGATCACAGGAGCCATTGATGGTTCTTGAGAAGGGCAGGTCCAGGAAGAAAGCTGTCATTTAGGAAGATGTGTCCTTAGTATGTTGACCGAATTGTGGCAGGAATTGATGGAGGCAGGGGTCAGCTAGGAGGCTGCACAGCCATCCCAGGGTGACAGTAGTAGCAACAGCAGAAATAGAGAGGATAGAGGGGCATTTCAAAGGCCAGATAATAGGACTTGGTGCCAGATGGAAGAATGGGAATAGCAAGGGGTGAATTCAGGGAAACTGATGGACAGAGCTGCCCCTGACGGAGATAGGCCAGTTGGGAAAAGAACTTTGAACCTTTGCTAAGGGAGAATCTATGCTCTTCCTCAAACTCCTGCACCCTTCTTGGGTACAGATAGATTTGAGGCCTGAACCCTAAAGCTGAGCCCTGAATCACAAGGTCTAAGGTCAAGGAGCCCTGTGCTGGTGCTGGAGTGGGAGTGAGGGGTAGAATTACGTCCCTCTAGGACGCCTACCTACCGATCATAGTCCATGACTGAGATGAGCAGGCTGACTTGATCCATGTTTTCCGGGGGAATGTCAAAGATGATGGCCTCATTGTAGACAGGATTGAGAGTGTTTTTCTTTATGGTTGTTTTCTTCTTCTTCAGCCTCCGCCCATCACAGAGCAAGGACACTTTCACATAGGGATCTGTGCCAATGGGGACAGAGAAAA